>NW_018654717.1:1843813-2145394 GCF_000001405.40 Homo sapiens | reverse complement strand
GCCCCCCAATCGCACGGCGCCCGCAGCTCCCCAGCCCTACCCTCCCGGCCAAGATGGCCGCCCTCCTGTGCCTCAGCTGCTGGGCGGGGGACCGGGGGGTTCTCCCCGCCAGGGCTCCCCTTCCCCTCTTCCGTTGACCCCGAAACCCATCAGGTTGACCCCTCGGCGTTTCAGAATCCGGCTGGCCCGAGTGAGGCGGTCCAAAGTGATCCCTGGAGGGGGCAGTGCCAGACGTTTTGGGGTCCCCTTCCTCAGCGTCGCAGCTCACAGCTTTCCTCCTGGAGAAACGCCCCCTAACACCCTCCCGGCTGCTGGTGGAGGGGCGGGACCTCTGAGGGAAGGGGCGGAGCTAGTGCAAAGCAGGTGATTACGTGTCACTTCCGGGAGATGGGATGACCTCATTGTGTAGTTAGACAACACCCCCCCCCAATCAAAATGTCTATGTCTCACCTCTTTGGCTGTTTCTATTTTCTTTTAAATTTCTCTTATTCTTCTCTTATTTTGAGGGTCTTTAAAAATTACATAAGTCAGATTTTCACAATCAAGTTACTGATTCTCACTTCCATTTAGACACCTCTCCTCTTACCTCTGTTGACCTCCTGATTTTCCTGTCACTGACAACTTAACCACCTTTTGTAATAAAGTTTCCATCATTACCTTAAAAAAGCTTCAGGCAAAATTCAATTGGAAATCAGCCTGGTTGGGTCTTACATGTTGGAGCAAGGAATGAATGGGCATATTGTGACCTTGAATATATTTTCTGCCCTATGGAAATATATTCTACCAACTTTTTTTTTAATATGCAATTTTTAAATTCTGTGATCTTAATTTGGAAAATGCAGAACTAGCCAGGGCTTAACCTGTATCAATTATTTGTTCAGGTTATTTAAATGTGTAAGGAGTGCCTTTTAGAATTTTTTTGGTGCTAAGGCGCTGTGGGTAAACATTGCTTTAAATAAGGAAAAAAATGTTATCAATGTGCTATATCATTAAAGTAGGTGCAGGATACACTACTTAAACTTAGCTAACAAATTACAAAAGTGAAACAGCACTGAATGGATTTGAATTACAATGATCTTCCAGTGAAAGTATTTTTGAAGCCAGATAGCCAAAATAGGGCAAGCTACATGGTTACAGTTGTTCCTGATCAGATGAAATGAACATTTTACAGTTAAAAAAAGAATGAGGGGGAAAAAAATCCCTGAATTTTCTCATTGACTTCCCTAGATTTTTGAACTCATTTTTGTGATTCTGTCTACTTCTCCCTTCACTAAAGTCTTCTAATAATGCCAATAACTGTCTTTAGAATGTTAAGAGTACAAATTAGGTAATATTTATATGGCTGGAGGTTCTATGGCAGAAAGGTGCGTTTGACAACTTCAATAGTTACTTTGATACTATTGAATACTATGGCACCTATGAGTTTTGGGAGTGGCAGGGTAGATGGGGATACTACATTTTAGGACACAGCTTTTCATGAGTATATATGCCAGTGTGAAATCTCTGAAGACTTTAGAAAAATTACTAATAGTGAATTTTTACTCCCATACATTGGGAAGAGGGGAGTGATTCCAAAATCAACTTTTAGAAACCAGCCATATAACTGTATCCATGTATTTCATGCTATGATTTAAGCCTCATACTCCCTATGGTATGTAAAACTCATACTCATATGTAAGCCTCATACTCCCTATGGTAGTAAAACTTAAGGCCAGCAGGTAAAGATTATTTCTGCATATAGATGGGATTCTGTTTCTTTGCTGAATTTGAATGAATAACACCTTACATGGCATAAATATAGAGTAGGATTGCCCAGGTATGAACCCCAATTTCACTAAAATAGTAACATGAATAATGTGAGCAAGATTACCTCTTCAAATCTCAGTTTTCACCTTGATATAATAGAAATAACAACAGTGACTTTTCTGAAAAGTTGCTGGGCAGAGTAAAGGTGGTAATCCTTTCAAGGATCTCAATATGATACCTGATAGGCAGCTAAGCACTAGAGAGTAACTGCTATTATTATTACTGTTGTTATTATTATGTTTGCATAATACTGACATGTTTCTACTTAAATTCTATCGCTGAGTGTATTTGGTATCTCTAATAAAAGAAAGCATTTTGAAATACTTCTAGAAAATAGGTGCAATTAATTTGTGCTTTCAAATATATTTTCTCTATTTAAGCTACGAGGCTGTGAAATGAGATACAAAAGCGGGCAGTAATGGTGTATTTATGATTCCTATTTCTGTGTGCCCTGAAAGAACATAAACTAGTGAAATTAGCTAAGTAAATTACACTCGCTATATAAGGCTGACAAATGAGCTTATGAGTCAAAAGTGTTTATTACAATTGAAGTTTCAAGTAGATATGTAAGATTCTCAGACTGTCAAGTGACTTCAACTTTACATTTGCTGTTTCAACAATTTTGTCCTTCTACTTTCTTTGGAAGAAGGATACATTATGGAACCCAGAAGGCTCTAAAATCAGTTACAATGATAATAAACCTCTCATGAAGACTCACTGAAAAGTTAACATAAATCTGGACTGTGCTTTGGATGGCACACTTTTACCTAGAATTTTGGGGGTGATTTTTGTTCCAAGTAAGCCAGCACTTAGCACAATGCTGAACACATAGTGGGCACTCTATAAGTATTGATTAAATTAGTGCAAATTAATTTTCCAGATAACTGAAATTTCACCTTTAAGTGCCAAAAAAAATGTATTTTACATTTTATGATGTAAATCTCCATAAAATTCAATCATTACGGAGATACCTCAAAACTTTAAAGTGGGGGGAAAGTGAAAGAAATGCATTGCCCATTGGCTTGTGCTCTGCACATCAGGCAGAAAGTTGACCTTTTCTTGACAACTTGACCTTGAAGTGGCCTTATGCTAAGAGGCTCTAACTATTTATGTGCCTGTGCCGGCCTGCTAAGCACCAACTGTTGTTGAGGTTGGTGGTGGTGGTGGTAGCAGTGGTGGTTTTTTCTAACAGTATTTTTTAATCTCTGCTTTCTTTGTTTATTCAGTTAATTAACAACTTTGGCCCCTGTATTTACACTTTAATATAGACAGAGAAGCCAAATAACAAAGCATGTTGGAGTTACATGTAAAATAATACTAAATAGATTTTTAGAGCCTCTTCTATGAGTAAAGTTAAAAAGCTTTAACATACAGAAATTGTGACATAAATTTTAAATGTTTAGAAGCCCTTTGGGGTTTTTCTTCCCAATTCTCTATTTTCAGAAAGGCACAAAGGAAAGTTAGTGTTGAATGCTATTATGTACTAAACAGTCTCCCATACGTGACTCCTTTTAATTATATGGCAGTCCAAAAACGCATGAGGATTAGTATTCCCATTTTAATGGTCTAGAAAACAGACTCGAGTCTGCCAAATGAGTTACCCAGAGTCACATGGGTAAGGGGAGCCATAGATTAGAATCCAGGCAGGTGTAATTCCAAAGCCTGCTACTTACCCTGCCATTGTCCTGGGCCAGGCAGCTACTGGCACTTCCAAATGAAATTAGTGTTACTGTGTTAGTCAGAGTAGGGACCCTATTACAATGCTGGTATGCAGCTAGGAAACAGAACACCTCAATTCCAATATGGGGATAGGCCTCAGCAAAAGCATTACAAAGAGGCTGTCTTATACATTTTTCGTAAGATTTTCCTAGTTTGAGCCTACATAAAGCTTCAAAAGAGTAGGTGGATGTCATCCTCATCAATTCTGTGCCTTGTATCTTATTGACTTCTATAGAAACAGGACTTCTTTGAGTGCTGAGGAGTAAGCTCATAGAACCCATTATCCCTGGAAGCTACATTTCTGTATTCGACGTTAAGAATTGAAGTGTTAGCAAGCACTCTCATACTTTGTTGCTGGTGGTACAAAATGGTAAAATCTTTATGAAAGGGAATTTGGCACTACTTACCAAAATTTCAAATGCAGGTACCCTTTGAGACAGCCATCCCTTTTATGGGACTTTATCTTACAGATAAATACATAGATGTCAGAAAGTATGTGTGTACAAGTTTATTCATGTAGCATTGCTTACAATTGAGAGAAAGAATGGAAGGAAAAAACCCACATGTCCACCCAAAGGGCAACTAGTTAAATAAATTATGGTACATCCACACAACAGAATATGGTGCAGTGATGTTGAAAAATGATAGTTTTCTTTTTAATGATATACAAAGAGTTGCAGGATGCTTTGTTAAACAAAACTCAAAGTGCAAAACAATAGAACATGCTGCATTTTCTGTAAGAAAGGGGAAGAGATAAGGTTATCTTTTCTTATTTGTTTGTATTTGCATAAAGCAACTCTGGAAAGAGACCTAAGAAACAAAGTGATTACCTGTAGGGTGGTGGTAATGGTGGAGAGAAATGCTGTGAGTAGGAACAAGGATGGGAGAAAGATAATAAATGTTTGGGGGGAAGTTTGGGGAGGTCGCAGGGAATATGCACCCATATGTAGTGTCACAGAGATCGGTAAGAATCGGCGGGGGTAGGTACATCTGTATTCTCTAACAGCAACATCACTGAGGAGTATTTTGTGAAGTTTTTTGTCTCTTAAAAACTAGTTATAACTCCGACATCTGTGAATTGATTTAAACCCTTCTTGAGCTTCTTTATATTTTTATCCACTGTATTGTCTAAGTAAGGATAAAAAGCTTCATGTATTTACTCCCCAAAGAGCAGAGTACAGTGTAACTTTATCATACGTACACTTACCGTGTGTGGAGTCAACTAATCATGCCCAACCAAAAGAAAATAAGGATCGCCAGGTGCAGTGGCTCACGCCTGTAATCCGAACACTTTGGGAGGCCAAGGCGGAAGGATCTCTTGAAACCAGGAGTTGGAAACTAGCCTGGGCAACATAGCAAGACTCTGTCTTTGAAAAAACAAATATTAAAATTAGCCTGGCATGGTGGTATGCACTCATAGTCCCAGCTACTTGGGGGGCTGAGGTGGGAGGATCACTTGAGCCCAGGAGGTCGAGGCTTCAGTGAGCTGTGATTGCACCACTGCACTCCAGCCTGGACAACAGAGTGAAACCTTGTCTCAAAAAAAAAAAAAAAAAAAGAAAATGAAGATCAAGCAATAGCAAATCAAATCATACAGGCCACTTCCGAGAATGAGCATAGAGCACATGTCCCCAGATTGAGTGTGAGATGGGAAATAGAACACTGTAGACCTCTGTTCCTTAGTTCCTAATATGATTGTCTTCCCAGACAAAGTGGGATTCTAGGACTTAAAGCCTTGTGTTTGTCTTCCCACATGCCCTCCCAATTCAAGCCAAGTCTTTTCTCTGGTCCTCAACCAAAGATACAAGATTGTATCTGATGCTGGCTCAGTTGGCCTTTTGGCCAAGTGATATGATGTCTCCAGTGCAAAGAAAATTTGGGGTATACACAGTTCTTAGGCTCAGTGCAGACCTTAGATCCCAACCAATACTACCAGGACCCTAAGTAACATGAAACCCCACTGTGATGTCTCCTTCAAGTTTAGACACGTATCCTGGTTATAGTAATTCAGAATGTGACAGACACCAAATTAAGTCTAACTTCATTGATTCTTTGCATCTAACTTCTTTTGGTACAAAGAAATATAAGAGATCATTTCTGCAATGTACAGTCCTATTGAAGACATGAAATAGACGCCCACCAATATGAGTCAACAAAATAGCATTATAGATAAGTCATGAAGTGACGCTCAGATTTACAGAACAATTAGTGATTAGAGAGTTTAACATAAGAGATTCATTTGTGAACAAGTATGTAAGCACCTACTACATGTCAGGCATCATGCTAGGTGCTGAAAACAAAACACATTGTACATGGAGCTGACTCTAGCGGAAGTGGCAGATAGTGATCAACTAAACATACAAATGAATAATTATAAAGATGAAAACAAGAAAGCATTTATAAAAGGTTTTTTAAAAACCAAGAGGTTTAAACAAAATGGGATCTACTGAAACATGAGGAATCAGGAAGCCAACTCTAAGGTGACATTTAAGCTGTAATTGAAATAGGAGGGACTATTTTTGGTGATGGCAGGGTCCAAATGCAGAAAAATACCCATGTCAGGGCCTGAGCTGTGAGCTCCTCGACCTGAGGGAGGCCAGTATGTGACATCATAGGCAAAAAGGAGAGGGGATCCAAGGGAGACTGAGATGGAAGAAAGAGGCATTCCAATTGTGCTAAGGAATTTTTATTTTATTCTAAGTGCAAATGGAGTGGCACTGGCAATAGTAACAAAATAATTAGGGAGAGGAGCAGGAAGAGTTAAAGAAGGCATTACGGGGTGCGGGGCGAGTTCACCAAAATGCTGGAGCTCTGGACAGAGATGTAGGCAAGGGGAGGGATGGGTGTGAGATAAGGATTCCACGGGCTCCCATCAGGGCATCAGGCTGACCGGAGACAAAGATTTGCATGGACAAGGGATGAGGCTAGAGAGGGAAGATGCAGGTAGGGAGAAGGCTAGGGCACCCTAGAAAGTTATGCTTGATGCTGGAGGCAGTGGGAGCCCCTACAGTCAAGACAGCAGGGTGAAGTAAAGTGCTAAGGGCCCAAGGGCACGGTGTTATGGGTATGTGCTTTGGGCAGTCAGGAAGGGGAGAAAGGGAGGAGACTGGTGATTCATTCATCCTGCTGAAATGCTTCAAAGAGAGAATGGACTTTGTTATACTTGAGCCCCATCAGATCTCAGCCTTCATCATCTAGACTTTAAGGGTTTCAGCCTTTTTAGTTAACCTTACACAGAAGCGCCTCTGTCCCACTGTCAGATTTCACTACACAAGTATCCATTGGGTGCCTATAATATGTCCAGGACTGAGCTAAACACCTGGAGAACAAATAATTATATAAACATTCATGCCACAAAGCTAACTTTGATCCTTTCTGTGTGGTGGGGTCATATACTGCCAAGTGATGGTTAAATTATGCCCTTCTCTGGGTCTTCCTTTTTTAAAATAAAAATGTTTTGTTTTTCTTAATCACAGGAGGCAGGCTCTATATTTAAATCTTAGCTCCGGCATTAACTAGCTATAGTATTTGGGGCAAGGTGCTTTCTTAATTGAAGCCTCCCTTTGTTAACCATAAAAAGAAGCAGAATAAAATTTACCTTGCAGGGTGTTTTGTGAGTGTTTCATGAAATAGCACGTGGAAAAAGCACCTGCTACTGATACACAGTTGGTCCTGGCCATTCACTTGAAGGTCTTCCCCATTGCCAACTCCCTGGTCCATTGATTTGTACACATACACATTTTTTCCTGGTTTTCCAGCATTGTGTGATGATGTCGCTGCGTAGGCTTCTTGTGGGCTTTTGCCTTTCAGCACAGCATATGCATGATGCATAAGCACGCACACAGCCCCCAGTCTCAATTCCTGACTATGTCACTTTGGGCAAGTTACTTCTGCTCTTAGGTTTATTTTCCTAATATATGAAATGATGAGCACACCGTTACCCCTACCAGTTTATTGTGACTTCAATGCCTGATGCACACAAAGGGCTCAAAAAATACTCGTCCTCCCTCCCTAGTCACTTCCGCTATTTGCTTTCTATGACTGCTGTAACAAAGTACCACAAGCTTGGTGGCTCAGAACATTACAAGTTCATCTGACAGTCTTGGAGGACCAGAACTCCAAGAGGGGTCTTACGGAGCTAAAATCAAGGTGTTGGCTGGGCACAGTGGCTCACGCCCATATTCTAACACTTTGGGAGGCTGAGGCAGGAGGATCTCTTGAGCCCAGGAGTTAGAGACCAACTCTGGCAAATACATCAAGACCCCATCTCTACAAAAACTGTAGTCCCTGCTACTATGGAGGCTGAGGTGGGAGGATCTCTTGAGCCCAGGAGTTCAAGGCTGCAGTGAGCTATGATCACACTACTACAGTCCAGCCTGCGTGACAGAGTGAGATGTCTCAAAAACTAAATAAAATAAAACCAAGGTGCCAGCAGAGCTGTGTTCCTTCTGGAGGCTCTAGGAGAGAAATCCATTTTCCTGCCTTTTCTCGGTTTTATAGTCTGCATTCCTTAGCTTCTGCTCCACTTCCATCTTCAAAGAGGGGAATTGCTTCACCCAACCTCTGCTTCTGCCTCTGCATCTCCTTTTCTAACTCTGACTTGCCTTTCTATTTTTTCTTATGAGGACCCACCCATAATATAATTTAGGATAATCTCCCCATCTCAAAATCCTTAAATCAACCACATCTACAAAGTTTCTTTTGCCACATAAGGCGACATAGTCCCAGATTTGGGGGATGAGGTTGTGGTCATCTTTAAGGGGCCATGATTCTGTCTACCACACCCTTTAGCTTTTTCCTAATGTGCAAACCTGAACTCATCACCCTTGGCCCAAAAATGAACCATCTCCTCCAGTTTTTCGTTGTTTTTTGTTTGTGCTGCCATGATGCCAGCTTCACTGGGTCATTGAAACTTCTAGCCGATGACACATAAATTCCAAGACGAGTGAGCCAGAATGAACTTGAGCACAACTGCCCTGTGACAGATGAGGAAAAGGAAGCTGACCACAGAAGAATGTTTCTATTGAAGGCCACACTGGTTGCCTTAGCCTGGGGACTAGGATTTAAATTCCTGATATCTGGGCCAGGGCTCTTTCCACTACATTATGCTGATACACATATCTTATAAAGTTGCATAGCTTCCTCAGTTTTAATGTTTGAAATGTCTTTTTCTTAATGGCAGGAATACTGGGCTTAGAAGTTGTATTAGTTAGGGCTCTTCAGAGAAACAGAATGAGAGAGAGAGAGAGAGAGAGAGAGAGAGAGAGAGAGACCTATCACTGCAGGAAAGCCAGTGGTTTAATCAGTTCTTTCTTGAGAGAGAGAGAGAGACACCTATCACTGCAGGAAAGCCAGTGGTTTAATCTGTTCTTTCTTGAGAACTGAGGGAAGGTGGGCAGTGGTGTAAATCCCAGTCTCCCAGTCCGAGTCTGAGGGCTTGAAAACCACAGCAGCGGGAGAAGATGGATGTCCCAGCTGAAACAGAAGCACATTTGCCCTTCCTCTGCCCTTTTGTTCTATTCAGACCCTCAGCAGTTTGGGTGATGCCCACATGTATTGATGAGGGTGATCCTCTACTCACTCTACAGATTCAAATGTTAATCTCGTGCAGAGACACCCCCACAAATATATCCAGAAATAATGTTTTACCAGCCATCTGGGCATCCTTTAGTCCAGTCAGGTTGACACATAAAAGTAATCATCCACAGAAGTTAAGAAAAAAAGTAGGTATGAGTTCCAGTGACACCGTTTACCATGTACCATTTACCAGCTATATCACCTTGGGCTAATTCAGATTGAATCACAGTTCTCATGTAAAATAAGAATATTAATATCTCCTAAAATATTAATATCTTCTCTACCTTCCTACAAGGCTTGTGGTAACCTCTCTTGTAGGCTTAGTGGGTATCTTCTAAATCAGAGAGGTGTAAAAATTTTAGGAACTATTTTTATCCAAGTTAAGGCCTCCTACCGAATCTCCCCGACTATCCTCTTCTTTGCCCATCTAGCCTGCTTACCAGCATCAGACTAATAAACCTAAAATACTATAACATCATCCTATTTAGAGGAGATGTCATGGCTCACTATTGCCTACCATACCAATCCAAACTGCACTCCTTCATTTTCAGATCTTCCATAATCTCACTTCAACCTACAGAGCCACTATTAGTTTTCACTATTGGCCAGAACACACTTTGCTCAGGAAAATGTCCTCCTAGTCCACATTTACCAGTGCTCATTCCTGCACTGGAGCTCCTGGTCTTACTTTAATTCATTTGCAAAGTCTTTCCTCCTCCTCGTTTGTCTACATTTCAATTCAAATCAGTAAACTTAATGAGGGCCTACTATAAAGAAGGCATCATGTTAGCAAGGGCTCAAACTTCCTCTCATCTTTCAATACCTATTTCAAATTCCACCTCCTTTAGCAAAAAATGTTCTTGACTATTCCAGCACAGAATAATACCTTCTTCCTCTGAAACCCTGTAGCATTTAGAATCTGTTCCACACAGTTTATTTATACGCAGTCTTACATTCTCTTAATCCATGTGATGATTTTTTAAAATTTAGAGCTATAAGGAACCATCATTTCATCTAATCCCTCATTTTAAATAAGACAAATCTGAGATTTACGTATTCAGGCAATACTTGAGTACTTACTGTGTGTCAGGCACTATCCCCAAGGAATCTATTGGTAAGAGAAATAGATACATCTCTCCTTGGGGCCTAGAAGCAAAGTCTCTGGAACTCCGAAAGAGTGAGTAGATACACACCAAGTAGAGGGCATAACCTGTGCAGAGGCAGGGACAAGAAAGAGGAACAATGAGGTTTATGAAACTGTGTGGTTTGCTCACAGCATTGGATGGAGCAAGGGGAATGAAAGGAGAGGAAAATGGTAAGTGTAGAAGGGAGCCAATTTTTGAAGATTCATAAATATCAGGCTTAAGATTTAAGACCAGGTACAGTAGCTCCTGCCTGTAATCCCAGAGCTTTGGGAGGCCAAGGTGGAAGGATTGCTTTTGGCCAGGAGTTTGAAGCTGCAGTGAGCTATGATTGCCCAACTGCACTACAGCCTGGGTGCCAGAGCACAACTCTGTCTCAAAAAAAAAAAGACAAAGTTGATCCTATGGGCAATGGGAAATTCTCAGAGGCTTTTATCAGAAAGGTGACAAAACCAAGTTTGTGTTTAAGACAGATAGCTTTAATGACAGTGTGAAAGTTAGGGCAAAAGTTGACAAGTACGCTGGGCTGACTAATTAACTTGTATCCCTGTAAACCAGGATTTTTGTGGTTCAACACTTATTTAATGTAAACAGGGAGAAATGAATTTTCTCTTGAAAAAATCATATTCAGGACCAGATTAATTTTTCCTAGCCCAAACAGAATCAATTGTCTTTTCTAAAATTGGAAAAATAGTTCCCTCTACTATATACTTTTTCTCTCATCAGATCTACTTTATAATTTTTTTTAACTAAAGCACTTTGGGGAGTATATTTAGGGTTTAAAATTTAAATAATAAAATAAATCTCTCCTTCCAAATACTCAGCACCACATAATGCATCATTTGGTTTTAAAATTTCAGTAGAACGCCAACTTTCAGTTAATTATAATCACACAATCTTTGGGAAGAAACCCCAACAAAATTATCTGCCTGATGAGGATTTTTTTCCTGCTCCAAAGCACTATCCACTTAGGTATATGTAGTAGATAGACTGCTAAGATGACCCCCAGTGATTCCCCTTCTGGTGTTTATGCCACTGTGTCATCCCCTCCCCTTGAGTGTAGGCAGGTCCTGTGACCCACAGAATATGACAAAGGTGATGGGATGTCACTCTCCTTGATTATGTTACATCACATAAGACTTCACCTTAGCAGACAGAAGCCAGAGACTCTCCGTGCAGCAATGAAGCAAGCAGCCATGATGGAGAAGCCCATGTGGCAAGAAAAACTGCAGGTGACCCCAAGAACTCAGGATCAGCCTCCAGCCACTAGCCAGCAAAAAAAGTGAGACCCTCATTGATATAACCACAAGGAAATCAATTCTGCCAACAACCTGAATAAGCTTGGAAGTGGATTCCTCCCCAGTTGAGCCTCCAGATGAGAGTGCAATCCCAGCCAATGCCTTTACTGCAGCCATATGAGAGGCTGAGCAGAGGATGCAGCCAAGCTTTGCGTTGAAATCCTGCCCAACACAAACTATGAGATAATAAATGTGCATTGTTTTAAGATGCTTAATTTGTAGTAATTTGTCACAGAACAATTGGAAACTAGTGCGGCAGGTAAATAGAATCAATTCATATTTTGCTAGTTATTTGGAGTTATATGAAAACTGAACTAACAGCATATTTCTAATTGATACACATATTTTCTTGTCTGTATGGACTGAATCCCCCCCTACTCATACCCTCCTAGAGGCCTGCCTCTGTATCCAGCTCCTGGTTCAACCTTGGGTGAAAAAGGAGACCGAGAGACAAATGAGGGTGCTCTTGTCGTGGTATAGATGAGCTCCTCAAGGCCCATGCCACAGCAGCGACATCTGGGAAGGAGAAGAGATGACAGATGCAAGAAGCAACTCAGAGGCTTATTTTATATTTTGACTAAAGCATTACATTATGCATCCATCATATTGTACAGTCATAATTGATGCTTATAATGGTGATCCTAAGGCAGGATTGGCAGGCATCAAAGAAACACTGAGTAGAATACAAGATTTTAACAGCATTTTCAATGTTCTACTTCCTAAGATGGAAGGTGGGTTCAGAGGTATTCATTTTATTATGCTTTATAATTTTTATATATATATATCATTTACATATTTATTACATATATGTCATGTAGATTCTTTTATATAGATCTCATAGTACAGAATTTAAACAGATAAATAAAGATCAACCTAAAGTACTTCTTCACTACCTATCTATTCCAGAAACATTACCCACCAGAAAAAGTTTGCACTGTTTGAAAGAGTAGAATGTCAGTTAAACAACACAAACTCTACTAACCAGAAGATCATGCTCCCTGACAATACCATTCATTGAGGTTGCAACACAAAAGTGAGAAAAAAGAAAGGATAAAGAGCAAAAGGAACCAAGTCGAGAGGGCAGAAAACGAAAAACCAACAGAGAAATTCCCTTTTATAATGCTAAAGACAGGAAGGGAAAGATCGGGATGAAGAAAGGTCAAGCTTGGTGGGAGGAATAGACTGAAGAGAAAAAAAAAGTGCAGCATTATATGGAATATAGAGAAAAATAATTTACACATCACATGCAAAGTAGGTTTAGGGAGGCTGAATCAAGCACAGAATTGGCATTTTTGGCCCACACATGGGCTCTTTTTGATGTGCAACTTCAGAGGTCATGGCCACTGAATAACAGGTACAGCGATTGTCAGTAGCCATTTTCTGCTACATGTAGCAGGAGTGCCTTCTTCATTTCAGCACTTGCAACCAGTGTTCATTGGGCAAAGTAACAAGGGAGATGCAGTGCAGCCAGGATATAAGGTTAAGACACAGCTTTGCCCTCCAGGGACCCTCCAAGTAGGGAGGAGGCAGAAGAGAGGCACCAAACAAAACTCTTAGTCCCAGATCTACACTGGCAGCCAAGAGCTGAACCGAGCAGGCAGACAGGTTTTGTTTGGCAAATACAATGTGTGGGTGGATGGGTGGGTGGGTGCATGTGTGGGTGTGTGTGCAAAAACCTGAAAACCTTTAAGCGCCCTCCATTCTAACTCAGTTCCCACCATTCCTAAAAGTCACCATTCCCGTGGTGACTTCACACATTCACCTACGTGCTTGGTCCTTGAAGGCATTGGAGTTTGCAGTCCCCTGTGTAAGTGGATGCATTTGATTCTTGGGTTTTGTCATTCTTATATGACTTTCTTACATAACAATTGCTACCATGATGATATTCCTGACTAGATCAAACAAGTTCTTTTCAAAATAACTGGTACCACCCCCAGTTTTCTATGCTTTCTCTCTGCTAATGCTGTTTGCCTTTGTTCCCAGAACTATGCTCTAGACTGATAGTTTTAATGATTTTTCAAGAATAATCCCTAAATCCTTTTCTTGATCTGTGTGCTGGAGGATTATTTTCTGCCCACCAACCTTCTTGTTCCCCAATTAATTATTAGTTTGTTTAGATTAAATTACACTTGCCATCTGCTGATAAAAATCACAGAAGTCTCAAAGTCCTTTTCAATGCTTTTCCTGTTTATTGTTGGTTTGTTCTGCCTCCTATCAGCTGAATCAGCTGAAAACTGGGAGATCTGGCTTCCAGTTCTTTCTCCTAAGTCTCTCCTCTATAGTGAAACTTCCCTCTGAAGACTTCCTATAAAAGAAAATGTGTGTTTGTGTGTGCGTGTGTGCATGCATATGAGCATGTGTATGCAGTTTTGAACACTTAAGACAAAAATGAGTATAGCCAATCTTCCTAGAAAAGTAAGAAATGTATTAGACAATTTTGAACAACCTTACAATGGGTAAAAAAATAATGAGTTCTAAGAGAGATACATTAAAAAAAACAAATAGTATAAATAAAAACAGATTCCTCAAAATATAGTACAGCCAAATCAACATGCAACAAAAGAACATGGGTAATAAGTTTGAATTATAGGGTGCAAATTTAGATGTGGAAGAAATAAGGCATTGTTTTATTTTTAATTAAACAATTGAGTTGCTATTCCGGCCCTAATGCTACGAGAGTGGCAAGCTCTCTGCCTCGGTCTTCCTGGGGTTGCCCACCTAAGGATGTGAGAGTTCTGGGGTCTCACATAGGACCAGTGCCTATGCATTAGTCTGCTAAGGCTGCCACTACAGATTAGCACAGATTGGGTGACTTAAGTAACAGAAACTTATTTTCTCACTGTTCCAGAGGCTGGAAGTCCAAGGTCAGGGTGTCAGTGGGGTTGGTTTCCCCTAAGGTCTCTATCCTTGGCTTGTAGATGTCATATTCTCCCTGTGTCCTGATCTGATCATCCCTCTATGTGCTTCTGTGTCCAAATCTCCTCTGCTTATATGGATACCAATTGTATTGGACGAAGGACCACTCATATGATCTCCTTTTAATTTAAAAGTCTGTTTAAAGACTTGATCTCCAAACACAGTCGTATTCAACACATAGGTTTTAAGAGGTAACATCTCAGTCTATAACAGGCTGGTACGGGGCTTCTCCTTCTGGCCATAAGCCAGTCATCCACACAGAGATAAGAGCCTCATCTCTGACCACCGAGTGCCAGGTCCTGCGCGCCTACTGCTCTCTGCTGTTTTTAGGCAGTGTTGGGCTATCAGGACTCATTTATAAGACCAGGACCCTCTAGTGCCCAGGGCCCCACATTCCAATTACACCATACCCCATGCAAGATAGCACCACGTCTCCCTGCACCCCTAGGGGAGTGACAGAGGCCTCTGCTATTCTAACACCCCTAGTCTTCACTTCTGTCATCCATATGGGAAGGTCTTCTTTGTTTTGGAAAGACCCTTGCTCTTCATACCCTATAGTTCTTAATGAAGCCATTTCTAAATGAAGGCCTGGAAAGCTGATAGATTCTTCCCGCTTCCTGCCTGCAGAAAGCTTCCCTGGGGTGATGAAGCATTTGCTTGAATTGAAAGAAACAAAAAATGTAAGAAAAATTAGGGTCTTAAACTACTAGTTACATATGATTAATGCGTATATGTAATTCCATTATTCTAAGAGTTTCATCTATTATTATATTTTTAAATTTTATGATTTTTTAAAAATCAAGAATGACAGGGTCTTATGAAAATGGAATATATTGACAAATATGGCAACAGGTATTTACTGACTATTTACATAAAACTTTACACTTAGGACATGCAACATGCAAAGTAAAACATTTATTTTGGAGTATAAAACACAAAAATGAAACAAAAACTGACACAAGATAATTATTGCATCTAAATGTCTTCTTTTAAAAAATACTTTTTTTCTGATTTGAAAATAAGGATACACGTAATTGGCTAAAAACTTGAAATACAGGCTGGGTGCGGTGGCTAACGCCTGTAATCCCAGCACTTTGGGAGGCTGAGGCAGGTGGATCACCTGAAATCAGGAATTCAAGACCAGCCTGGCCAACGTGGTGAAACCTCATCTGTACTAAAAATACAAAAATTAGCTGGGCGTGGTGGTGGTTGCCTGTAATCCCAGCTACTCAGGAGGCTGAGGCAGGAGAATTTCTTTGAACCCGGGAGGCAGAGGTTGCAGTGAGTGCAGATCACACCACATCACTCCAGCCTGGGCGACAGAGCGAGGCTCCATCTCAAACAAACAAACAAACCAACAAAAACTTGAAAAACAAAGTAAAAATCATCAGTATTCTTACCACCCAGAAATGGCCAATGTCCAATCCCTATTATACATTGAGATAGTCTTTATAACTAGTTGTTGCTCCATTTTTAATTCATTGCTTAGGTATTAGATGTTTACTGTGTATAAGGAAATTCTTATAGAATTCTACAGAATTTCATACAGAATAATTGGAATAATGCTCTTAGGGCCGCAGCTTACGTTATTCCAACAAACTTCAGTTATCAGTGGCTGGACAAATCCCTGAGCTTTTGAACCACCATAGGCAGATAATGGCAGCAGGTCTAAAACCACCTTCTCTCCCCAGGAGGAATCCAGCAATCCCACAGGGCTCAGGAAGTACTGTCATGAAGCACCAAATCCTGTATCTGGTCATTAAAGGAAAACCACATATACCATATCCCATGGGCAGTAAGAGCCAGGATTCTGGAGCCAGGCTGCCTGGATTTGAATTCTGATTCTACCCCACATCACCTAGGTGACCCTGGACAAGCTACTTAGCCCCTCTGTGCGACAGTTTCTTCAACTATAAAATAAGGATGACAACAATGACCTTGACATAGATGGTTGTAAAAGAGAAATGAGCTGAAATGTAGAAAGCTTTGCAAGGGTGCATAGAACATAGTAGGCACACAAGAAGTATTAGCTGTAATTTACTTAATTTTTAAATATTGTGCTACACATGTCCTGAAACACACACTTTTAGTCTTCTGATCCTTGCCCCAAATGAGTACACTATCAATGGCATGAGCCAATGAGCCAAAGAGGAGGAGCCATGAATAATATATAAGGAAGACTACCCAGTAAATCAGTTAGGGCAGGCTGTAATCTGCAAACTTTCCAGTAACTCGTGGTGATGCTAGATTCTGTTATGGGTAGATTGACTGATTTAAAACCACCTCCCTCTCTGGAAGATTTTCCTAAAGAAGAGAGAACTTACTTTCCCTCTTTTCCCCTGTCTCCCACTTTCACACTCAAAATGCTTTATCTCAGGAAGAAAGAAAAGCAAACCCTTGGCTGGGTGTGGTGGCTCACGCCTGTAATCACAACACTTTGGGAGGCCAAGGTGCGTGGATCGCTTGAGCCCAGGAACTTGAGACCAGCCTGGGCAACGTGGCAAAACCCTGAATCTACAAAAAATACAAAAATTAGCCAGGCATGGTGGTACATACCTATAGTCCTATAGTCCCAGCTATTCAGGGGGCTGAGGCAAGAGGATTGCTTGAGCCCAGGAGGCTGAGGTTGAAGCCAGCCATGATCGCACCACTGCACTCCAGCCTGGGTGACAGAGTGAGACCCTGTCTCAAAGCAAATCCTCCAGGCTGGCAGCTACTGAAGAATTACAAGTTCACTTGAGAGCGGGAGGATGTGGCGACTGGCACTGAGACTCCCAAGATTCACTCTCCATCCTTTTTTCCTTCTTATGAGACAGAGTCTCACTCGGTCGCCCAGGCTGGAGTGCAGTGGCATGATCTCAGCTCACCGTAACCTCCGCCTCCTGCGTTCAAGCAATTCTCCTGCCTCAGCTTCCCCAGTAGCTGGGATTACAGGCGCCTGCCACCACGCCCAGCTAATTTTTGTATTTTTAGTAAAGATGGGGTTTCACCATGTTGGCCAGGCTGGCCTCAAACTCCTGACCTCAGGGGATCCGGCCACCTCAGCCTCCCAAAGTGCTGGGATTACACCTGTGAGCCACCATGCCGGGCCCCCTACCCATCTTTCATCTCTACTTGTTTCACCAGATTTATCCAGGTGGTAGGAAGTGTGTCCATATTGTTCTCAAATTTCACATGTTGTAGTTTGTAACACCAGATGCTAATTGACCTCTTTTGCCCATAGGTCAAAAACTGTAGAGAAAGAATTCATTGGCTCCGCTTCCAGGTGCCCTCTCTTGGGCCAGTTAATTATGGTTGGGGTAGTGGGGGATGAGTTTGGTCAGAACATTTCAGGGAAGGCTCCAGGAAGGTTCAGCCCCCAAGAGAAGGAGCATTCTGGGCAGGAAATTTCATAAAACTCCAGAACAAACAGATTTACCATTTATACCCATTGATGGGTCTCCACTGATAAGAACATCCATCTTCAATATTCACTATTATTTAAAAAAAATTTTTTGGCTGAGTACAGTGGCTCACACCTGTAATCCCAGCACTTTGGGAGGCCAAGGTGGGTGAGTCACTTGAGATCAGGAGTATGAGACCAGCCTGGCCAACATGGTGAAATCCTGTCTCTACCAAAAATACAAAACTTAGCTGGGCATGGTGCCACATGCCTGTATTCCCAGCTACTTGGGAGGCTGAGGCATGAGAATTGCTTGAACCTGGGAGGCAGAGGTTGCAGTGAGCTGAGATCGACCACTGCACTCCAGCCTGGGTGACAGAGTGAGACTCAGTCTCTCAAAAAAAAAAAAATTAATAAAATATACTCTTAATGTACTTAAAATTGCAACCAAACTGGCTTTTAAAATGTTTATTTCAAACTCCTAAGATTCTGCTTTCTGAAGTGAAAGCTAGCATTTCCCAAAGGAGAGGAGAGTTAACAAAGCTCCTCGTTTTCTAGAGAATAGAGATAAGAGCCAGCTCTTGTAGAGTGCACATTTGAAGATGTCTGATTTGGGATGAAAAGTCTATGAATGTGATTTGTGACTTAGAAGAAACAGGTGCTAGGTAAGATTTTTGTTTGTCTGTTTATTTCTTTGCTTACCAGAAAAAGACAAGAAAACTCACCTCAGTGAACTTACTTGCACCATGCACTGGGCTAGGAGTTCAACACTCATTATTACTTAATTTTTACCACTCTCCTGAAGATAAAGTATTCTCATTTTGCCCATGAGGAAACAGACCCAGAGAAGTAATTTGCCCAAGTCACCCAGCCAAAAAGTGGTGAAGCTGGGACTTTAATTCAGGCCCACCTTAATATAAAGTTCATGCTATTTCCAGTATTTCCAGCAGTTGAAGTATAATTATAAGAGAACCTGTCAAGGTTGGGGTAGGAAATAGAGTGGAATCCTTGATACTGCTGTGGCTAAAATTTCAACTTTGAAAACACAAAATATGAAGCTAATGAATTACACTTTACTTAGATTAATTTAAGCAAGTTTTAGGAGTCACTTCTACTATCTAACAGAAAAAGGAAGATTTATTGCATGCATGAAGAAAACAAAGAAATAAGTAAAAAGGGACAATACCACAATTTATGTGTCTAACAGCTCAGAAACTTATGGTTGCCTTTTTTTCTTAACGAAGTTCAAGAGTGAGTTGAGACATAAAGAATTAGAGGATTCTGGCCAGGCACGGTGGCTCATGCCTGTAATCCCAGCACTTTGGCAGGCCAAGGCGGGTGGATCACCTGAAATCAGGAGCTCAAGACCAGCCTGGCCAACATGGCGAAACCCTGTCTCTACTAAAAATGCAAAAATAATTAGCCAGGTATGGTGGCGGGTGCCTGTAGCCCCAGCTACTCAGGAGGTTGAGGCAGGAGAATCACTTGAACCCAGGAGGCAGAGGTTGCAGTGAGCCGAGATTGCGCCACTGCACTCCAGCCTGGGTGACAGAGCGAGACTCCATCTCAAAAAAAAAAAAATATAATAATTATAGGATTCCTTTAGGATTTTTTAAGGTATAAAACAGTGGTTTGGGTTTTGCCAGAATTTATTATAGGATTTTAGTGTTTTATTGTTTAATAGTTAAGAAACTTCAAAGTTTTAGGGTAGTTATGTGAAAATGTAAAATCGTCAGCACTGTTGTCAGTGCTCACACAATTTTAAAAACATAAGTACAAATCATATGGAATTTAATAGTCCCTGGTCAATTAATACTTTTTAATGGTCTGTAATGAGTCTAAAAGGATGTTAAGTAAAATATTGAACATTTAAAAAACATTTATTAAAATGTTTTATTCAAACATTTTGGTCTTTTCTAATGGGAAACAGTTAAAGGTATAATATTTGATACCCTACACTTAATAAGCACTTTACCAGGTAGGTTCTATCATTTTTTTTAGTCCATGCTTAAAAAGCTCAGAAAAACAGTACATAACGGAAATGCCAATTTTTCTGTAAGAGTAAAATAAATGATGAATTACTGCCACCTCCCCATTGACTCAGGCATTCTTGAAACACATCATGTAACAGAACGATTGGATGGGGTCCAAGGCAGAAGGGTCTTGTTGGATCCACTCCTATAAGCTTCAATCGATGCCCTGAACCTTTTTGGGCCCCAGTTTCATTACACTAAAATAGAAAAAATAATCTCGTTCCCATACTTATATCTTAAATTTAGTAGGAAGATCAGGAGTGTGCAAAGCCTAGCTTATTCATCTCTCTGCCCCTCACCCCCAGGCCTGGTCTACTGGGCATTTAATGAATGCTGGATTACATTGAGGAAGGAAATCCATCTGAGGAGTCTAAAAATAAAATGAAGCGTCTGTAAACTCAGGTCTACAGTGCTCCTACCCACCATTAAACTTGTATGACCATCTGGAAACAGTGTCTGTGTTTGTGTACTTTGTACTAAGAGATATCTATGAGTATCTTGTATTCATAGAAGGAGAAGAGGAGGGTAAAATCCAAGAACATACATGTAAAAATCAACTTAATTTAATGGTTTTTAAAAGGGTGTTTTGTTGTTGTTGTTGTTGTTGTTGTTTTGTTTGTTTGTTTTTTGAGACAAGGTCTCACTCTGTTGCCCAGGCTGGAGTGCAGTGGCACAGAAATGGCTGCTGTAACCTCAATCTCGTGGGCTCACTCAATCCTCCTGCCTCAGCCTCCTGAGTAGCTGGGACCACAGGTGCATGCCATCACACCCAGCTAATTTTAAAATTTTGTAGAGACAGGGTCTTGCTATGTTGCCCAGGTATCTAGCGATCTTCCTGTCAAAGTGCTGGGATTACAGGTGTAAAAGGGTTAAATATAAAGTTTAATTCACCCGTATTTTAATATGAAAAGAGAACTAAAGGTTTTCAATTAAAAACTATAAACAATGAAAAGAAACTTCAATTTAATACAAAGATTTCTTAAGGAAGGCAGGAACAGGGCCAGGAAGAGGAAGAAAATAGCCGCCCTCCGTGCTTACATTAGTCCAAAGGCAAAGACCTACCTCATTTACTAGAACTGCTTTTCCAAGTGCCTGGATTGATACTTAAAATATGATTACACTGCCTGAAACTCTTACAAAAATTGAGGATGGGATGGATTTTACGTCCTGAATTGGAAGGACAGGTGTTTTTGAAATCACTTATTTTCATAACCTTCAATTAGCTAGAGGTGAGGCAACTCCAGACTTTGGAATTTGGAAGGGAAGTGTACTGTATCAGCTTTCATTTTATTTAAACAAACAAAAATCTCATGGAGAAGTAAGACAATCATTTTTGTGGCTTTCAAACATACCGTTTTTCTAAGATTCACTGGCCATTGCCTTATCACCACTGCAGGCAAAAGGGGGCCCCATAGCCCGAATAAATTTAGCCAAATGTTGGAAATTTTTGCATCTCTTTTTACGCATCCTCTCTGTATTAGTCCATTCTCAAACCACTATAAAGATACTACCTGAGACTAGGTAATTCATAAAGGAAAGAGGTTTAATTGGCTCACTGTTCCACATGGCCGGGGAGTCCTCAGGAAACTTAGAACCATGGTGGAAGGCGAAGCAGGCACGTATTACGTGGTGGCAGGTGAAAAACAGCGTGTGAGAGAGCAGGAAAAACTACCATTTATAAAACCGGCAGATCTCGTGAGAATTCACTCACTATCGTGAGAATAACATGGGAAACCACCCTCACAATCCAATCACTCCCTTCTCTCCATACATGGGAACACAAAGCCTAACCAGATCACTCCCCCACCAGAATTGTTATAAAACATAGCTGTGTCATAGCTCTCTTCCAAAAAATGGTTTATGGGTCAGGCACAATGGCTCATGCCTGTAATCCCCACACTTTCAGAAGCTGAGGCGGGTGGTTCACTTGAGCCTAGGAGTTTGAGACCACCCTGAGCAACATGGCAAAACAAAAACCTCATCTCTAGAAAAAATTACAAAAAGTGGCCGGGCGCCGAGGCTCGCGCCTGTAATCCCAGCACTTTGGGAGGCCAAGGCGGGCGGATCACGAGGTCAGGAGATCGAGTCCATCCTGGCTAACACGGTGAAACCCCGTCTCTACTAAAAATACACAAAACATTAGCTCGGGCGTGGTGGCGGGCGCCTGCAGTCCCAACTACTTGGGAGGCTGAGTTAGGAGAATGGTGCGAACCCAGGAGGCGGAGCTTGCAGTGAGCCGAGATCGCGCCATTGCACTCCAGCCTGGGCAACAGAGAGAGACTCCATCCCCCCAAAAAAATTGGCTGGGTGCTGTGGCACGCACCTGTGGTCCCAGCTACTCAGGAGCCTGAGGTGGGAGGATCACTGGAGCCCAGGAGTTTGAGGCTACATTGAGCAGTGATGGTGCCACCACACTCCTGCCTGGGTAACAGTGCGAGACCCTGTCTCAAAAAAAAAATCTGACAGCTGTTGTCAACCCTGGTTCCATTAGAACCACGTGCAAAAAAACAGCTCATTACCCAGGCAACCCCGCCCCGTCCCCCCACCACCACCCCACGCCCGGAGCCCTCCAGCCTGATTTAATTGGTTATTTGAAATAGTCAGCTAGGATTGAGAACAGCTCAACTGTCTCTTTTCCTGACTCTCCCCTTCTCTATGTAGGGTGAACCATCCCTGTCATGTGAGTTCCTAGAGCCTTCTCTACATACCCCACCCTATCACATAGCACTGCCAGTTGCAGTTCATGTTTCCTATCTACTCGTGTTAGACCTAAGCTCTTCTGGCACTGGGGTCTTAATTTTTATCCTTTTATCCCATGCCTTGGTAACCCAAGGGGGAATTACCCGGGGAGCTCTTCCCAATACACACCTGTATTAGTTTATTCTTGCACTGCTATAAAGAACTGCCTGAGTCTGAGTAATTTATAAAGAAAAGAGGTTTGATTGGTTCACAGTTCTGCAAGCTGTACAGGTAGCATGGCTGGGGAGGCCTCAGGAAACTTACAATCATGGTAGAAGTTGAAGGGGAAGCATGCACGTGTTACATGGCTGAAGCAGGAGGAAGAGGGAGAAGGAGGAAATGCTACACACTTTTAAACAACCAGATCTCATGAGAACTGACTCACCATCACAAGAACAGCAAGGGGGAATCTGCCCCCATGATCCAATCACCTCCCACCAGCCCCCTCCTTTAGCCTTGGGGATTACAATTCAACATGAGATTTGGGCAAGGACACAGACCGAAACCATATCAACACCCTACCTCCAGAGAGTCTATGTGGAATTGGAAGGGTAGGTTCGAGCACAGGTGGGTGAAGAGGATGAGTTCTTGTGGTGCAGATGAGCTTCTAGGCGACTCTGATTGGCAGCTTCCAGCATGCCCCATCCCCAGCCTACTGCTCTGGACTCTGTCAGGTGTGACTGCTCCCTGTCTTCCTTTTAGTTGGTTCTGTCACAAAGTCCTGTCTGTCCTTCCTTCCTCCATAATGTTCTCCAATTGCACACACATTTCCCCTTTTCATGTTTTGGGGTGCCATAAGAATCATCTCTCAAGCGGTTTGCTGCTGTCATGCCCTTTCTCAGAAACCTACATGGGCTTCTAATGGCTTTTTTTTTTTTTTTTTTTGAGACAGCTGCACTGCAGTGGTGTGATCTTGGTTCACTGCAGCCTCAACTTCCCAGGCTCACACAATCCTCTCACCTCAGCCTCCTAAGTAGCTGGTATTACAGATGTGTGCCACCACACCTGGCTAATTTTTGTATTTTTTTGTAACGATGGGTTTCACCAGGTTGCCAAGGCTGGCCTCAGACTCCTGGGCTCAATTGATCCTCCTGCCTGGACCTCTCAAAGTGCTGGAATTACAGGTGTGAGCCACCATGCCTGGCCTAATTTCTTCTTGAGTTAAATTAACATTTCCACTAATTTATCTAAGAGGCCTGTCTTCCCACCTCCTGGGTCTATTGTCTCTTCAGCTCAGTGCAATGCCATCTTCCCTCCTGCCTTTCGAGCTCTCTAAATTCCATTTTTCTACGTATATTAAAAAAAAAAAAAAGCCTACTTTCCTCTCTCCTCCACCAAACCATAGCATGGTTTCCTTAAGCAAAGAACAAAACAAAATGTGTTTAGAAATCACTGTGGAAGTCTCTCTCTGTAAAGCCTTTCCTTACCATGTTACAAGCTGCTTTTTAAATCACTGATTATGCGTCTTTGTTCTTTTTCTTGGTGTATTTTGTTTTTGAATTTTTGTTTGGTGGAACCAAAATGGATTGGACGCAGGAGGATTTTACTAGCCGTGATGCCCAATCCCTTCACCTGGGTGGGCCTCATGGTTCCTGCCTCTGAAGTGGAGAGCATCCCGAGTGTTCTCCTAAATGCCGTGCTATAGGATTAACGGGAGATGAAGCATGTGGAATGTGCTTTGTAAGTTCTAAACTGCTTTCCAAATGCAAGACAGTGATAATTATTGTGATTATTTTCTGCCACCCAACTGCACTTCAGTAGTTTCACGCACAGCTTTATACCAGTGCAGTCCTTCCTGAGAAGCACTTTAAGCTATTTTGCAAGGATGACGATACAAAATGTTCATGCTCTGCTTTCATTACATTATTACTCTAATGTTATTTACTTCATTCCATTTTTCTAACAAGCTTTAAGTTATTTGCAAGATCCGCATGTGTCCTTCCTTCAATAAGGTTAAAAGTCAGCAGCTGGGATACATGAAGACATGAAGCCACAACAAGGCACTGTTTCTCGACCAGGGGCTCATAGGAATAAGATTCCAGAGTATATATTCCATTCTCCTTGGGGTCTTTCTCAGCAGGAGTTTTGCTTCTGAAGTATCTTGGGAGCCCCAAAAGAAAAACACCCCATGCAGTAGCCAGCCTCCCACCCCCATCGCTCCTTCATCTCTGCCTAAGCAAGTCACAATAATATTTGGGATTGGCAAAGCAACTTCCTTCCCCGGAGTTCACAGCGCCAAGCATCCCCTCACAAATGCACACAGCACTCCTGCAGAGTAGGTGGGCGGCAAGCTATTTCCAGTCCTTTTCTTCTATCCCTACCAAAGAACCTTAGCTTTCAATAGCTGCACAAATGAGTGAGCCATTTTGGTTAAAGATTATGATTCGCCCATCACCCCCCATTAACACTATTAAAACAACCTTTTTCCTTCTTAAAATCTGTGCAGCCAAGTGTATGCTGAGTTAAAAAAGAACATAAAGACTGTCCTGGACAGTGTGCGCGTGGAGACCGGACGTCAGATAGAATTTTCTTTGTCTGGCTTTGGAAAACTCCCATAGGACTAATAGGATTAAGTGGGATGCTTTTCTTTCTCTGCAGGCTCCTAAACCTCACTCCCTTTATAACCTTTTATCCCTACACACCACCCTCTAGATCTCTCTTCTGCTGTCATGGTGGAAGTCCAGAGATTCCTCTCTGTCTCCCTTATCCTCTGCCCCACCGGGGCGAGGACTGAACGCTATCAATACGTAAGAGAGGACAGGCAAGCCAAATGTCAAACTACCAAGTTAGGGGCACCCTCAGGCTCCCCGTTTCTTCATCCACGCAAGTCCTCCCAGAGTTTCCACCGTCACAGCTTACCTGGCCCACTCTTACAGCAACACCTCATGCTGTGGACCTCTGAATCCTCCATCTCAACTTATTTATCCTGGGCTCCTTCTGTTAAATAACTGGGTTTACAAATGGACGGTTTTAAGTCTGCCACATGGAAGAATGAAAGGGAAGATGGGAGCTAGCATTTGTCAAGTACCTACAATAAGCCAAGGGCTGTTTTAGGCACTGTATGTATACAGTGTAATATCACTTGATTGGCACATTAGCCTACATGTGCCTCTGCTCCGTGTGGTCACTCAGGTATCCAGGTGATGGAGGTATTGCCATTTTGTAGCTGGACTATCTGGCTGTCTCAGTCACTGCAGCAAAAGAAAGAAACCCAGAGAGTCACACAAGGACTTTTCACTGCCTTAGCAAATGGTTCGTGCTGATGTTCCATTGGCTAGAATATTCACATGATCCTGCATAACTCACTGCAAGGGGACAGGAAAAATACAAGCAGATGGAATGTTCAGTGAGTAGCTGTGGCCATGCCAGAGCAGTAGAAATTAAAGGCTACCAGCTATATGCCTGTATCTTTAAATATGCACATGACTTTTGGAATGACTGCATAAAACCTCACTGCATGACATACCTGAATCACCTGGGCCTCTATTTTGTTCATTTAAAGAGGTTCCCATCCAGTCACATTCTTTGAACACTTATTCAGTGTTCAGGATTCTGAAGGTAGGGGACAAGAGTGTGTTTACACATTCAGGGGTAAATCAGACACATGCCCAGATAAATTTAATATTTTAATAAAAGGCAGATTTCGATGAATGGAACAGGAAAACTACCAAGTGCTTTAGGACTGCAGAGGAAACAATTGTTTCCTGTCAAGGAGCTAGGAGAGGACTTTGAGGGAATTTATACATTTCAATTGGGCTTTAAAGACTGATTAGTATTTCCCAACAGGTTAAGGAGAAGAGGGGCAAAGGCCTTTGGGCAGCAAAGCTCAGGTCTTCAGGGCCCAGGAGGCAGTCTGATGCTTGGCTTAGGCTTGGTGTGGGAGGGGAAAGTTGGAGAGATGAAGCCAGAACGTGTCCTGGATTCAGACACAACTAGAGGGTCACGAACACCATGCTTGGAAGAGTGAATAGTGTGGGGGAAATGGGGAACACAGGGGGGCTCTGAGCACAGGGATGCCTCGGTGGGATCTATCCTAGACTCTTCTAGAGGCAGCCATCAGAGTATTAACTGATGATTTTTTGTCTTCCTCCCTTTGAGAATTCCTCGGCTTTATGAACATATTTATTTTCCTTTTATCCTGGGGTTTGTAATCAAACATGAGTTTAATCTGCCTAAACACACGTATCACAGAAGCAAAGTTTGTATTCTATCCAAAGAAGCCTGTAATCAGGCGTTCACACTCCCTCAGCTTTTGGGGTGTTTCCTTTTTTCCTCTGTGAAATAAGTGTTCTTGTAAAATATTGCAATTTCAGGATAAAGATCAGGGAATATAGCCCAGCCTCATGCTGTAGTTGGGTTCTGCCCTAGATTGAATTTGAGTTGTGCTGAATCCGGACCCCCGCTATGACTAAAGGCCAGCTTATCATCTATTTCCTGTGTGCTTTAGCCCAGTTACTTAACCTCTCTGTGCTTGAGTTCCTTGACTTAGTAGCAAACAGTATTTACTGATTATTCGTTCCTTCCTTGAGTAAATATTGATCAAGTACCTCCTATGGGCCTGGAAATGTACCAGTCATAGAAGACCTTGATAAAAGCATTTTATCTGCTTGCAAAGAAAGGAGGCAGAGAATGAAATGAATGAATGTGATTCACGTACCTACTGTGCGCCGAGACATCTGCTTAAGGCTTCACACGTGCTTGTTAGTGCTACCATGACTCCCAGGAGGCAGGGATTTCCCCCTTTCTACGATGAAGAAGCCAAGAAACAGCCACGGTAACCAGCACGATGGCATTTAGCTGCCGAGCAGCAGAGCCAAGCTGGGAGTCATGCAAACTGTGGATTCCAAGGCCCACGCTGATTCTACTCCACCATGGTACAAGGGGCTGGTAGCAGAAGCTTGGATTTGCTACACAGCCTTTTTTTTCTGAAACCCTCAAACCTATCACTGGGCCTCTTGGTACCCATCTGAAGTAAGAAAGAACAATATCTTGGTTTGCCTTTTTTTTTGAAATGGAGTTTTGCTCTTTCGCCCAGGCTGGAGTGAAGTGGCGCGATCTCAGCTCGTTGCAACCTCCACTTCCCGGGTTCGAGCAGTTCTCCTGCCCCAGGCTCCTGAGTAGCTGGGATTACAGGTGCCCACCACCATGCCCACCTAATTTTTGTATTTTTAGTAGAGACAGGGGTTTGCCATGTTGGCCAAGCTGGTCTCAAACTCCTGACCTCAAGTGATCCACCCGCCTTGTCCTCCCAAAGTGCTGGGATTACAGACATGTCTTGGCTTTCTTGACGAGCTTTTCTGGATCCCATTCAACTGCAATTCCTGCCGTTGTAGGCTCCGGGCCACCTCCCTAGCCTCCAAGTGCCCTTCCTCCCCCTGCAGACTTGCTGCTTCCACCAACCTATCTAGAGGCTTCCCTTGAATCACCGTTTGGTCACTCCCTCTTAATTGTTCACAATTACCCACATTCCGAGTCCTACAATAAGCAAAGAAAGGGGTAGCGTTTTCTGAGACATATGTGTTTAGTGTTGCTGGCAGTTTTGTAAACTTATTAGTGCCTCTGCACACCATATAATTAAGATCAAATTCTCCAAGGGTTTAAAATAGGGACTGCTGCTATTGTGCTGCTGACAGCGCTAAGGAACAGATATTTGCCTTTTTTACATAGACGGCTCTGCCCCGCTTTTGCTGAAATTCCCACTCTCACAGGGCTGGGAGCCCAGCAGGGTTTACCTGGACCAATGAGGGGGGCTCACTCTGCTGGGAAATTTGCTTTTATAGATGGCACCACCAACGCTGAAAACATGGAAGTGGAGGCAAACATTCCAGAGCATCTACTGTCGCATCCCCTAGAAGGGGACTGTGGTCAAGGCAGATCAGTAGACAGAAGGCTGGAAGGGAAATGAGCCCCAAGGAAGAGGCTCAGATCCAGAGCCTGTGTCTTGGTGAGACTCCAACAGAAGTGCCTCGAGGCTGGTGCTTCAGAAGGAAGTGGGTGTACAGCTGTGTAAGTGATCTGGGTCATGAATAAACAAATGAACACAGGAATGCATGCACCATGAGAGCCTGGAGGGGACTATAAGACAGACAACGGGTGATCTGGGCACAGGTATCAACTGCTGAACGCCCAGTGTGTGCGTGGAGGAGGAAGGGGGTCAGAAAGGCAAGGAGGATGTACCAGTATGGTAGAGACGAGCAACTGTGGGCAAGGGGTGCTCAGGATGCATGGGGGTGTGGAGAGAAGGGGAGAGCAAGAAAGGCTTCCAGGGGTGAGGAGCCAAGGAGGTCCTGAAGACAGCTAGGAGTTAGCAGGCAGAGGAAGGGGATGGGCATCCCAGGGAGAAGGAACGGCAAGAACAAAGCAGCACAGCCGTGGAGAGCCTGTCAGTGAGCGGAGAGCCCGTCAGTGAGCAGCTCGCCTGGGTTCCAGGGAACAGGGCCAGAATTTTTGGCAGGATAGACTCAAAGGCCTGAGGTGAACCTGCAAACAAAGGTAAAAACACTAACTGGTTTTAAGCAGGAGAGAAATATGATCAGATTTCTATTTAAAAACTAATAATAACTCTGGTTGGATGTGGTGGCTTACGCCTGTAATCCCAGCACTTTGAGAGGTCAAGGCAGGAAGATTGCTTGAGACCAGGAGTTTGATACCATCCCGGGCAGCATAGTGAGACCCCCATCTCTACAAAAAATTAAAAACTTAGCCAGGCGTGGTCCTACCTATTCCGGAGGCTGAGGTGGGAGGATTGTTTGAGCCCAGGAGTTTGAGGCTGCAGTGAGATGAGATCGCACCACTGTACTCCAGCCTGGGCGACAGAACAAGACCCTGTTTCAAAAAAAATAAAGAAGTAAAAAATAATAATAATGCATACCGCTTATAATGTAGTGGCTAGAATGGTGAGAGCTGGGTCTAAGATCAGTTGGAACAGAGATTCTCTAATTGTGGTGCTTGGGCCAGGGGCAGCAGCCACACCTGGAATTATTAGAAGTGTGAATGATCAGGCCCCACCCCAGACCTACTGGATCTGAAATGCTGGTGGTGGCACCAGCAAATCTATGTTTGACAAGCCCTCCAGGGATACTGATGCACACCCAGGGTCTAAAGGAGGTCTCTGCAGGAATCCAGGTGGACAACGGTCCAGATGAACAATGGACCAAGGCAATGACAGTCAGGACGTAGAAAACCTGGCGGGATATGAGGACATTTGGGTGGAATCCTTCGTACCTATCTCATACCATTTTCCCACTTTATACCATGACCCATCCCCACCCTCTGCATTTTGTGTCCATGGGGTCTTGGAGACACAGACCTCGTTTCCCTCTGTACTTCTTAGCTCCCTGCCTGGTCCTTCAAACACAAGTTGGGCTCAGGTGAGGGTTGGCATTGTCTTCTGTCATGATTGGTCCAGGGACTCAGGGGTGACCTGAGAGAGTCCTAAAATGTCCCCAGCAGTGGGGAGGGGAGTTGCAGGAGAGCTGCAGGGGCTGGGAGATACAGCTGTTACCACAGCGATTCAGACCTCCCAGGACAGGTAGCCAGAGAGGGAGAGAAGAGATGATCAAGAGAGAAGGAAGAGTGAGAAGGAGAGGCTGAAGAAGGAACAAGGAAGATGAATAGAAGGAGGCAGAGAGGACTCGGGAAGGAAGAGCCGGAAAGAAAGAGGAATTTGGGGGAAAGTAGATGGCTCTAACATTACCTCCACTCTCTCCTTCAATCTCAGCACCCCCAGCTCGGGTGGGTTCTGTTTCTTCCTCTCCTGATGTCGCGGTGCCTTCCTTGGTCCCAGTGGCCCCACACCTTCCACCTGCAGAGTGTATGCTTGGCCGTGGATGCCCTCTGCAGGTCCACAGGCCCCCCAGTACCTCCCTGGGAGCCAGCACAGGTCAGCCAGATGGGGCCTCCCTATTTCCTACATCCTTTGCCCGGTCACACAAGGCCTCCACATCACAATGCTTCAGGAAGACATTATGCCATGGTGGTAAAGAATGTAGGTTTGGAGTTCTAAGTTCATACCTTTCCTCTGACACCTACTGGCCCCCAGGATAGGGTCTAGCATATGATGGAGCATAAATGAGTGAGTGAATCAATGAACTAGCGGTGAAACCTGGACCAGGTTGATCGTTCTGAGCCACTCTCTCCTCCCTGTGAAATGGGCTAATAATAGCGTCTCTTTCACTGAGTTGCTGGCAGAATGAGCCACTATGTCAAGTGCTTATCCAGGCCCTCACTCAGGGGGTTGGAAAGGGCTTACTGCACGGGAGGTGGAAGCATCCCCACCACCCACTACAGCAATGCCTCTCAGTGTGGTGTGAGAACCACCTTCCTCAAAACCATCTGGAACAGAGGCTGGGGTTTAAAAATCGTCAAAAAGAGAGCTATCTTGATCCTACTCCAGGCATAGTAAAAAGGACTATTTTTAGGAGGGAAGTCCAGGACCCTGCATTTCTACAAGCTCCCTAAGCGATTTTTCAACTCGTTCTAACATTTAAGAGAGCTGGATTAAAGTTTCAGTTTACAAATGAAAACACAGAGTCGACACATGACTATAACACCCCACAGTTGAAGACACCAGAGGGAGGCTTCAGGGTGGAAGGTGGACCCTTTGAAGTTAAATGTAGGAAGTAATGAAAGACCTTCGTGCTATGATGGAGCAGCAAATGTATTATCCTAACACCTGGTGCTATAGTTCCTCTTGGAGGTGAACTTTCTTGGATAAGCCTCTTGGTGTGGACAGTGATGTCCAGAGGGCAAGGATTAGCCTTGCTAAGACCAAAAAATAAATTACTGAACTGTTCTATATGGGACATGAATCGGAGACAAAGAAAAGAAGAAGGAATGGAGCCCTGAGCATTAAAGAAAGTGAGGCTGAAGCTATGGTTTGGAAACGACTTAGGGACTTTTTGGGAACAGAACTATATACACTTGAGCTATTGCACTGTTGTCATAGAAAACCCTGTTTTCCCACACCCACAGCAAGGGCCTCCATACCTACAACGCTAAGTGTAAGTATGCCTGTATCTTGGTCTGTCACCCAGGCTGGAGTGCAGTGATGCAATCTCAGCTCACTGTAACATGCGCCTCCTGCGTTCAAGCAATTCCCCTGCCTCAGCCTCCCGAGTAGCTGGGATTACAGGCGCACATCACCATCCCTGGCTGATTTATGTATTTTTAGTAGAGATGGGGTTTTGCCATGTTGACCATTCTGATCTTGAACTCCTGGCCTCAAGCGATCTGCCTGCCTCAGCCTCCCAAAGTACTGAGATTATAGATGTGGTGACACCCGGCCAACTTCCACCTTTATTCAGGGTTTATTCATTGAGTTCCCTTTTCCCCTTCTCCTGTCCCGTGACCCCCAATTAGCAAATCTGTCATCTCAGCTCAGTGACATTGGTCAGCTCTATCCCTGCTTCTCCATTCCCAATGGCATTGCTCGATTTCAGAAACTTGCCACTGATTGCTTCCTAAGAAGTCTCTCTGCCTATATTTTCTCTCATCACAGCCTCAAACCAACCCTCATACTGTTGCCAAAGTTCACCGTCTGATAAAGTTTTAATAGTCAGAGGCAGCAAAGTGTGGGGACTAAAATATTTCGAGATGCTAGAGCCAGACTGCCTGAGATCAAACTCCAAGTCTCCCCTCTGATGAGCTGTGTCCTTGGGTTGCGCAAGTTCTTAACCTCTCTTTGCCTTAGATTCTCTATCTATGAAATGGGGATGATAATAATAACACCTCCTGTCAGGATAATCGTGGAGATTACGAATTAACACGTGCAAAGCATGTTATTACCTTGCTTAAAAGGATTGTGTGGGCAATCCAAGGAACCAGCGATAAAGCTCATACTCTAATTTGAATTATCCCTGGCATTTAAAATATTTAACATTCTGGCTGTTGGTTGGCATTCCCCACCCCATCTCTCATTATACCACCCTCACTCAGCCTAAGCTCCAACCAAGCTATTTAAGTTCCTAGGATGTGCTCTGCACATGCTAACATCCATGATGTTATGCCAACACTTTCCCTTTTATGGAATGCCCTCCCAGAGCTAGCTCTTCCTTTTCTTTTTTCTTTTCTTTATTTTTAGGCGGAAGGATGTGCTTCCATTCTAACCACTGCTTGGAGAGTTCCTATCTCTGATGGACTCAAATACACACATAGACACACACACACGTATATATATATATATATATATATATATATACACACACACACCCCACCTTGCTGGGATTTTGATTATGACAACATTAAATATTACATCTTTCTGTCCAAGAACATAGTATATCCCTCCATACAATTTATCAATAAATTTTTGTAGTACTCAGTGTACGAGAGGCCTTGCACAGCCAGTTGGTAGCTTTTGATGCCATTGTAAATGGTATTACTTAGAAATTTCTGTTTTTCCATGTCTTGCTAATATATAGAAATACATGTGCTTTCTGTATATTAGCCTTGTATCTGATAGCCTCAGTAAATTTACTTATTATCCAATCATGTTGTCTGCAAATATGGACAGTTTTCTTCCTTCCTTTCCAATTCTTGCAGCACTTCTCCTTTTGTCTTGCTGCATGTCCTGGGACTGTCTGGACAATGGTGAGTGGAAGGGATGACACTGAATAACCTTACCATTCCTGATTTGGAGGGAAAGGTTTCCAAGAAAACTGGAGGACTTATAACACCAGTATAAAAACCTATGTACATCTGTAACAGTTAAGACAGTATGGTACTGGTGCAACGACAGACAAGTAGACCAATGGAACAGAATGGAGAGCCCAGAAGCAGACACACATGTATGTAGTCACCTGAATACAGTACTGGTGATGTGGAGGTGCAGTGGGGAAGGGTCATCTTTTCAATAGATGGGTTCATGTCAATTAGATCTCCATATGAAGCAAAAAAAAAAATCACGATCCTTACCTCACACCAAACAAAACAACTATTGCAGATGGATTGCACATCTAAATATTAAAAGTAAAACAACACAGATTTTAGAAAAAAAATAGGGAAAACATTTTCATGACCTAGAAGTAGGCAAAGATTTTTTTTGTTTTTTTTTTTTTGAGATGGAGTCTTGCTCTGTCGCCCAGGCTGGAGTGCAGTGGTGCAATCTCGGCTCACTGCAAGCTCTGCCTCCCAGGTGCACAAGGTGGTAGCCATACCATTAAGAGAGTCAGAGGTGACCCATACAATGGGAGGAGATATTTTTAATATGTATATCTAACAAAAACTCTTATACAGAATATATAAAGAACTCCTACACATCTATAAGAAAAAGACATGCTGCTCCATAGAAAAATGGGCAAAATACACGAACAGTCACTTCAAGAGGACGTCCAAATGGCCAATAAACCTAGGCAAATGTGCTAACTTCATTTGTCATCAGGAAAATGCAAATTAAAACCAAAATGAGATATCACCTTATGCCAGCCAGAATGACTAAAATCAAAAAGACAGAAAATACTAAGTATTGGAGATCTGGAACTCTCATCGACTGTTGATAGGAGTGTATATTGGTAGGACCACTTTGAAAACCTGTTCTACAGTCTCCATAAAGCTGAACATATGCCTGCTGTAATGACCCGGCATTTCTATTCCTAGGTGTATACACCACATAAAAAGGTACACATATTCACCAGAAGACACTTAAACGACTATTCGTGGCTGCATTGGGCATAGCAGCCAAACACTTGTACACAGGAGAATAGGTATTTAACTCTAGGGGCTGCTATGTAGGAATGAGAATTAATAAAAACAGCCACACATAATAATACAGAAAACTCTTATGAGCATAATGTCAAGTGAAAAGAAGCCAGATACAAATAAGTACCTATTATATGATTCCATGTTTATAAAGTTTTGAAATAGACAAATGATTCTAGGTTGTTAGAAGTCATGAAGACATACTCTTGAGAGTTTAGTGATTGGAAGAGAGTGTAATGAGGGCCCCTGAAGAGGTGGCAGCTGGCAATGTTCTTTTTCTTTTTCTTTTTTTAAGACAGGGACTCACTCTGTCATCCATACTGGAGTGCATGGTGTGATCACAGCTCACTGCAGCCTCAACCTCGTGGGCACAAGCAATCCTCCCACCTCAGCCTGCTGAGTAGCTGGGACTACAGACATACATCACCACACTTGTCTAATTTAAAAACAAGTTGTGGAGACAGTCTCACTTTGTTGCCCAGGCTGGTCTTGAACTCCTGGGCTCAAGTGATCCTCTTACCTTAGCCTCCCAAAGTGCTGACATTACAGGCATGAGCCACTGCACCTGAACAATGCTCTGTTTCTTGATCTGGGTATAGATTCCATGGGTGTGTGTCTTTTGTAAAAAATTATGCACCTTGTGATAACACTTGTGACTTGTATACTTTTCTGTATGTATATTATATTTCAATAAAAAGTTAAAAAGCCACGATAATGAAAAGAAAAGGCAAAATAAGCAGAACCTTGGGCCCTACCCAGGCACACTGAATTCATTCCCTGGGGTAAGAGTCAGGCTGTAGCCGGCCTCCAATGGCTCCCTCTGATCTTTACTTCCTAGTATCCACAATCTTGTGTAGCCATCTCACTCACCAAATAGAGCTGCCCTGTGTAACCAGTAGGATATTGTGGAAACAATGCAATGTGACTTCTGGATCTAGGCCATATATGGCATTTTGGCTTCTATCTTGCTCTCTCTCTCTCTCTGAGGAAAGCCACCATATCATGAGGACACACAAGAAGCTTTATAGAAAGGTCCGCGTGGTGAGGAACTGAGGTCTCCTGCCAACAGCCAGCACCACCTCGCCAGCTATGTGAGAGGCTCCAGCCCCAGTCAAGACTTCAGATAACAGAAGCCCCTACTGACATCTTGACTGCAATCTCATGAGAAATCCCAGTGTCAATACTAACACCACCTAGGAAAACTGCTGCCACACTCTAGACCCACAACAACGTCGTGATATAATAAAGGTTTGTGATTCAAGCTGCTAAGTTTTGGAGTAATTTGTGAAGCAGTAATACATAAACAATAAGATCAAGACATACATTTTTTTAAAACTCCTAGATTTGGATGTGCAGCTATGCTCGGGAGCCTTTGGCATGGTATTCTGCTCCTATAAGTATAGCAGCTATCGTTTTGTGCTATTGATATTCCTTGCTGGTCTTCACTGCTCAGGTGTGTGCTCACTCAGTGAAGGAATGATGTTTTGTTCATCTGGGTACCTTCAGTACTCAGAGAGAACCTGGCACAGAATGAGTGGTCCATCAATATTTGTTTAATTGGAGTGACCCTTCCAATAAACACAGAGAGTAGGACCTACGACTGCCATCAGCCACCTAAACCATTTCAATGTATCTTTTTCATTCAAATAGTTTATTTTATTTTTATTTATTTATTTTTTGGGGGACAGAGTCTCACTCTGGCACCCAGGAGTACAGGCTGGAATACAGTGGTATGGTCACAGTTCACTGCAATCATGAACTACTCTGGGCTCATGCGATAATCTCATCTCAGCCTCCTGAGTAGCTGGGACTACAGGCATGTGCCATCATGCTTGGCTGATTTTTTTTATTTTTTGTAGAGACAAGGTTTCACTATGTTGCCCAGGCTGGTCTTGAACTCCTTGACCCAAGCTATCCTCCCACCTCAGCCTTCCAAAGTGCTGACATTACACATATGAGCCACTGCACCTGGCCTCAATATATTTTAAAAGAGTCTACTTTGAGCCAAACACTGGGCTCATGCTGGAGTTGCAAAGAAGAGGAATGTCAGCCCTTGTAGCCAGGTACTTGGTCAAGCAGGTGACATCAAGGCGGCAGACATTGGAGACACGCAGGGGCACATGCCAGGGTTTGTCTAGGAGCCTCTGATGAAGTGATCAGTTCAGCTTAGGAGGGCTGAGATGTTTCCAAGAGTAAGCAACGCTTGAGCCATGACCCAAAGAGTGACTGGGGGTGGGCCAGCTGGACAAGGAAGAAAAGGGTATTTGGGGAAGAGAAAAGAACCATGTGCCTCAGCAGAATGACTTGAAATCACATGCAGTATTGGAGTAAAATGGCAGGAGGGTGAGAGATGAGTATGGTGGTAAGGAGGTTGGATGTATTCTGTAGGTAACAGGATCACCGAAGCATGAAGTAGAATTTAACACAACCCAGTTTACAATTTTAGAGAGATACCTCTGTTTGCAGTGTGGATGATGGATTATAAGGAAACACTGAAGATTGCAGGGCCTCTTGGAGAAGGTAAGGACATTGTAATTGTCCAGGCAGGAGAAGGTATGGGCTGGCTAGGCAAAGTCAGGAAAAGGGGGAGGAGGGCACAGGTGTGAATAGGATGCTCCTACAGGCCGAAAATAAAGTTGAAGGACTGGAATCTGAAGCTTCTCCACCTTCTCCAGTAAGAAGGTTGGAGGAAGGAAGGTGAGTATGAGATATATCATCCAGGCAGTGTGTTCTTTTAAAAATTTCCTCCTAAGAACCAGAAAAAGATGGAAAAGCAAAAAGGCGAGGAGGGGTGGGATTCAAGAAGAAACTCACTACATATGCTAATGTCACTTGGGAACTGTAAGCAGCTCACAATTTCCATCTATTATCATGGGTGAAGATATATTTCCAGCCGAAAAGAATAATTTTTAAAACATGGGTGTGAAATAAATGAGCACATGAAACCGTGTTGTCCAAAAAAAAAACCCCAGCAGAATGTTTTCCTTAGAAAGCAGCCTTTGGGTGACACTGCCAGCAGCCTGCAGCCCTAGCAAGGATCTGTGCTTTTGTCACTCTGTGATTTGCAATGGGAAAGAAGCTCGCTTATCTAAGAAATGCATCTGAAACTCCATGGCTGGCAGGTGCTTAAGAGCACGGAACAGATGTCTGTCGAATGTACCAAAAGTCGTAGATATATATTGGAAAGTACAGATGCACTACATCTTTGCTACCATAGTAGAGAAAATATCTCAGATATGCACCAAGGGGCTTCATGCATTGACCTTGCTGACTTCTCTTCTACAGGACTTGGAGCCCGCGATGGGAGCTACTTAGAGACCTGTGTTCACTGGCATTCTGAAGGACCTTGCTGACCCCATCTCCAAGCAAGACTGGAGCCAGCTAACCAAAGATTTCGGTATGGTGTCTGAGGTTCTCTCCAGTCTCATGAGCCTTGCATTTGCTGGTGTTAATGCTGCATCCTGAGTCCCCCTTTTCTCACCTGCCTCCCTCTCACAAGTTTTGGAGCACTAACCTGTTGCCTCTCAGGCTCCACTGCTGTCTAGTCCACCAGTCTTACTGACAAGGCCCCAGTGTACTTTTTTTGGCTGCCTGGCATCCCTTAGACACCTCTCCAGGTTGACTCTCCTCAGTCCTGGAATCCACTCACTCCCCTTTCTCTTTTGGCAGAGAGATGATGTCTTAGTCCATTTGGGCTGCTATAATGAAACAGCACAGTCTGGGTGGCTTATCAACAAGAGAAATTTCTTTCTCACAGTTGTGGAGGCTGGAAGTCCAAGTTCAAGATATCAGCAGAGTTGGGTTCTCCCGAGACCTCTCTCCTTGGTTTGCAGATGGCTGTCTTCTTTTTTGTCCCCACACAGTCATCCCTCTGTGCATGGCTGTATCGTAATCTCTTTTTTTTTTGAGACAGAGTCTCGCTCTGTTGCCCAGGCTGGAGTGCAGTGGCACGATCTCAGCTCACTGCAAGCCCTGCCTCCTGGGTTCATGCCATTCTCCTGCCTCAGCCTCCCCAGTAGCTGGGACTACAGGTGCCTGCCACCATGCCCAGCTAATTTTTTTTTTGTATTTTTAGCAGAGATGGGGTTTCACTGTGTTAGCCAGGATGGTCTCGATCTCCTGACCTTATGATCAGCCCACCTCAGCCTCCCAAAGTGCTGGGATGACAGGTGTGAGCCACGACACCCGGCCCGTAGTCTGTTTTTATAAGGACACCAGTCATATTAGATGAGGGCCCATCCCAATAACCTCATTTAAACTAAATTACCCTTTAAAACCCCTATTTCCAAATACAGGCCCATTCTGAGTTACTGGGGGTCAAGGCTTCAACATAGGAATTTGGGGAGACACCATGCAGCCCATAACATGAGCTATTGTGTTAGACTCCTAACTTCTCTCTGTGCCTTTTTCCTCACCCTCTGGTCCAGCTGCATGGTACTTCTACCACAATCTTCCTCGAACACAAGTCTGAGCATGCTGCTTTCCTGCTCAGCATCCCACACAAATGTTCGTGACTCCCTGGCTTGGTAACAAGGACCCCCATATTCCACTCCAAGCAGCTTCTGCTGGAGCTCTGACTCCCACCAGCTCTGCCTCAGAGCTCTTCCCCCATCTTGGCCACTTCCTCTATGTACCTTCTCCACATGATGATGTGAATGGAGCTTGGATGACCTGCTCTTCACACACTTCCTCTAAGGTACAAAGTGGGCAACAGCTTTCCACAGGAAAACACCATGGCATGAGATGTTGACTTGAGCAGCAAAAGACCATGGAGAAAATTGTGAGAAACCTGCCTGGGAAGCCAAAGGGCTACTTGCACTTTGTTAAGTCCTTCTCTCCATTTTGTCTTCTTCAGAACTTGCCTTTTGCTCCTCCTCCCTCAAGCAGATGGTTGAAGATATATGATCACATTTTTAAGTTGAGTGTGAATGGGATTGAATTCACTCACAGCTATTTGGGGCCTTATTGCAGGAAGTCAGGGACCCCGAACGGAGGGATTGGCTGGAGCCGTGGCAGAGGAATATAAATTGTGACAATTTCATGGACATTTATCAGTTCCCAAATAATACTTTTATAATTTCTTATGCCTGTCTTTACTTGTATCTTAATCCTGTTACCTTCATAAACTGAGGATGTACGTCACCTCAGGACCACTGTGATAATTGTGTTAACTGTACAAATTGATTGTAAAACATGTGTGTTTGAACAATATGAAATCAGTGCACCTTGCAAAAGGACAGAATAACCACGATTTTTAGGGAACAAGGGAAGACAACTATAAGGTCTGACTGCCTGCAGGGCTGGGCAAAAAGAGCCATATTTTTCTTCTTGCAGACAGCCTATAAATGGATGTGCAAGTAGGAGAGATATCGCTAAATTCTTTTCCTAGCAAGGAATATTAATATTAATACCCTGGGGAAGGAATACATTCCTGGGGAGAGGTCTGTAAAAGGCCACTCTGGGAATGTCTGTCTTATGTGGTTGAGATAAGGACTGAGATATGCCCTGGTCTCCTGCAGTACCCAAAGGCTTACTAGGGTGGGGAAAAATTCCATCCTGGTAAATTTGTGGTCAGACCGGTTCTCTGCTCTTGAACCCTGTTTTCTGTTGTTTAAGATGTTTATCAAGACAATACATGCACCGCTGAACATAGACCCTTATCAGTAGTTCTGCTTTTGCCCTTTGCCTTGTGATCTTTGTTGGAGCCTTATCAGTAGTCCTGCTTTTGCCGTTTTGTCCTGTTCCCTCAGAAGCATGTGATCTTTGTTCTGCTTTTTGCCCTTTGAAGCATGTGATCTTTGTACCTACTCTCTGTTATGACACCCCCTCCCTCCCCTTTTGAAACCCTTAATAAAAAACTTGCTGGTTTGAGGCTCAGGTGGGCATCACGGTCCTACCGATACGTGATGGCTCCCCTGGTGGCCCAGCTGTAAAATTCCTCTTTGTACTCTTTCTCTTTATTTCTCAGCTGGCCAACACTTATGGAAAATAGAAATAACTTACATTGAAATATTGGGAGTGAGTTCCCCAGATAGGGGCTTCCATGGACTGAATTGGGTCCCCTCCCAAATTCATATGTTGAAACACTAACCTCTAATGTGACTGTGTTTGGAGATAGAACGTTTAGAGTAGTGATTTAAGGTTTAAAAAGAGTGAGGCGCTAATCTGATGGGGCTGGTGTCCTTACCAGAAGAGTAAAAGATATGAGAGGGCTCTCTCTCCACTTACCCACAAAGGAAAGGCCATGTGAGGATGGCGCAAGAAGGTGGCTGTCTGTAAGCCAGAAAGAGAGCCCTCACCAGGAGCCAAATCTGCTGGCACCTTAATGTGGAACTTCCAGGCTCCAGAGCTGTGAGAAAATACATTTCTGTTAAGTTATACAGTCTATAGCATTTTGTTATGGCAGCCTCAGCAGACGAACACAGGGGCTTTCCCAAAAGGAGTTGCATGTTTTGCCTGGTTTTGCTGATAGTGAGACCTGCATGGCTCATTCATCAGCAACTCTTCCTTTGTATGAGCATCCTGGCTTGGACTCCTGATGTCTGTCCCTCCAGAGGTGGATGTAGAGTGATCCCTTAAGGAGGCCATTATCACTGACCAGTGACAGAGAGAGGAACAAGCCCCTTTCCTTCCTGACCCATGAGACTGGTGTTGGTTAGGAAATATCAAGAGCTGGGAAAGGTTTGAGATTTCACCCTACTTGCAGTCTAACAAGTTAGCCTGCCACACTTTCAAGGTTGCTGGCAGAAGACACAACAGAGGCAGAGACAAAGGACTTCATTACTCATAGCAATAGCAGTAACCAAGTGTCAGCATTTGTGTTCATCTCCCCAGTCCCAATTCCTGCAGGCTAATGTGACAAGAGCCAGGTGTTATCTCCAGAGGCAGTGGGTGACTTTCCTAGAGAAGAAGCTCAAGCTTTGGAAGCCCAAGCCTTTTATATTGGGCAGTAAGCTTGTATGAACTTTGCTCTGGAGGGAGACGATATCTTTATCATTTTAGACAGTAAACAAGCCTGCCCTTTGCTGCTGATGGAAACCCTATTGCTCTCTTACAAGGCTGCTTGCCATACAAGTACCCTGGTGGTGTATCTAGTGAGATGTGTATGCTAGTGCCTCTGCTTCTCTGATTGAACTCTGATCGACACTGGCCCCTAATCCGTTTCAATAAGCTATGCTATTTATTATCCCTAGGAAATATTCCTTCTAGATAATGGAAATGGTCCTGGGACCTACACTTAAACATAAATATCTGGTGTCCTGGAACTTGACAATATGTCTATTGTGAAATGTAGGTTTCAACATGATTCAGAAGGCAACTGCCATTGAAAAGATAGTTTGTTACTCACAGTTCCCAAGAGAAGGGGCAAGGCATGCCACACCACGTGATGGTGGGAGTGGGGGACACATGGAGAAGCACTGGGGTTGACCAGGAGGCAAAGGTAGAGAGGAGAAGTGTGGGTAATAGCCTTTACTGTGACTTCTGCAGGAAAGAATAGGTGAGGCAGGTGAGCAGGCTCAGGATTGGCTAGTGTGAATCCTTTCAGTGGGCTCTGGGGCATAAAGGCTGCTCCTAGTTGCCTGGAACGTAGCCTTGCAGTGATGGTGGCCCAGAGTGCAGGAGCCCCACAAAGGAGGTGGTTGGGAGGTGGGGTCTGGGTGGCTTGGTTCGCATGTCAAAGGCATGCTCACAGAAGAGCTCTTTGCTTCCACTAAGAATTGGCTAACCCTGGGTGGGGCAGTCCCTCCAGCGTCAACAAGTCCCCAATATGGCCAAGCCTCAGAATAAAAAGGCTTGCTTAATACGACATCACACAAAAACTACACCTCACTGTGAAGACCTAACTCCAGAAGAATGTGGAAAACTAACCAAACACCTTGCCTGACATCATCACTCAGCCTTCTGCCCTCTCGGTTAATCCAAGGTAGCTGGGCAGCATATCAGCTAAGGCACTTCCAGAGTTTAAAAGCATCTCACTACATAGCTGGTCAGTCAGTCAGCAAGTGTCCCGAGTGGGTGCTGTGAGTGAGGCATGGTAGGGGGTGCTGGGGAGATGGGGGGAACCAAACACACCTGGCCCTGCCTGATGGCACTTAGGATCAAGCTGAACCCATAACCCCTGCCCCCAACCTGAGCAACATTCACTTGTCTTCTCAAATAAAGGGAGCATTTCTTTGGGGGAACATGTGGGCCTGAAGACACAGCACATCTCTGCCCACGAGGCAGCCTGGGGAGGAGGGAAGACTCTGCCTTCTGGAACTTCTTGTTCCTGTCAGAGGCATCTCCAGAGTTTTCTCAGCAGCCTGTGTGCATCTTCCATCAGGAAGACCCAGATGTCGTTTCTTGGTCACATTGGAGAAACTGTGTCTGCAGGTGGCTCAGCTCATCTCTGTGATGCTCTGCTCTGATCTTTTGGAAAAGTTGTTAAAGTGTCTTTGTAGCTTGGAAGGGCATCTAATTTGGGGATTCGCCTCTGCTCTTAGTCTGTCACTCGCTTTCTATCACATTCTCTGGAGGTAGGGCAGAGACTGTTTTAAGCAATGCTCTCTCTTCCGTTGGGCAAGGAGCCAGAATGACTTGCAGCTGTTGACTGACACGTGCTGCCCAAGAAAGTGTAGGACACTCCTAATTATGCAAATATGAACTTCTCATAAAATAGACGTCAAAGCCCTAGTTTTTAAATCTTGTTGCAGTAAAATGTCTTAATTTGGGTTTCTGGAAACTACTACGATCATCTTAGGAGATGTATAAGTACACGTATATAAGACATTAAAATCACAAGATCGTTGTAGATCATTTGCCCATCTGCCTTGGTTCTGTAATTGAGAAAGCATAGTTCCTGGAGTCTGGCCTAAGCATGAAAACATGTCACAATGACTCTAGGTTAGCAACAGTCTGCAAAGTGCTTACTTCTGGGGGCGAATTTCAAATTAAGTTATTGTAACACCTTGCAGTTCACCTAAGCATTAGGTCAGAGGCTGGTGTTTGGGAGAGTGCCTCCAGAATTGTCTGGAGTGCGTCTAGAAATCCCATTCTAGGGCTCTGCTTTCAGAGATTCCGATAGGATGGGTCTGGCGTGGGCTCGGGAGGGTATTTTTCAAAAGTTGCCCAGGTCCCTGTGATGAAAAACCTGGTTTGGGAACCATCGGTTTAATCTGAGAGTTTTGCTTTTTGAATATGGTCTCCATCCCAGAAGCTTCAGCACCTCCTGGGGACTTGTAGACACACCAAGCCTGCATCTTCACAGAGTCCCCAGTGGATTCTCAAGCCCGTGGAAACTTGAGAAGTACTGGCTGAGGGCATCCACAGGCCCAGGTGAAGTACATGGGAGAGAATGACGATCTCACTGCTAGTTAATCAGGAAAGCCTTTATGGAGAAGTTGGGATCTTCACCGGATAGAAAAAGCAGAAAACAAACCACCGCCCCTATTTGACTGATGAAGAAGCACAAGAGGTAATGGAGAGGCAGAAGGATTTAGGGAATGAATGAAGAGTGTGCTGACTCAGTTGAACGAAAACATGGAACACAAACTCTATGTCATTGGCATGTTGCAGCTCATGCCTATAATCCCAGCACTTTGGGAGGCCAAGGTGGGCGGATCACTTGAGCCCAGGAGTTTGAGACCAGACTGGGCAAGATGGCGAAATCCCATCTCCTAAAAATATGAAAGCTAGCTGGGTGTGCTGATGCATACCTGTAGTCCCAGCTACTCAGGAGGCTGAGGTGGGAGGATCACTTGAACCCAGGAGGTCGAGGCTGCAATAAGCTGAAATTACAACACTGCACTCCAGCCTGGGTGACAGAACAAGACCCTGTCTCAAAAATTAAAAGAAAAAAATGTAAATCAATCAGAAGTTGAAGTAAAAGTAAGTTATAATACAGTAATATGTATTTCGGTATGTGAATACTTGGGCAGTATATTAACCATGTCTTTTACTTTCTGAATTCTCATGCTTTGACACTTGGGCCTTGTGATATGGTTTGGCTCTGTATCCCCACTAAGTCTCATGTCAAATTGTAATCCCCACATGTTTGGGTAGGAACCTGATGGGAGGTGATTGGATCGTGGGGGTGGGTTTCCCCCTTGCTGTTCTCACCATAGTGAGTTCTCACAAGATCTGATGGTTTAAAAGACTTGTTTGCTTCCCCTTCACCTTCCACCATGATTATAAGTTTCCTGAGGCCTCCTACCCACGCTTCCTGTTAAGTCTGCAGAACTGTGAGTCAATTAAACCTGTTTTCTTCGTAAATTACCAGTCTCAGGTAGTTCTTTATAGCAGTGTGAGAATGGATGAACACACGTTGCTTACCCCAAAGGGGCTGCTGTTACGACATGGGATGTGGCAGTAATAATGACACATCACAGCAAATGTGTCTCTGAACTTGAAATCCCACCACAAGTTGAAGCCTGCCTTCTGTCTCAGCATGTCCGGTAGGATGATGGAAAGTCTTACCAGTCCTGGGTCAATTTCTCCTTGTGTGACCTGTCCTGAGCATTGCAGGATATCCAGTGTCCTCCCGACTAAACATCACTAGTGCCCTCCAATCATCATGGCAACCAAAACTTCCTTCAAAGATTTTCAAGAGATCCATGATGACAAACCGCTAAATTGGATAACTCCCAAAGCACTCCCAGAACGAGCTCACTTCGATTCTAAGATCTCTGGGGTGTCACAGGTAAAGGAGATTGCCAATGAGATTTAAAGTCTGGGAGTTACTATCGCAGGCCATTGCCGTGACCTGACCAGAACATAAGACACAAAGGAACATGAATCTAAGAAGGAAATATGGCAAACCAAGCCAAGGCATTTACTTTTGAGAGCAAATCACAAGCTTTAAGGGAAAAATAAAAAAAAAATTACTTTTAGATCTTACAATCAGAATTGTGCAAGTAACTATAATTCTGGAAGTATGGTTCAGGGTGGGCACTCCTCGAGCCCCCAGGCTCTGAGGTGTGGAGCTGGTAGTGTGTCCATGGGGGTCAGGAGCTTGAAATATTGTGCTACATATGCCAAGTATGCTCACTCCATATGTCTCTGGAGAGAGGAAAGACAAGCAGCTCCACCCCTTGCTGTGTGGCTGTGGTCAATTTACTTGACCTCTCTGAGCTTATTCTATAATTAGTAACGCTGACCTCATATTCCTAATGTATAGGTAGTTGTAAGGATTAGATATTGCACACAAAGGACTTAGCTCAGTGCATGGTACTTAATAAAGGATGAATAAGCTATATGATAAACTATTCATTTTTTATACAGTATCGGATCATTCTCTTTTCAAATTTTCCACTAGAGGGTGCCAAACACTAGCCTGAAACTTGGAAAAACTGTTGTCCAGACTCCCCCTGCCCCAAACACCCAATTTGTAAAACATGCTCTCAAGATCCTAAGCACTGGTGTCAGCAAAAAGACTTGGCAGACTCTCCATTTGCTTTCCTCTTCACCCCTGAGAGGTCCTACACCTAAAATAAAGACGCTCAACTTCAAGACTGTTAGTTTTAATTAAACACTTCTTACAGGTGCATAGATAGTGTTAACTGTGATGTTGCCATGGCTTTAAATCAGCTGCATACACAAGACAGAGCTGCAGGGGCCGCCTGCCCCTGAGGCAGGCAATGAGGGATGTTTGTAGAGAATTTAAACACAATAACACAGCTGACTAAAAGTCAGTTCGCTTGTGATATCACCAAGTGCTAGCAACTCTAAATAACATCAGTGATAAAATACTGTTCTGCAAAAAAAAAAAAAAATCTTTTGTTGTTCAAAGTTCCAAATAATCTCTGCAGATATGATGGCATCTTAGCAATATGTATGTAAGCTTCAATTTGATACATTTCTTACTTACCATTAATAATTTTAATATATCTGGAAGTTAATTCAGAGAACTCCATGTGGTACAGAAGCGTCTTCCTAGTGGACTCAGCCACATACATTTTGTTGTTATCTGTTCACACACAGCGCCAGCCCGGAGTTTGCACCTTGAGCGACAACTGTCTCCAACCCCTACATCTAAAGAGTAAATTCAAAACAAACCATAATAACTGTGATTGTAATGATGAAAGGAGTAGACCTTGGGTTATCTTACTTTTGTCATTTTATGTGATAAAAAATTTTAAATTTGTATTTAAACTTTAAAACCAAAACAGGCAGAGAATCATGAGGTCAATTTTTTACTGGCAAACTGCAAATTTAGTTCATATGTGATGCGTTCCTAAATTTGAATAATATTCAAATGAAAAGGTACTCTTTCTTTCAATTGTGTTTTGAAACTAGAGATTGTTCAACTGGTCAATTTTTTAAAAATGAAGAAACTACAGACTGACTCAAGAAAATAATGATTGCTAATGATTGCATGATTATCACTATAAAAATAATTTTGATGTATGGGGAGGGTGTTAAAAACTCTCCACTCCAGGTGTCAACTGTTCTAGGTCTACTTTTGTCTTAAATCCCAACTAAGTCGCTTTGCACATCCAAGAAAGGAAGGCCGACTGCCCTGGGAGAGCCCCCAGTGATGCGCTGAGAAGAATCCTAGTTGTGGGCAGATGGGATTGGCTGCTCTCCTGAGCATACACACTGCCCCTGGACTCCTAAGCCCTCCAAGCCCTGTCTCTTCCACTCCTGCACCCCTGGAGACCTTTTATTTAAGGAGGCCCTATTTGGGAAGATCTCAGAGCACTTTACAAATACCAACTTTGGTCTACAAGTGGGAGGAAGTTTCAATCTCTGTATCCTAGATGAAGGGGCAGGCCCAGGCAAGGGAAACCCCATTGAAAGCCTTGCTTTGAGTGTGTTCTGGCTATGACCACACCATGATATATGCATGTTATTACACACAGACCTACGCTTCAAGAATGCATGAGCTACCCTCCCATGGAACTTGGTCAGTTATTATCCAGCAAAATAAATGGACAACTTTTCTATTCCCTTCTCCTTTGCATTGTTGCAGTGTTTCACATTCCCATCCCCAAATTAGAGGGATGAAAGAAAGCAAAAACATTCTTTCCTATCCATAGTACATGTTTCTAGAAACATAGCCAACTCCATTCCCCCAATAGCTACCAAGCTAGTAACAATTCATACCATTTATTAAGAGTAGAAGTACACACCAAATCAAACTGTTCTGTCTGCTTTATTTTTAATTCTTGCAGTAACTTCAAGCAAGTTGCAAAAACATCACCCAGCTAATGATACAAGGAGCCAGCCCTCTTTGTATCTTGGAGCACCAGGCATTCTTCCAGGCATGTATAGAAATGAGCTCAATCGGCCGGGCGTGGTGGCTCAGGCCTGTAATCCCAGCATTTTGGGAGGCTGAGGCAGGCGGAGCACGAGGTTAGGAAATCAAGAACCATCCTGGCCAAGATGGTGAAACCCCATCTCTACTAAAAATACAAAAATTAGCTGGGCGTGGTGGCGCATGCCTGTAGTCCCGGATACTCTGGAGGCTGAGGCAGGAGAATCGCTTGAACCAGAGAGTCAGAGGTTGCAGTGAGCTGAGATCACACCACTGCACTCCAGCCTGGCAACAGAGCGAGACTCTGGCTCAAGAAAAAAAAAGAAAGAAAGAAAGAAAAAAAAGAAAGAAAGAAGTAAGCTTATTCTTCCCCCAACGCCCAAATCCTTTTTTTTTTTTTTTTTTTTTTTTTTGGAGAGACAGAGTCTTGCTCTGTCGTCCAGGCTGGAGTCCAGTGGCGCCATCTCGGCTCACTGCAAGCTCTGTCTCCCGGGTCCATGCCATTCTTCTGCCTCAGCCTCCCAAGTAGCTGGGACTATAGGTGCCCGCCACCACGCCTGGCTAATTTTTGTATTTTTAGTAGAGACGGGGTTTCACCGTGTTAGCCAGAATGGTCCCGATCTCCTGACCTTGTGATCCACCCGCCTCAGCCCCCTAAAGCACTGGGATTACAGGTGTGAGTCACCACGCCTGGCCTCCTTTTTTAAGTTCTAAGTTTTCAAATTAAAATTGTGGTAAACTACACATAAAGTGACATTTACCATCTTAACCATTTCTCAGTGTACAATGTCATGGTCTTCAGCACATTCCCACTGTTGTACAACCGTCGCCACCACCCATCTCCAGAACTCTTCATCTTACAAAACTAAATCTCTGTACCCATTAAACAATTACTCCCAATCTTCTCTTCTTCTTCTTTCCCAAATCTTAAGTATAAAGCAGATAGTATTATTATCACCATCCCCATTTTTCAGATGAGGGAATGGAGGCATCGTGAGATTCAATAACTTCCCCTGATCACAGCTGGTTGGTGGCAGAGCTATGATTCAAAGCCAGGTGGTCAGGCTGCAGAAGTCATGGCCTCAACTACTGTGCGGCCTCAGGCACACCTCACAGAACTGTGCTGTGTTGTCTCTTCTGCTGTTGAGCCTATCTAGAAGATGTAGAAACGGTAGCTTAGAAAGTTAAAGCAAATTGCAGTTTCTTCCTTGTAAAGGCCAAGGGGGCTCTGTGTTGAGACCGCTTGGATCCCAGGATGGTTAGCCTGCACCTCCTCTTAGATTAGAGCAGTGACCCTGTCCTTGGTCCCATCCACATCCAAAAGCAGCTCTGGTCCTCTCCCCTCAGTCCCGAGTGCAGCCTGTGGGTTCCAGCTTGCCTGTGACTAGAGAAGTGAACTCTGCCCTTTGGCCAGCAGATAACAGGCTAGGCCCACCTGGGATGTTCTTGCTCAGCTGCACATAGCTGGGGGGATGTAGTCTGTGCTGGAACAGCCTGTGCTCCCTGTCACTGCTAAGAAAGCCCCTCTTCTGCCATTGGGCCAGCGCTGCTAAGGCAGGAAAACTTCCTCCTCCACACCTCCATCAGCTTCTATCAAACACAGAATGGGAGACTGAGCTGGACCCTTACTTAGCACCTGTGTTCAAGGAAGGGGTGCTAGGAAGATGGCATACCCCCTCCCCCATAAACAGATACTTATTTATTTATGTTGGCACGTTGGGCCTATTTTCAGCCATTAAAATGAATAGCCCTGAGGAAGAGCAGCTTCACTATGAGAGGACTTAATAAGAAGAGAATTTTTCCCCAGTTGACCAATGTAAGCTTGAAAGCCAACCTAGAAGAGAAAGAACTTTAAAACTCTACATCTGTTTAATCAGCACACCTTATTTTACCCAAAATAAACTCCACCACTGACCTCTGCTCACTCCACCACCGTAGCCCAAGCGCTATTGTCCCTCACCTGTACAGGCCCCTCAACCCTGCTACCTCCCAGACTATTCTCCACAGGCAGCCAGAAACAGCCTCTAAACTGTCAACCAGATTCTGTAAGATCAGGAATGAGACAAGGATGCCCACTCTTGCCACTTCTGTTCAATACAGTACTGGAAATTGTAGCCATAGCAATTACGCAAAAAAAAAAAAAAAAAAAAAAAAAAAAAAAAGCCAAATGAAAAAAAAGGGAAGTGGCCGGGCTCACGCCTGTAATACCAACACTTTCGGAGGCCGAGGCAGGCGAATCACGAGGTCAGGAAATCGAACCATTCTGGCTAACATGGTGAAACCCCGTGTCTACTAAAAATACAAAAAATTAGCCTGGCGTGGTGGCAGGCGCCTGTAGTCCCAGCAACTGGGAAGGCTGAGGCGGGAGAATGGCGTGAACCCGGGAGGCAGAGCTTGCAGTGAGCGGAGATCATGCTACTGCACTCCAGCCTGGGCGACAGAGTGAGACTCTGTCTCAGAAAAAGAAAGGGAAGTAAGTTTATCCCTGTTTACAGGTGATATGATCTTATATGTAGAAAACCCTAAAGATTCAACAACAGCAAAAAAACCTGTTAGAACTAGTAAATGCATTTAGCAAATTGCAAGGTACAAAATCATCACACAAAAATCAGTGCATTTCTATACACCAACAATGAACAATCCAAAAAGGAAATTAAGACAACAATCCTATTTGTAATAGTATCAAAAAGAAAAGAATATTTAGGAATAAAATCTAGGAGGCAAAAGGCTTGTACACTAAAACCTACAAAATATTGCCGAAAGGCATAAAAAGACACACACACAAAAAGTGGAAAGACATCCTGTGTTCATGGATTGGAAGACGTAATATTGATAAGATGTCATACTACCCACAACAATCTATAGACTTAATGCAATCTCTACCAAAATTCCAACATTGTTTTTGTCAGAAATAAAAAAATCTATTCTAAAATGCATATAGAATCTCAATGAACCCTAAACAGCCAAAACAATCTCAAAAAAGAGGAACAAAGTTGGAGGTCTCACATTTCCTCATTTCAAAGCTTACTACAAAGCCACAGCAATCAAAACAATGTGGTACTGGCATAAAGACAGACATATAGACCAACGGAATGCAATAGAGAGCCCAGAAATGAACACTTGTGTAGATGGTCAAATACTATTTGACCAGGGTGCCAAGACCATTCAGTGGGGGAAAGCATGGTCTTTTCAAGAAATGGTGCTGGGAAAACCGGATATCCACATAGAAAAGAATGAAGTTGAACTGTTATCTTATACCGCACACAAAAATTAATTCAAAACAGATCAAAGACCAAAATATAAGACCTAAAATGATGAAATTTTTTTAAGAAAACATACAGCAAAATAATGTCTTTATGATATTGCTGGGCAATGACTTCTGGTTGATCACACTGAAAGTCAAGCAACACAAGACCAAATGAGTAAATTTTACTCCATCAAAATGTAAAACTTTTCTGCATCAAAGTACACAATCAACAGACCAAACTCCACAAGTCAACTCATGGGATGGGAGAACATATTTGCAAATCATATATCTGATAAGGAGTTAATATTTAGTGTGTATAAAGAATATTACAACTCAAAAATGCAAAACCAACAATTCCTTTTAAAAAATGGACAAAGGACTTGAATAGACATTTCTCCAAAGAAGACATTCAAATGACCGACAAGTATATTAACAGATGCTTAATACGACTAATCATTATGGAAATGCACATCAAAATCAGATATCACCTCACACCCTCACATATCATTAGGATGCCTACTACCCCAAAAACAGAAATACTGTGCATTGTTGAGCACGTGGAGAAATTGGAACCCTCATGCACTGTTAGTGGGAATGCAGAATGATTAAGCTGCTCTTAAAAGCAGTACGGTGGTTCCTCAAAAAATTAAACATAGAATTACCACATAATCCAACAATTCCACTACTGGGGAGATGCCCCAAAGAACTGAAAGCAGAGTCTCGAAGAGACATTTGCATACCCGTTTTCACAGCAGCATTATCCATAATAGCCAAAAGGTGGAATCAACCCAGGTGTCCATCAATGGATGAATGGATGTACAAAATCTGGTCCGTCCATGCAAGGAGCATTATTCAGCCTTAAAAGGGAAGGAAATCCTGACCAAAGCTACAACATGTATAAATCTCAAGGACATTATGTTAAGTGGAATAAGCCACACACCAAAGGACAACACTGTATAATTCCACTAATACTCAGCACCAGAGTAGTCAAATCCATAGAGACAGTAAGTAGAACAGGGGTGGCCAAGGACTGGGGAGAGGTGAGTGGGAGTTGGCGTTTAATGAAAACAGAGTTTTAGTTTGGGAAGATGAAAAAGTTCTGGAGATGATGGCAGTGGGGGCTGCACAGCAGTGTGGTTGTACTTAAAGCCACGTACACTGAAAAAATGGATAAAATGGCAAATATTATGTTATGTGTGTGTTTGCCACATACCCCCAAAAAAATCAGTCAGACTGTGTGACATACCTGCTCTCAGCCCTCACTCAGAATACAATCCAAGTTCCTTCCTCAGTGGAGCAGGCCTCACACTCCAGCCACACGGCCCCTCCTGTCTCACTGGCCCAGCATGTTTCTGCCCCAGGCCCCTTGCAGTCACTCTGTGTTCCCTTCGCAGGCTCTTCTCCCTGGCCATTGCACGGCTCATTCCCATATTTAACTCAGGACTCTGCTCAATCCTCACTGCTTTTGGCCACCCTATTAAAATAGCACATCCCTTCAACCCCATAGCACACCTTATTTTTCTTCATGAGTTTCATCAGTGCCTGGGATTATCTTAACCACTCATTTATCTGTTCATTATTTGTCTCCTCCAGTGGAGTGTGTGCTCCATGCAGTCAGGGCCTTTGCCTTGCTCACTGCTGTGTTCCCTGGGGCCTAGAATAGTGGTGGCCCATAGCAGAATTCAGGAAAGAGGAGTCCAACAATGAATGAATGGATAACGCCATGCAACGGATGTGTTGGTGAAATTGACAGAGGTGGTAGAATTGAGGGCGACTGATGATGGAATGAAGCTCCCACAAGATCTCGAGAGTCGATATGCTGGGCTAAATGACTAAGATGAAGCTTAGCACGGGTGCTAAGGCTGCACTTGGGTCAAAAGCACAACTGAGTACAGGATGAGGAAGAAGTTGTTTCACAGCAGCTGCACAACTAGCAAACACCTGGAAGCTACAAAATGGTGGGAAGCTCACAGTGGGATAGATGGGCCTGCAGAAACACCCCGTGATCTCAGGCTGCATGGGGTGGGTGGAGCAGATGGCTGGTGTGATCTGCAGGAGGCACCTCATGGGGCAGCCCTGTTAGTCCTGGGCTTTGCACTTAAGCACTCAGAGGTTATTCAAGTACATCTTGACCATAGGGACCTGGATGGTAAAGGCATTCAAAATTACATCCTCAACAATACATAGTTTCAAATAGCTCAAAGGAGGGTATTGAACATTCCCAATACAAAGAAATGATAAATGTTTGAGATGATGGATATGCTAATTACCCTGACCTGATCACTATACATTACATGTATAGAAACATCACTATGTACCCCATGAATATGTACAATTATTGTCAATTAAAAATTAAAAATCATACTCTATAAAAAAAGAATAGAAGGAATGTTTAGCCCATAGATGGTAGATTTGACAGCCAGACAGAACTGAATCAAATCCTGGTTCTGCCTTTTATTAGCTGCAGGACACAGGCAGAATTCTTAACCTTAGTAGTCTCTAGTTGTATGACTGCCAAGACCAGTGCCATAAAAGTAAAATATAACTGTTTGATTTTGTAGTTATACACAAAGGCTTGTACTGTGTCCTGTAGAAAATTTGAAGAGTCATCCTTTAAAAACATATATCCATAGTCTTTGCTGAAATTGCCAATGAAATGTACTTTACCAGGGTCCCAATATCGTGTACAAAATGTAGCATTGAAACTTAATGCCCACTTTTTATAAATGTTTATCTATAGATGGGCATCTCAATTTGAGGCAACACATATACGATCAGAACTAACAGTGAATATAAATGATGGAGTATCATGATAGTAGAATCAGATAGAATATTTAGAATAGAAACAGCCCTAAATGAATAACAACTTCTGTGTCTCTTCTGCTAGATTGTTTATAACTTAAAACAGTTCTGTTCTGGATGATCTTGGTAAATCATATGCTTGCATCATGACTGAAATCATCTTGAAAAACGTTTTTTAAGCTGGGAGTGGTGGCTCATGCCTGTAGTCCCAGCTACTTGGGAGGCCAAGGCAGGAGGGTCACTTGAGGCCAGGAGTTTGAGACCAGCCTGAGCACCATAGCAAGACTCCATTCCTATAAAAAAATTAAAAATTAGCTGGGCATATCTGTGGATGCCTGTAATCCAAGCTACTCAGGAGGCTGAGGCTGGAGGATCACGTGAGCCTAGGAATTGGAGGCTGTAGTGAGCTGTGGTCTCACTATTGCACTCCAGCCTGGGTGACAGAGAGAGAACTTGACTCCCAAAAAAAACAAAAAAAACAAAAAGAAAAAACAAACAAACGAAAAACTCTGTAGGTGGTACCTTTCAAAAGTGTTCCTTTTGGGATACAAAATTAATTTGGATCCCCAAATACAAATTATTTCATATAAATTGGGGCACCCCAGGTTCTACAGTGGAGTCGCTGCAGTGGCTGATGAAGAGGACACAGAACAAGAGTCCTTCCCCTGGGATTTGAATGCTGGTTTTCCTCATCAGGGGTTTGTCCTTCATGGCTCCAGCTTTCAGTGGAGTCAGGTACAAGCAAGTGATGACATGCTGATGAAAACACTGGACAATGCAGTCTGGATTTTTTTTTTTTACAAAAGTGGAAATATCAGAATGTGACAACTTAGAGTGACCATATAATTTATCACCCAATTGGAATACCTTAGAGAGTGAGGGAAGCGGGAGAGGGTGAGTATGAATAGCTGCACTGGGACCACAAGCGTAAACCAACACTGTCCTTTGTCACTGCTGTGGCCGAAGCCATGAGGATATTCAGGCTTCGGAAGAGGCTCGCCACGAGTGCCTCCACGGTAGCAAGAAGGTCTGGCTGGACCCCAGTGAGACCAGTGAAATCGTCAACGCCAACTCCCATCAGCAGATCCGGAAGCTGATCAAAGTTGGGCTGATCATCCACAAGCCTGTGACTGTCCATTCCCAGGCTGGATGCCAGAAAAGCACCTTAGCCCACCAGAAGGGCAGGCACATGGGCACAGGTTAGCGCAAGGGTACAGCCAATTTCCAAATGCCAGAGAAGGTCACTTGGATGAGGAGAATGAGGATTCTGCACTGGTTGTTTGGAAGATACCATGAATCTAAGAAGACTGATCACCACATGTATCACAGCCTGTACCTGAAGGTGCAGGGGAATATGTTCACAAACAAGCAGATTCTCATGGAACACAACCACAAGCTGAAGGCAGACAAGGCCCACAAGAAGTTCCTGGCTGACCAGGCTGAAGCCCGCAGCTCTAAGACCAATAAAGCAAGCAAGCTCCGTGAAGAGCGCCTCCAGGCCAAAAAGAAGGAGATCATCAAGACTTTGTCCAAGGAAGAAGAGACAAGAAAAAAAGCTTCCCCTTTTTCTGCACATCCTGGCCACTGTGATTACATAGATCTGCCATTAAAATAAAACAAGCCTTAAAAAAAAAAGAAAAAAAAACAGGACTGCCCTGAGAAAACTAGGACGTATGGTCACGCCAAGTGGAGTCCCTTCATGGGGATATGGCGTTGAGATGCACAGGCCTGCCAGGAGCTGTTTCATAAGGATTCAGTGCTTTTCTTGCACAGGGGAATGAATTTTGATGAGTATGAAAGATGAGTGAAAGGACCAAGACATTCCAATTCCACCCACTAGATTAGACAGTTTGGTTTTGACAGTTCTGTCCATCTATTTTACATTTTCCAGGTTTGGGAAATGCAGACATAGATACAGATAGTAACATTTTTCAGTGACTCAGTAGCCCCTGATAGCCACAAGAGCTTGGCACGGGTTGAAGGCATTCTCCAGGTGGGAACCAAGGAAAAGCTGTATGAATGTCTTTGCAAAAAGATAAAGAGATGCTTTGCAACAAAAGAGGGCTCCACCACTCTGAAAACACAGTAGGACATATTCGTTAAGTGTCTGAAATCCAAGTCATCTGGACCCGGCACGCTCCCTGATGCCTTTGCCACACCTTTACAGATATTCCAGGGTTATGCTGCTTGCAGGTGACACAATTAGTTATATAAATAAACATGAAATAAAATTTATCTCCAGTGTTTTTGTACCCAGGTGCTGATTCTTGTCTTTTTTTTATTTTTGTTTTTATTTTATTTTTTTGAGACAGAGCCTCACTCTGTCACCCAGGCTGGAGTGCAGTGGTGCCATCTCAGCTCACTGAAACCTCTGCCTCTTCGTTCAAACATTTCTTGTGCCTCAGCCTCCTGAATAGGTGGGATTACAGACATGCACCGCCACTCCTAGCTAATTTTTGTATTTTTGGTAGAGACAGGGTGTTGCCATGTTGACCAGGCTAGTCCTGAACTCTTGACCTCATGCGATTTGCCCTTCTTGGCCTCTCAAAGTGCTGGGATTGCAGACGTGCACCACCATGCCTGGCTAATTTTTGTATTTTTAGTAGAGACAGGATACTGCCATGTTGGCCAGCCTGGTCTAAAACTCTTGGCCTCATGTGATCTGCCCACCTCGGCCTCCCAAAGTGCTGGAATTACAGGTGTGAGCCACTGCGCCCGACCTGATTCTTGTCTTTCTAGCGTGTGTATGTCTCCCCAGCAACGGGCACGTGCATTGGTCTAGGCACCACCAAGGGGCTGTTTTAGAAAAATCAAACATGGTGGAGATTCAAAAAAATCTGTCAGGTTGTGAATTTGGGGCTAGATCTTGGAAACAGCATCAGAAAGTAAACTAAAATCCAGAAGAAGGGAACTTTTAGGGCAGTGAAACTATTTCCTATGTTACAATAATAATGGATACACATAATATATTTGTCAAAACCCAGCAAATGTACAACTCAAAGAGTGAAGCCTAATATAAACTACAGGCTTTAGTTAATAATAATTCTGTATCTTTTTTTGGTATTTTTATTTTATTTATTGGTAACTTTTTAAATTTTAAATTTGTAAATTTTTTTCTTGATAGTGTTGGTGAAAATCTTTTTGAAATATATTTTAATTCTATTTTTTCAATTGATAAATAATAATTATACAAATATGACAAATAATTTATGGAGTATGTAGTGATGTTCTCATAAATACAATGTGTAGACATCAGGTCACGGTAATTAGTGCATCCATCATCTGAAACATTTCATCACTTCTTTGCATTGGGAATGTTCAATATTTTCCCTCAGCTATTTGAAACAATATATTATTGTTAACTATCATCATTCGTATAGAACGCTAGATCGTATCAGAATTGGTTTGTCAGTTATAACAAACGTACCACACTAATACAAGATGTAAATAATAGGTAAATGTGAGGGGGGAGCCTGGGCAGGGAGAGATATGTGGGAATTCTATACTTTCCAATCAATTCTTCTCTAAGCCCAAAATTGCCCTAAAAAATTACAAATCATGCCTCACGGAGGAGAATCATGTAAGATGCTGGCCCAGACACAGTGGGCATGGCTGTGCCCATTCCTTCTCCTTCATTCATACCACACACCTGTGTCAGGGTCCTGGTGGCGCCACCATACATTGCTAGCTAGTGCCAGCGCAGGGTCTGAGCCTCTTCAGTGGCCACGCCTGCCAGCAGGCTCTGATGGGCTATCCCCACGTCCTGCACCCTTAGACTGCTTGATGCCTTGGCCAGGATGGCCACTGCGGTTACCCCTGAGTGACTGGGGTGAAGTGGATCGGAAATGCCTCCCCTGCCATCTGCAATGCATTTCAGGAATCTCTTCCAAAGGTCCTGAAAGTTTGAGCAGCAACTGCACTGGCTGTGACTGCCTTGATGACCCCCCGCCGTGGGCTGGCTTTCTACCTTCCTCTGAGTCACTCCTCCTACCCCTCACTCCTGCTCCCTAGGACGACTTCCCAGAAAAAGTCCTGAATGCAAGTCTTCACCCCAGACTCTGCTTAGGGGAAGAGACACATTTAAGTGCATTTAAACCTGTGCGTGTAGGCATGTGTCACACCAAACAATGTTAAAATGACAACACTACTCAGCCCTTTGAAATTTGAATTTTCTAAACAGAACTAATCTTATCAAGTATATTAGGTCTATTTGTACTATCTTCATTTGAGTGTTATAAAAATATATATATGTTTCTATGGGCAAAAAGACATAAGCCAAAACCACGATTATGTACTTTCTTTCTCTTTGTTTATAATTTAAAATATTTTCCTTGGAAAATTTCCAGATACATAAAGACTATTCTCTAATTACTTCAGCTGATAATCAGCTAAAGGTCTCAAGTCAGTTAGGCATCTTAGAACATGTATTTTAATTTGACATTAAAGAAAATATAATCACTGTAATTATTAGAAATAAAACTCTTTAAAACTCCCACAGTAAAGGTGAAGTGATTCTATAGGCTCACCTAACTAGCAGTGTTTTATATGAAGACATCAATTGTTACAGCTTTCATTAAATAAATACATACGTTTACATTTCTAGTCTTAAATATATGGTGTTAGCGCTGATAACCTACCTGACAAGTAGAAGGACCTTAGGATATTCTATTTAGTTAAGCTTGAGATAAGATGATAATTCCAAAATTATGCATAAAGAGTTACATTTATATTATGTTTTTACACCGTGATAAAATCAAAGAGAAAATATGTAGCTATCTATTTTGCCAAGATCTATAATTCATTAAGTATGCATGATGGATTTTTATATAATTCTTCTGTATTTATTTTTAGTAAGTAATACTGAATTCCTTTACATTTTACCTAAATTTCTAACACGGAAGGGTGTTTTGTGAAGCCGTCATCTGACTACTAATTGGTGGCTTAATGATTATTTACACCTCTTTCTTCTCTTGTAATTCAACAGTAGAAAGTCCATGTTATTAAACTAACATTTGCATTTTTCCTTTTTCTGATCCAAAAGCTTTTTAGAGAGAGATGTAATTTAATATTAGAAAACAGGAACACTTTTCACAGTTCTATTAATGACTTAATTGTTTATACATAGTTTAAATTTTTTTAATTTTATGCTAATTAGGGTAATATATACCTTTATTTTTATCATCTTAATCATTATGAAGTTTATAGTTATAGATGTTAAGTATATTCACATTGTTTTGAAAGATATATACTTTTGATGAATGTCTTAATAATTAAATTAATTTGAAAAAATCTGTTCTCATTTGAAAATCTCCTTTTCCAAGAAGGAAACTATTGGATGTTTCAGTTTCCAGAAGACAGATTTCTTTAAACCCTTTAAAATATCCATACGTGTCATTACAATATATAGCTTTTCAGCTAGGTGCATTTAGGCAAATTTCACACTTTATTTCTGTCAGGTGGAAAGGTTTTCCTAAAGGGCCACGTGTCTAAAGCATTTTGTGTTTTGGCATAATTTCTTAAACTTTTTTGCGCTTTGGGGGGTCTGAGATTCTTTATCTTATTCATTAATGTTCTTTTTAACTTCTAGAAACCATCAAAATAGGAGCTGTATTGAATTTGCAAGACTTTCCAACTGTATTTGCTAATTCCCTTGGGAGACAGACTATCCCAACTATTCCCATTTTCATTTCTGCACCATTTTGTTAGCTGTGGTAGGGATGTAATCAGTTCACACATCTGGTATCGCATGGATTGGCTAGTGTTAAAGGTTTCACAAATTACTACGAACACTTTTTATTTTTGAAATTGAAGGGCTCTTAATTAGTTTAAAAATAGCTATCAACTTGCTTATAACCAGTATTTGTATGTTGCTACTTGTTCTCTTCCTAAAGGTGGGGAAGTGACATTTGACAACAGAGACCTATCTCCGAAAGAGTTATTTGAGAAAGGGTGTTGTTGGATCAGTCAGACTTCCTGTCCTGATTGCAGTAGTGGGTGGGGTGAATTTCCTTCTAGCAGCGTGGAAAAGGGGCATGGGAATCAATGCAGGTGGAACAGTGGTTCCTGATGTGACGTAGGCAACCATTGGACATTGGGCTTTTTTACATCCTCAAATTCAAGAGCCTCTTGAAAATGTCTCATTTTGATCATATCGAGTTCTGTCTGTGAAAGCGATGGCAAGTCTGGGTTAACTAGTGAACTAGTCTAGTCGAGTTAGCTTAAGACTCTTTCTTATAATGCATGGACATGTAAAAATCAGGAATTTCTTGGTGAAAAAATTTGTTTCCTTAGAACCAGAACAACCCATAATGCAAACGCATAAAAAAGATTTGCAAATTGATGTCCTCAGTCTCTCTAGATACATTTCAGGTGTTCAAGATCCACGTATAGCTAGTGGTGACCATATTGACATCATGGAAATATCTACTGGGCCGTGCTGGTTTACACCATACTCTCTGAAACACCGCTTAGGCATTCACCCCATGATTCTGTGTATGACTGCTTTTAGTAGCTGCTGCTGCTATTTGCTACCACGAAGGCCGCCTCCTCCTCCCGTGGTCGGTAGGTAAGTTTAGGTTCTTGATCTCACCACACAAAAGAATTTGAGAGTGACTCCAAAGGAAGAGTAGCCAAAGAAGCTTATTGTAAAGCGAAAGTACCCTCTGAGAGGCTGAGTGGGCTGCTTAAAGGGAGAGACAGCAACTAGTGCCTTCAGAGGAATTCCTTTTGCGGGAATTGTTCGTATATATTCATAAAATACTGGTGAGGTCAAGTACGTAAAGACAGACCTGCGGTTGACACATGCGCTCAGCATCTGCATGCTGTAACATGCAATGCATGTATCATTAGCATATAAAATCTCCGCCTAGGGGTGTGTTTTTTTACTATTAAAATGAAGAAAAGGTTACTATGAGCTAAACCTTGAGCCTAGCTGCACAGGTGGGACCCTGGAGCAATCCTCAGCCCTCCTGCCCCAAGGCAGTAATTTGCAGCTAATAGCTTCTTGGGTTTTGGATGCTGATTGGCTAGGTACTGGGGAAGCTACATTATGAATAAGTCTCTTTCCCGGGCTGTGCTAGCTATTAGGAACTTGTAACCATCAGGCAGTTGGCTGGTGTCCTGCAGGACTGTTTATCTTGCAAAAGAGTCAGGCGCTGACGTAAGAGGGTGCAAGGGATGCGGAGCCCACTAGGCTTTACACCAGCGGAAAAGTCAGTAAGTCAGTATGGCCTCCTAACCTTCCTTATCCTGCTTCACTCCTCCTTACTTTTCTTTTTGTGGCCGTTTTATTGAGATACAGTTTAGATACTGTACAATTCATCAGTGTAAAATGTACAATTCAGTGGTTTTTAGTATATTCACAGAGCTGTGCAACCGTCACCATAATCCACTGTAAACATTTTCATTACCTCAAAAAGAGGCTCCCATTTGCTTTAGTCTTCACTCCCCAATTCCCCCATACTCCTGGCTCTAAGCAACTACCAATCTATTTTCTGTCCCTTTATTTTGCTTATTCTGGACATTTCATATAAATGGATCATGTCATGGGTGGTCTTTCGTGACTGTTTACCTCCCATGATATTTTCAAGTTTCATTCATGTTGTAGCGTGTATCAGGACTTCATTTCTTTTTGTGGCCAAATAATATTTCATTTTATGGATATATCACCTTTTGTTTGTCCATTCACAGTTCATAAATATTTGGGTTTCCATCTTTTGCTTTATGACTAATGCTGCTATAAATATTCATGTACAAGTTTTCATATGGACATACGTTTTCATTTCTCTTGGGTGTATACCTACTAGTGGAATTGCTGCTCAAATGGTTACTCTATGTTTAGCTTTTTTGAGAAACTGCCACACTGTTTTCCAAAGTGACTGCATCGTTTCTACATTCTCACCAGAAATGTATGAGGGTTCTAATTTCTCCATATCCTCACCAAAGTTTATTATCTTTTTGATTATAGCCATGATGGTAGGTGCTAAGAGGTATCTTCTTGTGGTTTTTAATCAAAAAACGAGTGTTAGGTTTTGTCAAGTGCTTTTTCTGCATCTATTAATATGAGCATGTGGCTTTCGGTTTTTATTCTATTGATAGGGTCTGTTACAATAATTAATTTACAGGTGTTAAGCTAACCTTGCCTTCCTGGAATAAATCCCACTTGGTCATAGTGTATGATTCTTTTTATATGTCACTGGATTTGATTTGCCACGATTTTGTGGAGGATTTTTGTATCCATAGTAATAAGAGATAGTGATCTGTAGTTTTCTTTTTTTGTGATGTCTTTGGTTTTGGAATCAGGGTAATACTGACATCATAGAATGAGCTGAGAAGCATCCCTTCTCTCCCGTTTTTTGGAAGTTTGTGAAAAACTGATATCGTTTCTATAATTCTAATAATTTAAGTCTTCTTTCTTATGTCTTGGTTGAATTCTGTTATTTTTGTTTACCTTTCCAAAGAACCAGCTTTTGGATTCACTGATTTTTCTTTACCATTTTGTATTCTCTATTTCATTAATTTCCATTCTAATATTTACTATTTCCTTTCTTTTTTGAATTAGGTTTAGTTTGGTCTTCTCTTTCCAGTGTCTTAAGATGGAAGTAATTGTTCTGAGTTTTTTTTCTTTTTTAATATAGGCATTTACTGCTATAATTTTTCCTAGGCAGTTCTTCAGCTGAATTCCATAAGTTTTGGAATGTTGCGGTTTCCATTTTAATTCAGCTCAAAGTATTTTCTAATTTTCAGTTTGATTTTTCTTTTGACCTACTGGCTATTTAGGAGTATGTTGTTCAATTTCTACATATTTGTGGGTTCCCCAAATTACTTTATGTTTTTGATTTCTAATTTAATTCCAGTGTGGTTGGAGAAGATACTATGTATCATTTCAATCCTTTTAAATTTACTGAGGTTTGTTTTATGACCTAGCATAAAGCCTACCCTAGAGAACATTCCATATTCACTTGAAAAGAACATACATTTTGCTATTGTTTGATAGAGTGTTCTAGAGCTATAGCAGATTTTTTGAAACTCACTCAGGAAAATCTCAAATGTGTGCAGAAGTAGAGATAATAATATAATAATTGTGAGTTGAATTGTGTTCCTCTTCCAAAATATTGAATTCCTAGCCCCCAGTGTCTGTGAACAAAGGGTTTTTTGTGGGGAGGAGGCACATGATTAAGTTAAGATGAGGTAGTAGGGTGGGCCCTATCCAATATGATGGCTGTCATTTAAAATGGGAGAAATTTGGACACAGAGACAGTCATGAACACAAGAACACCATGTGAAGATGAAGGTGGAGATTTTGGAGATGTAACTACAAAGCAAGGAGCGCCAAAGATTGCTGGCAAACCACCAGAAGCCAGGGAAGAGGCATGCAACAGGTTCTTGTCCCTTAGAAGGAACCAATCCTGCTGACACCTTGATCTTAGATTTTCAGCTCCCAAAACTGTGAGACAATAAATTTCTGTTGGGCCAGGTGCAGTGACTCTCGCCTGTAATCCCAGCACTTTGGGAGGCTGAGGTGGATGGGTCACCTGAGGTCAGGAGTTTGAGACCAGCCTGACCAACATGGCGAAACCCTGTCTCTATTAAAAATACAAAAATTAGCCGGGTCTGGTGGCAGGTGCCTGTAATCCCAGCTACCTGGGAGGCTGAGGCAGGAGAATCACTTGAACCTGGGAGGTGAAGGTTAGCGTGAGCCGAGATCACACCACTGCACTACAGCCTGAACAACAGAGTGAGACTCAGTTTCAAAAAAAAAAAAAAAAAAATTATATTGTTTAAGCCACTCTGTTTATGGAAAACACTTACGTACTCAGCACTCAGATTCAACGACCTTTCAGCCAGTTGTATCTTCACCACAAGCCAGAGCTCAGTGGCTCCCAGGCATTATAACAACACGGACCCTCTGGTCAATGTTGGACTTTCAGGTGAGAAAGTTTAAAGGCAAAAAGACATTTTGGCATGCTGCCACAGTGTCCTTTGGTCAGGAGGTGAAAAGCAAGTTCTGAGTATTGGACTTCCAAAACTGTAAAAGACAAAAAGTCAACACAGTTGAGCTGATGGGGTTTGGCTCTGTGTCCTTACCAAATCTCCTGTCGAATTGTAATCCCCAGTGCTGGAGGTGGGGCTGGGTGGGAGGCGATTGGCTCGTGGGGGTGGAGTTCTCATGAATGGGTTAGCGCCGTTCCCTGGGTGCTGTTCTCGTGATAGTGAGTGCGTTTTGGTGAGATCTGGTTGTTTAAAAGTGCGCAGCACCTCACCACTCACTCTCTTCTTCCTGCTCTGGCCATGTGAGATACCTTGCTCCCCTTTTGCCTTCTGCCATGATTAAAAGCTTCCTGAGGTCTCCCCAGAAGCAGAAGCCTCTATGCTTCCTGTACAGCCTGGAACCATGAGCCAAGGAAGCCAATCTTTTCTTTATAAATTATGCAGTCTCAGGCATTTCTTTCTAGCAGTGTGAGAATGGACTGATCCATGAGGCTTGTCAAAATTTTATGGTATGCATAGTAGACAATCAAATACCAGATTGTCTGAGGATCTTGGCGGAAGGATTTTTAGTGCAGAATTAGGTTGTTGGTCAAAATGATTCTATAATGTTACACTGTGTGAAAGTTGTCAGAATGAAAATGGAGTTGCTTGTGTTAAAAATCTAAACAATAGACCCAGCGCAGGGCATGAAGGGAGGAGGATTCCCAAGCACAAATGCCTGATAAGAGGAATTATCACACAAGTCTGCAAAAATCACAACCTTGCATACAAATATACTTCTGCAAGGACATCTGCCCAGCAGCTGCCTGTCTGACCTCAGGCTGGCACAACCCTTATTATTGCTTCTTGTTGCCAAACATAATTATCTTAAAACAATTATGCAGCCCTCCTCATTTTTCTTCAAAAAAACCTTTGTCTTCTTTTACCTCCTGAATATGCACTTAGTTTATTATGACACACATATTCCCATTGCAGTGTCCATTCCCACATAAATATCATTTTCTATTAGAGAGCCTCTCTGTCTGTCATTTAGGTTGGCAGTTGTCGAAGCATGACTTTGAAGCCAGATCTTAGCGTGTCTTTGTTGTCGGGTTATCAGGTACTCTATAGTTTTCTGTTTGGGTGCTATTAGTTAAGTAGAGATCATGGCAGATGGTAGTTACTGTTTGTAAAGCTTGCAAAATTCATATTTCTTCCAAAGTCTAACAGTCCCTTTTATTTCTTTAGACATATTTAAATTTTTATTTCAATTTCCATTCCAATATGCTCAGTGTTTTGGAATGCATTTCTGTTTCTTCTTCCTCCCAACTCTCGCTCAAATGATGGTTTCCTCTTGTGTCTTACAGCTTGCTGTTGTAAAATTCTGTGCTGTGGAACAAATCTGTAATAATTTTTTAATTTGAGGTGCATTCCTCGAGAGAAGATTGACAGTTGCTTTTGCAGGTACTGGATATATTAGCAATCCAGAATATCTTTTTTTGTTTTTGTTTTCTTGTTGTTGTTGTTTTAAAGACAGGGTCTTGCTCTGTCATCCAGGCTGGAATGCAGTGGCACAATCATAGCTCACTGCAACCATGGATTCCTGAGCTCAAGCAATCCTCCTGCCTCAGCCTCCTGAGTAGCTGGGACTAGAGCTGCACACCACCACACCTAGCTAATTTTTAAAACTTTTTTATAGAGATGGGGTTGCCCCGGCTGATCTTGAACTCCTGGGCTCAAGTGTTTCCCCTGCCTCAGCCTCCCAAAGTGCTGGGATTACAGGCATGAACCACCACATCCAGTACAGGATGTCTTTAAATTATGTTATCAGTTTGGTGTTTCCAGAATTCTTGGAGAGTAGAAATTCTGTCCCTAAACTTGTGTGATGGTAAAATACAAATTCTTAAACATGTTTTTCTCCCCTTTACTCAGAGGCAAAATCAAGGTAGACAAGTTTCCTTACTAACTCGTTAAGAAAGGCAGGATTTTTTTTTTTTTTAGTATTACCCAGTGTGTGACTTTCAGGGTCTAAGCCTTATGTAAAATAAAAAGGTCTACAGTCAGACTTCCCACCTTCATTAATACCTGAGAAATTAATGAAATAGAGAATACAAATAAAGAAAAATCTATCAAGTGTGGGCACTAGATTTTGTCTCCTTTTCTCCTGAACTAAACCACGTAAATGGAATCTCCAGGTCCCCAGAGACTGGCAGATATTCCTTAAGCAAAACCGTTTCAATGTCCTTGCTTACCTTTCTGAATTCATATGTTCCATTATTTGTGGTCTTTAAGGATTTCTCTTTTACTTTTTGCCAGGCCAGCAATATATTTAATAATCTGTTGTTTAAAAAATATTTACACAATTATAGGTTTTTTTAAATCAAAAGTCTCATTATGATTCCTAAGTCTGCCATATTGCTAAAAATGGAAGGCTATAATGATTTTTCATACTGAGAGCTCTATCTCATCTGGAACTTATTTTTCTGATTAGTTTGAGGTTGAGCTAAATTTCATTTCTGCAGATTCTAACAGTGCAAGGAAAGGTAAAATGGGCCCTGAATGGGCGTTCTGTTAGGCACTTTCATGAGTTCAGCTTTAGGGGCAAAATGACACACGAAAGCAAAGATCAAGTAATAAAGAGTTGGCTTTCACAGTTTTGATGAATGTCTTCTATCCACCCTAGACCTGCTTCCTTTTGATACAAAAGGTGCAAAGTGACTGTTCTTCCCAGTGCTTTGTTCGCTACATTTCCCCTGCCTCATACCCGAGCTTTTTTCCGCTGAGCTTCATGCACAAGGACCTTCTATTTGATCTTCATGGTTCTTCCAGGTAAGGTGGGACCTGAAAAAAAGTGAAAGATCAGAAGGATGGGAAGACTTAAGGATTTTGGACTGAGTCTGGGTCCACATAAAGATAACCCAGGGCTGCTGATAAGAGTAAGTGTAGAGAAGTTGATCAGCAAATCTTATCCCATCTAAAGACAAAAACTTAGAATGCCAGGATAAATCCCAGTGCAATCAGCTTCAAAGAACTATCCTAATTCTTTGATGTATCAAATATGTGTTAAATAAGTAAGCGGTTGGCTAGGATTTCAAAACCTACTTTGTTCTAGAGAGATTTAAAGCATAACACATTTTCTTTCAGAAACGGGGTCTTGCTATGTTGCCCAGGCTGGACTGCAATGGCTATTCACAGGCGAGGTCACAGAACAGTACAGCCTTGAACTCCTGACGTCAAACAATCCTCCTGTCTCAGCCTCCTGAGTAGCTAGGACCGTAGGTGTTCGCACCACCATGCCTGGCTCCAGACAGCCTCTTTAGAAATGACAGAACATTAAATGAAGACTATCCACTGTTTAAAGGTTAAAATAGCTAGCCTTTTTTTTTTTAATCCCTTCCTACCTTTTGATCAGAAAAGTTTGCTCTGTCTACTTTTTGAGGACACTGTATTTTATTACCATCCAAATATTAGAAATAACTTATATCTATGTGGTAGAAGTTCCAATATTCTATTTTTACTTTTTCCTGCAGCAAAGCCTAGATATTCTTTTCTGATACTCTGCTTCTCTCCTATGAAATCTCCCTTGTTTATTTCTCGCCATCTTGCTGATAATTATACAGCATTTTCGGGGGGGGGGGGGGTTCCCTAGTCCTAACTTGTAGACCTTCCAATAACTGTATACTTCTGATTGCTTTTACAGTTGCAATCACAGTATTTCCTCCCCCTCTTCGTGTCCTGATTCTGTACAGAATCAGAGAAGCTTCAGAGGCATTGTCTAACGAGAAGCAGAAGGCTTTTAGAGGCTGTCTTCAAGACCCATGCCTGGATGTTTTCCCCAAATAATCTTTTTTACTTAAAATGTCAGACCATAATAGAACCTCTAATTAAATGGTTGCTTTTATGCAAAGAATGGGCGGGGCTTGGGCTGGGTGTGGTGATGTGCATCTGTAATCCCAGCACATTGGGAGGCTGAGGCAGGAGGATCACTTGAGCCCAGGAGTTGGAGACCAGCCTAAACAACATAGCAAGACTCTGACTCTACAACAAAAAGTTTCAAAATTAGCTGAGCATGGTGATGTATGCCTACAGTTTCAGCTACTCAGGAAGCTGAGGGAGGAGGATTGCTTGAGCCTAGGAGTTCAAGGCTGCAGTGAGCTATGTTTGCACCACTGCATTCCTACACTCCAGCCTGGGTGGGAGGGCTGTTTGCTAATCATTTTATGTTTTCCCAAGCTGTTCCAAGAATTTGGCAGGGAGCTGACATCAACTGATCTGCCTATACTTGCTTTCCGAATAAACCACTGAAATACTGAAGCTGAAGACTTCTCACCTGTATCTAGGAATGGAACTGAGAATGGCATTACAAGGATTGGAAACATTTTAGTGATCATCTCAGATACCTGAAAGACTCACAGACTGAGACTGGTGGGGCTTCTCTAAAAGTCGCCATGGTATAATCTCACGCAGTGGAAAGATGGCAGGTCTTAGAACTGGGCACTATTCATTGAGCTGTTACCGTATAGAGGCATGGTGACAGCTGCAGCTTCAGAAACAACTGGCGAGCTTGTAGAACAAGCTTAGGCTCGCAGAGGTTCCTCTTTTTTTTTTTTTTTTTTTTTTTTTTGAGACAGGGTCTCACTCTGCTGCCCAGGCTGGAGTGCAGTGGCATGATCTAAGCTCACTGCAAGCTCTGCCTCCCAGGCTCAATCAATCCTCCCAACTCAGCCCCCTAAATAGCTGAGACTACAGGCATGCACCATCATGCCCAGCTAATTTTTTTTTCTTTTTTTTTTTTTTTTTTTTTGTAGAAGTGGGGTTTTGCCATGCTGACCTGGCTGGTCTCAAACTCCTGACCTCAAGTGATCTGGCTGCCTTGGCCTCCCAAAGTGCTAGGATTACAGGTGTGAGCCACCACACCTGGCTGGCTCCTAGAGGTTCTGATTCGCTGGTTGGGGTCTGGGTCCAGGAATCTGCATGTTCCCCTGTGCTTACCCAGGACATACTGATGTGAATGCCTTTCACCCCATAGTTTAAGAAACACTGCCTAGGGTCAGTAATGATTGGCTGTCGCTGCCGAGGTAACCCCAAGGGGACGCTGATGATCAGGAGGCTCTGGAGCCAAAGTAGTCTAACAGGCTGTGGGAAGCAACCTAGCACCTGCAAGCCCTGCCTCCTGCATTTCAGACACAGGCAAATTAAAAGACTTGAGCAAATGCTAACACAGCTTCTAACAGCTCAAGGCCACAACCCTAGGATGTCCCTAGTTCCCCTTAAAGTGCCTCCTTGAAAAAAAAAAACACAAAAATTTAAGGCTGCCAAATGAGTTTACTGTTTGTTCTATCCAGTATCTGACATAGGTCTCTTACCTCCCTTTCTTAGAGCATTTACCAAAAGGAGCTTATAATTGTGAATCTTCCTCCATCTTTGAGAGGTACAGGTGTGTGATATGACTCAAAAGAGTCTCAAGGACCTGAAAGTGCTTCCCTTGAAATGTAACAATCAGCCAGGCGTGGTGGCTAATGCCTGTAATCCCAGCACTTTGGGAGGCCGATCACCTGAGGTCAGGAGTTCGAGACCAGCCTGGCCAACATGGTGAAACCCCATCTCTACTAAAAATACAAAAATTAGCCGGGCATGGTGGTGCATGCCTGTAATTCCAGCTACGTGGGAGGCTGAGGCAGGAGAATCGCTTGAACCTGGGAGGTGGAGGTTGCAGTGAGCCAAGACCGTACCATTGCACTCCAGCCTGGGCAACAAGAGCGAAACTCTGTCTCAAAAAAAATAAAAAATTAAAAATAAAAGAAATGTAACAATCAGGAAGGACAGGGCCCCGTCTCCTGCTGCAGACACGGAGGATCTAATCGCATTGACACTAAGCCTTTGCAATTGTTCACTTCCCGGAATCTACCGATCCTCCTCCAGTCAGCGTCTGTACTCCCCCATTCCCCCTTTCAAATGCCCTGTGTACAAATCACAGTTGAGTTCAGCTCATGCTGGACTCTTTTTCCTATTGCAATAGACATTACTGATGAAGACCTGTCCAGACCAATTTAACTGGTGTCTGGCTTTGCTTGTTTTTGACACTGATGCTGATAGAATGCCTGCTGAAACCTTAGGCCAGGAGATGCTCTAAATTCAAAGTTATGAGAAACAGACTGTCATTGTTCATTCAAAGTGAAAACCTACAGGTACACACGGATACACACACAAACACAGGGATACACACACATGCACAGTTACGTCTGAACCAAGGAGAAAATGTGAAAGTGATTCCAGTGACTAAAGACTTCTCACCAGGGAAGAATTGACTGAAAATGCAGCAGAAAGCCAGCAGAGCAAGGAACTCCTCTCCTGGTGTCTATTCACATGCTCCTCCATTGCCCGGGAATGGGAAGTTGTAGAAAACAGAGACCAGAGGCCAGCCTGTGGGGTACATGTGTTGGGCAGTTCGCTGATTTTTCATTCTTCCCCTGTTTCTCACTCACTGTTTAAGGAAAAAGCCATGCCATGCCACTTGTTAAAGCACAGTAAGGAAGGCTTTATTCAAGACCGTTGTGATAGATGAAAGGACCTCTGCAGTTGCATGTTGCAGTGGTGGAGAGAGATTGAGCTCCACTCCAGACACAGCCTGGCCAAGTGGGTGGGGTGTGGGAGTGGTTAGTGGGGTGAAAATTACTAAGAGGAACCATCAGGGATATGAGGAATTTCGGCTGAACTAACGTAAGAGGATTCCTGCTGAAGGCAGGCAAGAGTGACCACACATCACCTGCTAAATGGTGGAGGAAGAGAAACCCGATTAGGTATTGAAGATGCGGGCGGCGGCGGGGGGGTGGTCCTCACTAAACAGACTTCGCAGGGCTCTTTACCAAAACTGGATTTTACAAGGAAGTGCACAGATGGTCCTACAAGAAGTTTCAAGACTCTAACTCAAGCTTCGCCAAGCAGTGAATCTTTGTCACCAATCCAACTCAAAAGTAAAAACTGAGCTAGACTAAGCAAATAAAGGGGAAGGACACATTGGCTGTAAAAAAAGAGTAAAAAAAGACTTGAGGGTTAAATTTTTTAAAAAAGGATTTTAGTCTCTGTCCTGCCACTAACTAGCTGTGTGCTCTTAGCTGAGTCATTTCATATCCTTGAATCTCGATCTCCTCACCTGTAAAACAAGCTGGTTAAATCGGAAGATCCAACTCCAACTCCATGCATGTGTATTTATCAAATGCTTATTATGTACCAGCTGCAAAGATAAATGAACCCCAGCTCTTGCCTTCACACGGGTAAAGGAGTTATGAGTGCTTGAAAGAGCATAATGAAAATTACTAGCCCGTAGATGGAGCCTGGGCAGGGAAGGAAATGATGTTAAATAAGGACCATGGAGACCCGAAGGCTCCCTGAGAAGGGCAGATTTATACTGAATGAAATTCAGGAAAAGGAAACCGCAGTCAAAAGGTGGAATTTCAGGATTTGAACATTTCAGATGCATAAAAGTTCTTGATGACAAGATGACAGTGCACACTTTAAATTATGAATGTGTGATTCAACAATTCTCATTTGAACTCCTACAGGTAACCCCTTAACAACGCAACAATCAAGTCCACAGCCGCAGTTGCTGTTGCCTAGTCTTTTGGTGACCTTAGGATCTAATCATCTTCAAGCTGGTAGATGACTATGCTTCCCAGTGTCAGGCCCATTAAAATTGATCCACCAACCCCGCCATTCCAGACCACGTGTGGTGCTAAACCTCCACTCATACTGGGTGTTTAGCTGTCAAATTCCAGAAATCCACATTAATGCCTGTTACACTGTAGCAGGTCAAAATTTGATATGTTTTTTCTTAATTTCACTTTTTAAAATCTTACTTTTGAAAAAAATTTCAGACTACAGGAAAGTTGAAACAACAGTACAATAAGCATGTTTAAACCCTTCACTCAGATTAACCAATTGTCAACAATTTGCCACATTTTTTCTCCGTGTGTGTGTGTGTGTGTGTGATATGGTTTGGAAGTGTGTCCCCACCCAAATCTCAGGTTGAATTGTAATCCCCAATGATGAAGGTGGGGCCTGGTGGAAGGTGATTAGATTACAGAGGTGGATTTCTCATGAATGCTTTACCACCATCCCCTTGATGCTCGTGATAGTGATTTCGTTCTCATATAAAAGTGTGTAGCACCTCCCCTTTCCCTCTTGCTCCTGTTTTTGTTATGTGACGTGCCTGCCCCCACCTTTGCCTTCTACCATGATTGTAACATTCCTGAATTCTCCCCAGGAGCCAAGGAGATGGTAGCACCACGCTTCCAGTAAAGCAAGCAGAACCGTGAGCCAATTAAACCTCTTTTCTTTGTAAATTCCACTGTCTCAGGTATTTATAGCAATGCAAGAACATACCAATACAGTGTGTACATACATACACATACATAACACATGCATACACACAGTACATATAATAAATATATGTACACCCAGGTTGTCATAAACAATTGAAAGTAACCTGCAGCTATTATAACAGTTAATCTTCCAAGTTTCAATACACGACTGTGGAGAGAAAGGACGTGTTCCTCCATAACCGTCACGATTATCCTATCTAAGAATATCAACTTAACTCAATAATGTCATCTCCTGTACAACCATGTTCATGTCTCTTCCCAAATGTCTTCTGTGGCATGTTATTCCTGATTGGAGATTTAATCAGTTTTCATGTCTCACATTTGGTGGTTACATCGCTTTAGCCTCTTTTAGTCTACGGTGGTCCTCCTGCCTTCTTGCTTTTGTTTTGTTTTACATGGCATTGGATTATTAGGAGAGTCCAGGCCTCTAGCCTGTAGAAAATCTCCCTGCAACACTCCTCCGTTGAGGACCTGACCGATGGCTTCCTCATGCTTAGATTCGAGTTAAGGGTGCTGGGAAAGACCGCCTCCCAGGGGAAGTGCACCTGTCATTGTGTCTGCAGCTCAGCACGTCCGGGTGCCGCACTGCTATCCCTCGGCTATGGTGGTGATCACCAGACATCTCCATTAGAAAGGTATGTTCTTCTCTTTGGAATCACCGAGTTACGGATCGGGTGGTACCTGCAGATCTGTCCTCTTAAGGTGAACATCTCTGAGAAAAGTAGAGCAGGAAAGAAAAGAACACAAAAGGGGGAGAAGGTAAGTAAGGAAGGGCATGTGGAAGGCATGTCATAGTCCATTTAAAAAATAAAAAGATTGAAAATATAACTATATATCACATTTATAATTATATACAGGCCTGGCACAGTGGCTCGCACTTATAATCCCAGCACTTTGGGAGGCTGAGGCAGGAGGCTCACTTGAGTCCCAGAATTCGAGACAAGCCTGGGAAACATAGTGAGACTCCTCTCTACAAAAATAAAAATAAAAATAAAAATAAATTAAAATAAATAAAATAAAATAAAATAAAATTAGCTCAGCATAGTGGCACATGCCTGCCTGTCATCTCAGCTACTCAGGGGGCTGAGGTGGGAGAATGGCTTGAACCCAGGAGGTTGAAGCTGCAATGAGCCATGGTTATGCCATTGCACTCTAACCTGGGCAGCAGAGTGAGACCTTGTCTCAAAATAAAATAAAATAAAAAGCTTCACTTAAATAGTGTGGAGAAATAAGAAATGTGAAGCTAGGGAGGTGTGACTAAGACTTGAGAGCAGACTGAGATTGTTTCGCTATTTCTCTGGACGCTGACCCTGATTTAGGGTCAATGACAACAAAATAATCCCCAACAGTAATCACTGAATTATCATTGTTGACATTCCCACCTAGTTATCCTACTTCTTAATTAGGCCTTTATTTTAGATGTGTCTCTGTATTTTAATTATACCTAATTATATGTAATTGCATATTCTTAGTTCATTTCATTATGGCTATGAGCAGAAAAGCACTTTGCCCGGAAAGTGTGCTGACTTTCCACATATTCTGTTTACTCTTCTTTCCAGTGGCCAGTGTGGATAGGGGAAGTTAATTTGTATAGACATGTTTCCCACCCTCAACAGACGCCCTTAGACACTGCTGCTATTGAGAGGCGGGGCCTATGTCTTCTTGAAATTGGGTGGGTGTTCGTGACTGTTTAGATCAGCAGAGCACAGTGGAAGCGACATTATGTGGCATCTAAGTCATAAAAAATGACCCAGGTTTCACTTTGCCCTCAAATTCTGCTATGTAGGCAGCCTCACTGCCCTGAGGTCACCATACTAGCAGGAATACCAAACCAGCTCCCCAGGAGACCATGAAGAGAGGCCCTGAGACTGCAGAGAGACAGGAAGAGAGAGAGAGAGAGTTGATTGGACAGCCCTAGTGGCTTCAGCCTCTCTCCACCAGCCCCCCATTATTCCAGTTCCCATCCACCAACTGATGGGCGTTGTTTTGAGCAACTCTGTTTGGGGTATTTTTAAATGTAGCAATACCAACAGGGCCTCCTCTTTTCACTACTCCACTTTCTTGTAAGGTGCTAGATTCCTATTCTTCTGATTGGTCTCAAAAATGAAGTGGCCCAGGGATTGAAGACACAGAACCCAGACATAGGAAATATGATTGTTAGACTGCAATATCTGAAGCCAGACCCATTGATTATATTATTGTCCCCAGAACTTTCCTTTTGTTGCTCTGTACAAGGAAAGCTTAGTCCCCCTTTGACTAGTTAAGAAAGACTATCTTTTCCCAATATCCACAGTTCTGAATCTTAACAGGCAAAAGCAGTGCAAAATAAGTCCAATTTAAATTAGTGTGACAGCAAGGGCCCGGGCCTTGGACTTAGAAGTATTGCCTTTGGGTTTCTGCCTCACTGCTTGGTTTTGTTGTTGAAAGGATGGCACCGTCCCTTTGAGCTTTCATTCTTCCTCTCTGAACTGGGAACAATACCTCACCTGTCTACTTCACCAGGTCGTATTGAGAGAGTCGTATGTGATAGCATACTTGAAAACATTTTGTAAGCTGTAATACACTAACCAAATGCAAGAGATTTTCAGTATAATTGTCACTGAGAAGTTATTTATCTGCTTTAATTCCCTCATCTGCAAGGTGGGGACAATATAATATGACCTTTCCCCTATTCTCATCAAGACACTGCTATAAATATGTGCAATAATAACTAAAGTCACTCAGATTGGGGTGTAGGGAGGAGAGGTCAGGGTGGAATATGTTAAGTAAATAATGGGTATCTATTCAACAAACAAACACTGAGTGGCTACTATGTACAGGCACCAAGTTAGGTTGTGGACATACTGAAAGCAATAAATGGCCCTTCCCATTGAGGAACTTACTGTCTAGTGGAACATTATGGCACAGAAAGCTCTCTTAATACAGTTTATTAAGTAGTAATGAAGTAGGAGCCTGAACTCAACTTCAGGGGCTGGGCTTGGACACTGGACCAAATTAAGGACTAGCTAAAACGGAGTGGAAGCAGCTTTCCATAAGACACGCCCACCAGTGCACCATGTCATTTTACCATTGCCATGGCAATGCCCAGAAGTTGCTGCTCCTTTTCACAGCAGCAGCCCAACGACTTGGAAGTTACCACCTTTCCTAGATATTTCTACATGATCTGCCCCGTAATTTGCATGTAATTAAAAGTAGGCATATGCCAGGTCCGGTGGCTCACGCCTGTAATCCCAGCACTTTGGGAGGCCAAGGAGGGCGAATCACCTGAGGTCAGGAGTTCGAGACCAGCCTGGACAACATGGTGAAACCCTGTCTCTATTAAAAATACCAAAGTTAGCCTTTAGTCTCTACTAAAAATACCAAAGTTAGCCTTTGGTATCACAGGTTAATGCACCTGTAATTCCAGCTACTCGGGAGGCTGAGGCAGGAGAATCGCTTGAACCCTGGAGGGGGAGGTTGCAGTAAGCTGAGGCAGCACCACTGCCCTCCAGTCTGGGTGACAGAGCAAGACTCTGTCTCAAAAAAAAAAAAGTGTAGGTATAAATATGACTGCAGAATGCCTCTGAGCTGCTACTCTGGGCACACTGCCTATGGGGTAGCCCTGCTCCGCAAAGAGCAGTGCCTCTGCTGTTGCTGTGCACTGCTGTTTCAATAAAAGTTACAGTTTAACACCACAAGCTCACCCTTGAATTCTTTCATGGGCAAAGCCAAGAACCATCCCGGGCTAAGTCCCGATTTAGGGGCTTGCCTGTCCACCATCAGTAAAATTAGAGAGAGTCACTGTATTAGTCTGTTCTCATGCTGCTAATAAGACATACCTGAGACTGAGTAATTTATAAAGGAAGAGGTTTAATTGACTCACAGTTTAGCATGGCTGGGGAGTCCTCAGAGAACTTAAAATCATGGCAGAAGGGGAAGCAAACATGTCCTTCTTCACATGGTGGCAACAAGTAGAAGTGCTGAGCCAAAGGGGGAAAGCCCCTTATAAAATCATCAGGTCTCATGAGAACTCACCCACTATCACAAGAACAGCAGCATGGGGGTAATTGCCCCCATGATTCAATTACCTCCCACTGGGTCCCTCCCACGACACATGGGTATTATGGCAACTACAGTTCAAAATGAGATTTGGGTGGGGAGACAGCCAAACCATATCAGTAACCAAGGTGGACTCAGTGTGCATGGTTGGCAAAGCATGGTGGTAAAGATCGTGGGGTCTACACTTGACTGCTTGAGTCTAGATCTGGACCATTTACTCCCGACCTTGGAAAAGTTCCTAAAAAAAAGTTCCTAAGTTCTCTGTGCCTCAATAAAAGGAGAACAATAACCAACCGTGTTAGTTTCCAGGGCTGCCATAATAAAGTATCAAAGCCTGGGTGGTTTAAACAACAGAAATTTCTCTTACAGTTCTGGAAGCCAGAAATCTGAGATCAAAGCGTTAGCACGGTTGAGTTCTCCTGAACCCTCTCTCCTCACCTCTCATATGTGTCTGTGTCCAAATTTCCTCTTAGTATAAGGACACCAGTCATATTGGATTACAGACATCCTAATTATCTCATTTAACTTACCTCTTTAAAGATCCTAGCTCCAAATAGCCTATGGAGGTACTGAGGGTTGGGACATCAACACATGAATTTGGCGGAGGGAGAGACATAATTCCTCCCAAGATCAACCTCAGAACACTGTAGAAGGAGGACATGAGACTACATGTAAGGCATTTAGCCAATGTCTAGAACACAGAGTAAACACTCAATTAGTATGAGTTATTATTATATGGTGCTATGAAGCCTATGTATTGTGAAACTCATATTTGTGAGGGAAAATCAGGGAAGGCTTCCCATAGGCAGTGATCTCTGAGAGGAGATCTGAAGGATGGTAGCATTAGCGGGTTGACAGACAAGTTGCTGGGAGTGAGGTAAATGTATACCAGGCAGAAAGAACACAAAAATTATTTAAAGTACTGCTTTCTTAAACTTTAATGTGTGTATAAATCATCTAAGAATCTTATAAAAATGCAGATTCTGATTCAGCAGGTTCAGAGTGAGACATTTCTAACAAAGATCCCAGAGAATGACAGTGATGCTGGTCCCTGTTCCACACCTCCATGTAGTAACAAGTTTATAACTGGGTGCAAAATCTCAGGAGGAAAAGGCAAGTTATTTGAGGATAGCTGGCATGAAAATTGCATATGGGTGGAGATTAGAGACTGCTGGATAGGGAAAGAAGAGCAGAGATGAGACCTGTGATGCTGATCTCTGCTTAAAAGGCTAAATCACCAAGGGCCTTATAAGTTAAGCAAAGAAAGAAAGAGAGAGAGAGAGAGAAGGAAAGAAAGAAAAGAAAGAAAGAAAAAAGAAAGAAAGAAAGAGAGAGAGAGAGAATTTAGAGCACCAAAGACAACCAAAGAGCTTCCAAATGGAAAAATGGATTGAAGGAGAGCCCCACTGGAAGAAAGAAAACCAACTAAAATATTTTTCCTGTTAAGTAGATGAGAAATGATGGTAGTCTGATCTAACATAGTGGCCTTGGGCATGGGGAGAAGTGGAGGAATTCAAGAGATATGAAAAGACAGAATCATCCATTTGGTGACTGGTTTGCTTGGGGGAGATGAAGGGAAGGGAAGACATAAGAAAGACCTGGAATGAGGTTATTGGGTTGGTTTCAGCTGCTGACTGTCAATACAAAACAACTAAGTACACGGAGAATGGCTGTTCATTAGGAGCATACACAGGCCATGTCTTCTCCGTCTCAGTTATTCCTGCTAATTTTGGACACGGTTGGCCTGCTTTGTTCAAACCACATTCAAAAGGCCTCAATTTCTACTAAGTACTCACGGCCTAGTAGGGCAACACAAAACCAGGAAAGTAAATCTGTACTTCAAAACTCAACAGTAATTTTTGTATTTTCTCCCCAAGTGTGGCACGTGTTAGCGTTCCCAAATTAGCTATTACTCCTTGAGGGCAATGGCCATGTCAAACCTATTGTTTCCATTCCCCACAGTGCTGATGACCAAATAGGCACTAAGAGCTGGTTGACTATTTGGGAGAATAACGTCTAGATGATTACATATCAATGCCATTTGTTATCTCACAGACTGATTATAATAATAACATCTGTAAGTTGTTGAGTAACTCTTTTACGTGCATTATAAATGCCACCATCTTCTTTGGGTTATCAGACTCCTCTCAGATCCTTATGTCCAGGCAGTTTGGATAAGAATGTGTTTGACTACAGCTTCATTGAATTATTTTAATAGAATGGAAGCCTATCCATTACTGTTAAACTCCACTGCCATCTACTGTTCGTATAATAAAGTAACATATTGTGCTCTCAATCTCCGAAACTCACCTCTATGCTCTATTCCTTACAAGTGAATTTTTGTTTTCCTCAGATCTCAAGGGCTTTCTATGCTTTGAGCTTCAACACAAGTAGATGTAATTTTTAAATAGTTTTGTTACAACAATCCAGCATGATATTGACAATTTTCTTTCATGGGCAAAAAAGTTCATGGTGTTATAGAAAAGTAAACATTTTTCACTTAATGAAACCATGAGCTTTTCATGTGCCTCCCCCCACATAAAGAAACTAAAAGAAAAAGGTAATGGAATTACTGAAAAATGCATCCCCACCTCTAGGAGATATCACTAAATTGGACATCTCTGTCGGCCACATTCCATTCAGAGTGTGACCCTCATCCTTCAAGGTCCTGTTTTCAAATGATACCTTCTCCATAAAACGTTCCCTGATTCTTCACTCTGTAATTAAATTCTTCATTCCACAATTGGTAATTGTTATAACTTATCCACATAAATGAAGAAAGTCAAAAACTCCAGTTTAAAAAAATAACTTTGTAAATCATCCCCCCTCATCTTCCCTACTCTGTTGGTTCTTGTTTTTAGACTGGACTCTCAGGTGTAACAATATTATTGTTACTGGTGGAGAGTACTGACTACAAATCACCCAGGTTCTTGGCATTTTGAACAAAGAATTGGACAAAATTCACAAACAAAGCAACAAAAAAGTGAAGCGACAAAAGCATAGATTTACTGAAACAAAAGTACACTCCACAGAGCGGGAGCGGGCTCAAGCAAGTGGCTCAAGAGCGCTGGTTACAGAATTTTCTGGGGCTTAATTTTTTTATTTTTTTGAGGCGGAGTCTTGTTCTGTCACCCAGGCTGGAGTGCGGTGGCACAATCTTGGCTCACTGCAACCTACACCTCCCAGGTTCAAGCAATTCTCCTGCTTCAGCCTCCCCAATAGCTGGGATTACAGGCCCACACCACACCTGGCTAATTTTTGTAATTTTAGTAGAGATAGGGTTTCACCATGTCGGTTGGCCAGGCTAGTCTGGAACTCCTAACCTTGTGATCCACCCTCCTCAGCCTCCCAAAGTGGTGGGATTACAGGTGTGAGCCATCGTGCAGCATGGGGTTTAAATAGCCTCTAGAGGTTTCCCATTGGTTACTTGGTTACACCCTATGTAAATGAAGGAGTGGCCCGTCACAAGTCTGACTGATCATGGGAGGTGACCAATCAGAGTCTGAAGTGACGGTAGTTACAAAGTTACACATGAAGACTTGGCCTGCAACCAGTCTGAATGGTTGTGGGAGGGGACCAATCAGAGGTACTTTCCATTTTTCATTTGCAGTGCAGTGCAAAGGGAGTAGCCTCTGATCCTTTCGTTACATTCGTGTGAAGAGGTGGGGTTTCCCCTCTGATTCAGTTCTAGGAAGTCAGTGAGAATTGGCCTTAGGTTCCCTGCCTCTAGACCCTATTCTCCTGTCTCATTTTCCCGCTGTGAGACATGATCCCCATAAATCTTTATGGGAGGCAGAGGGACCAATGGTCTTTCTTCTGTAACTGCTTCATGCTGACTTGGGGTGCGGTGCCTACCTATTTGGGATCACAGAACTCTCACTCTGCTCTGTCTAGTGGATACAGGGTAGCTTCTTGATAGCCAGTAGTGGTGTCTTCACCTGAACTGGCTGGAAACCTTGTTGCATGATCATCTGAAGCTTGATGGTCTCTAGGCGAGAGGAAATTAATTTGGTTAATGTATTTAATAAATATGGTCCAAAAACCAAGGCAAGTATAATTAACAACGAGCCAGTCAGAGGAAGGACTCATGAACCCCTAATTAGCATTTTTGAACAGGAGGACCACGACTTGGACAGCTGTTGTCGTATCTTAGAAGCCTGGTCAGCTAATTTCTGGGTGGCATCCCTTACTAATTCTAATTGGTTGACATAAAAACAGCATTCTTCCTCTAGAAAAAGACATAAGCCACCTTTTCCAGCAGTTAGGAGATCCAGTCCCCTTCTATTTTGTAAAGCAACTGCTGCCAAGGAGTCTGTTTGAGTTTGTGTTGTGACGATACTTTGGGCAATGTCATCCAAGCTTTCCACAAAATCCTTGGAAAGTGCTGGTAACAGTATAGGGAAGTTGCAAGCCCGGTAACTCCCGTTCCTGCTCTCACTGTTATTCCTAGCCCAACAAAAAGGCGTTTGAGTTGGATTGCTCATTTGTGTCTGGCGGTTGCAGTTAAAGGTATAATGAGGGATTGGTTGTTGAGAGCTCTCCCTCTCTCTCTCTAAATATATATATATATATACACATATATATATAGTTTGTTTGTTTTGAGACAGTCTCCCTCTGTCACCCAGGCTGGAGCACAGTGGCTCAGTCTTGGCTCACTGCAACCTCTGTCTCCAGGGTTCAAGTGATTCTCCTGTCTCAGTCTCCAGAGTAGCTGGGATTACAGGTGTGCGCCACCATACCCGGCTAATTTTTTGTATTTTTAGTAGAAACAGGGTTTCAGCATGTTGGCCAGGCTGGTCTCGAACTCCTGACCTCAGGTGATCCGCCTGCCTCGGCCTCCCAAAGTGCTGGGATTATAGGCGTGAGAAACTGCGCCCGGCCGGGAGCTATATTGATTTCGGAGGCTAAAAACCAAGTGTACAGGTTCCAGTCCAATTGGCTGGTAAACACAGTAGGAACTGGTGCTGCACAGGGAAAAGGTTCCTTGTTTTTCAAGACAAAAATTGTTTTCCATGGTGAACATGTGGGTTAGCTTGTTGTTTTCACTTTCCCAAGTGGTTAAGTTTCCTACTAAAGTGGCCAAGCGAAAATGTCAACCCAGCTAGTGGGCCCACCTTCACAGTACTTAGACTGTGCATCCTTTAAAGTGCCCTTAACTAGGGATGGTTTCCATGAAAAGCATACAGGTTTTCTAAACGATGCAGTTTGGTTAATTGCATAGCTTACATGATTGTGTGAGGGTTAATTTCTGGGGTGTGGTTGCATTGAAGACTTCAAGTTCCCACGACCTGAACAGAATTTTGGCTTCTTTCAATACAAAGTGGCATCTGGAATTTTAGCTCTGTGTATGTTGATGTTGGGCCCCTAATGGGTTTCTGTGGGAATGCACCCTCAAAAAGGTTGCTCTGATTGGACTGGAGAGGGTTTACTGCTCATCCTGTCATTTTAACCTTTGTCATTTCCATACTTTTGAAGTCTTATAAGTCATCCAGATTCATTAATTCAAAGGGAGTTCCTCCCTGGTAGTTGGAATGATAGGTCATTTTTTTCAAGGACCCAAGATCGGGCTGGGATAGGGATGGCAGTGTATCTGGATGAAGATAGGAGATAAACAAAGCCAACAGTCCTTTGCCAGAGCTGAGCTGGTGGTATTTAACAGTCTTTGCATTAAATTTAAAGTTCTTAATAAATACCCAGAATCTATTAATTGCCAGAGGGGTAAAGTGAAGCTCTGTTGTAAAATAAAGCTGATTCCCTGTATGCGGTGTCCCTGTGTATACTGGGTGTATACTGGGTGTCCATTATGGAACAAAAAAAAAATACTTATTTGCTATTTTGTTCTATAGAATGGGAACTTCAGGGGGTGGATACCTGTGCTGTCAGGAATGCTAGTTATAAAAATGAATTAAAACACTTCATATATTACAAAGGAAGTGATTCCATCTATTTGGACGAAAGCAATTAAACTGCAAAAATATAAAAAATGGCAACTATTATTCAGTCTACAGTAACTATGCAACAAAGACACCAAGGAAAGTTGGTAGGCATTTACGTATCTCACTTAAAACAAGTCTATAAAGTGGTTTATTTTAAGAAGGGTACATTTTAAGAAGGACAAAATCAAAAGCATGGACAAGTGTTGGATGAGCTGATGAGGTTGTGGCAATTTACTTTGTGAATACTGTGAGAGTTTGTCCAACTCGCTGTGCTTAGGTACTAGATGGTGAGGATTTAAAAGGTCAATGAAGTCACAGCAGACCAGCACTCAAACATATTTCTCTTCTATTTCCTACTTTTGAATAAAAATGTCAGAAGTGGGCGGTGGGAAAGGAACAAGCAAAGGAGTAATTATTTGAATAAATTTTTGGCGAAACGTGGGTGTCTGACGGGGAGGCTGTGCGGTGGTGACCAACGCACCCATGCGCTGGGTTTCACAGATGCAGACTGAAGTCCAGGCTCTGCTGCAGATTAACGGGGTGGCCGCCAGCAAGTCAAGTGACTTGCTCTTCTGTGCACTGCATGTACTTGGGTTCCTCTCACAGGTATTCCTGTTTTTCCTCTTTCTTGCTCCAGGTTACACCTCGTGGCGCGGCGCTCTCGGAGAGCCTGTGGAGTGGCCCTGTGTCCCTCCCTGACCCCTGGAGGATTCCGTAAGGTCACAGTCACCGCCTCCATCCCCTACTTGCCATGTCTTCAGGGCTAATGCATAACAATTATCACAATTTACAGCAGCCCCACGCTCTGAAGAGCTTCTGGAGGGGATACTACTCAAGCGGAGGAAGGCAAGACAGGGACCTCCTCCCTCTTCCCGGACCTCTTCTGATAAGGAATATTTGTAGGTGGTTAAGAAAGGCAGCGGGAGGGCGTGAAGGCAAAGACAAGCTTTTTTTCTCGTAGGAACACACATCTTCTGGTCTGGCTGTGTTTCCGGAGGCATTTCCAGAGGACCTAGCGAGGACCAACTTCCGGCTGCGACTTCCGCGTCTTCCGAGTTTCGAGACCTGCTGCTTCCGCCCGGAGTTGTTGTGGGCTCCAGCAGCGAGTAGCCACTTCCGCTAGGAGTCCCTAGCGGCCAGGGCGTGGAAGCGGATTCTGAGGCGGCTTTCTCCTACTGCCCTCCGCTTGCCAACGCGGGACCCGGAGCCCAACGGCAGCGGCGGTCCTTGGGCCTGTGGAGAGGGGTTCTCTGTGGCCGAGTCCTAGGCCTGGTGAACCGCGCGGTGCGGGAGAGGCGCTTGGGCCTCGTCCAGCCCCAGCCCCTGTCTCCCCGCGGCCGGTGCCGGCGGCTGTAGGCCTCGCCGCGCCCACCCAGCCTGGGGCGGGCCCAGCCTCACCGCCCGGCCCGCCCCGCCCCACGGGCCAGCCCCGCGCCGGGTGTTTCCGCTACTTCCCTGCGGCGGGGTAACCGCCTCGCACCTACCGGGCTCGGTTCCCTGGCTCCGGCCGCGGGGGAGCATGGAGTTTGCGGAGCTGATTAAGACCCCGCGGGTGGACAATGTGGTGCTGCACCGGCCTTTCTACCCGGCTGTCGAGGGCACCCTGTGCCTGACGGGCCACCACTTGATCCTGTCCTCCCGGCAGGACAATACGGAGGAGCTGTGGCTCCTCCATTCAAACATCGACGCCATCGACAAGCGGTGAGTGCCCGCCCCACCCCAGCTCCGCAGGGAGCCGGGGGTCCCTTGTGGGCGCCCCGGGAAATACTTCCTGGCGTTTTCCGCGCAGCCTGCCGCCCAGCTAGCCGGCAAGATGAGCCCTCTGTGGCCTAGAATCAGGATTTACCAAGCTGAAACCCGTCCAGATGGAGGACCCGGTTTCCATTAAACCTGGATGGAGTTCTCAGGGTTATCGTGTGGCTGGTACCATCCTGATGATCATTTCTGGTTCGTAACACCATTTGGGTGGATTTTCGGCATTGTCTTTATAAATTTCTTCTTCTTCTTGCCCCATCGTATTCCTTGAATTGGTATTGTCAGTCACCGTTCATGAAGTGATTGGATGTGATTTAGGTAAAGTCTTTACCATTTCTGAGGAAAACTAAACAGATTATAAAGTTATGAGTGTCTACATGCTACAGAACCATTTTTTTAATTTCTGAAAAATGTTCAGTGTATCATATTATTTCTTACCTTCTGGGTCATCAAAATTTAATTCTCACTAAGGGAGATTCTGATGTCTTCTCTTCATCTTTACTCAATTCTGCTTGCTGAAAGAACAGGGTTGGCTCTCAAGGAAAGGCATGGACCAGTTAACCTCTTTTTTCTTTTTGTACTCCAGACTTTATCTTTCCAAGGCAGTGCCTCGAAGTCAAAAAGTTAAACTTTCATCTGCATTCAAAATTCCCATCTCCTTAGTGGCTACTCGCTAGCCAGGAGAGGGCAAACTGATTATCCGTTTTACACAGAAGTATAAATGAATGACGACAACATTTTCTATTGCCTCACAGGATAATTTGGATATTAGGAAGATTCGTACAGAGGATATGCCTTAAAATAATAATCTCTTTCTTTCTTTCTTTTTTTTTTTTTTTTTTTTTTTTGAGACGAAATCTCACTGTATTGCCCAGGCTGGAGTGCGGTGGCCAATCTCGGCTCACTGTAACCTCCACCTCCCAGGTTCTAGCGATTCTTCTGTCTCAGCCTCCCGAGTAGCTGGGATTACAGGCACGCGCCACCACACCCGGCTAATTTTTGTATTTTTTAGTAGAGATGGGGTTTCACCATATTGACCAGGCTGGTCTTGAACTCCTGACCTCGCAATCCTCCCGCCTAGGCCTCCCACAGTTCTGGGATTACAGGCGTGAGCCACTGCGCCTGGCCTAAAATAAAAATTTCTAATGGTAGAATTGCAGGCAGTTTGGGTGAAGCCATGGTAGATTGATTGATTGATATGAGCAGGGGGCTCTTATTAGTCTCCTCAAGCCACCTTTTGCTGTATAAAGTCTTCAGTGGGCCCGGCACGGTGGCTCACGCCTGTAATCCCAGCACTTTGGGAGGCCAAGGTGAGCGGATCACCTGAGGTTAGGAGTTTGAGACCAGCCTGACCAACATGATGAAAGCCCGTCTCTACTAAAAATACAAAAAATTAACCGGGCATAGTGGCAGGTGCCTGTAATCCCAGTTACTCAGGAGGCTGAGGCGGAAAAATCGCTTGAACCTTGGAAGCAGAGGTTGCAGTGAGCCGAGATCGGGCCACTGCACTCCTTCCTTTGCAACAAGAGCAAAACTCCATCTCAAAAAAAAAAAAAAAAAAAAAAAAAAGTCTTCAGTGGTCTCTCATTGAAAATCTAAACCCCTCAGTCATTCATGGCATTCTGTGTCTCGGCCCTATCCTACTTTCTCACTTTATTTCTTGCCATTTCTTTTAACGAGCCTTTCTTGCACTTGCTTTCATGAACGCTTTTTACCAGCCAGTCCTCACTATTTACTGGTGCTGGTATATGTCCTGTATTCTGTCATCTGTGTATTTTATTGACTTCTTCCTTCTGCTGGAATGCCTTGCCTCTCCCAAGTTTGTTTAACATTTGCCAAATGCCTTTATGTTCTGGACGTTTTGTTAGGCATTTAAGACACCAAGGTAAATAAAATATGTTACAGTTCTTGTCTTTCAGGAGTTCACAGGCAATGAGCCTGTTACCTGTCTATGAGTATTCAGTTTAACCATTTCGACCGCTACCTCCTTCACAAATTCTTCTGTTAATTCCACAACTGGAATTCATTTTTATCTCCTTCGAAACGTCTAACTGTGGCTTGGGCATATAGACGCGTAGGAAACAAAAGAAGGATTGACCGCTGAATGGTCAGATGCCGTTGAATACAACTGAGTAGTTTCTCCATGACCATCAACTACCTTTCCTTTCTTATTTACCTTTTATGGTGGTTACTTTGCGCTCATTTGTTTCCTCCTTTTTACCTTGCATTTACAAGGTGCTGGGCTTTGTAGTACATGAAGAAGAAGCAGATGAGCCATGGACCTTTGAATCTGTTAGGAGAGAATGACGAACTGTACACACATTTATCCTTTTCCTGGGAAGCAGCGTGGTGTAGTGAAAGAGCATAGGGGAGGCATCAGATCAGAGTTTGTTAAATTGCTGCTTTCAAGAAATCTTTACATCCACCTGTTTTCCACGTGCATTGTCTGAGCTGTGCGGCTGCAGTGGTGACTAAGACAAGATGCTTAGGTACTGGCCAGGGAGATGGACAATCAAGCAAGTCCAGAAATAAATATATATATTTATTAGATATATTTATATTTATTATGTTTATTATATATTATATATATTATAATATATATTATATATTATATATTATTTTCTTATATATTTATTATTTATTTATTATATATTTATTATATATTATATATAATACATATTATATAATACATATAATATATAATATATAACATTATATATTTTATTATATATGTTATATATTATATTATAATATATAACATATATAATACGTATTATATATAACATAATATGTATTATATATTATATAATATGTGTTATATATCATACGTATTATATACTATGTATTATATATGTATTATATAATATATATTACATATAATACATAGTATATAATACGTATGATATATAATATATATTATATAATACGTATTATATAATATATATTATATTTCACCTATATAATATATATAATTATTCACCTAATTATATTAAATAATTATTCACCTAAATATTCACCTAATTATTCAGCGAATAGGTGAATAATTATTTATTCACCTATTCACCTAATACATGTAATTATTATATATAATATATTAATAATTATAATATATAATAATAATAATTATATTATAATAATTATATATTATAATATAGTATAATATAGCATATAATATATATTATAATATGTATATATAATATATATACATAAATATATAATATATTTATATATATATAATATATATATAATGATGTCAGGTAATAAGGGCCAGGAAGGAAAGTAACGGAAGATGAGAGGATAAAGAGCACTGGGAGGCAGTTTCCTTAGAAAGGATTTCAGAGAAGGCAGGTGACATCTGACTACAGACCGGAATGAAATGAGGAAGCTAGAACTGTGAGTGTCTGGGGGAAGAGCATTGCAGCCAGAGGGAACAGCGAATACAAAGACTTGAGATGGGGAACATGCTTGGCATGTGCAGAGAAGAGCGAAGAGGCCAGTGTGGCTGCAGGGCAGGGAACAGAGAGTACAGGAAGTTGATGGTAGAGACTGGCTGGAGGGATAAGCAGTGGTCAGACCGTGGAGGGCCTGCAGGCCACAGTAATGGTTTTCATGGGAGCCCTTGGAGAGGTGAAAGCTAGGAAGCAGCAGCTGATAGATGTTTCAGAAGACAATTCTGGCTGCTGGCAGAAAATAAACTGTAGGGGGGCAAGACTGGAAGCAGCAGGCCCAGCTTGGAGAGTAGAGTAGTTCACATAAAAGATGATGGTAGGCCGGGCACGGTGGCTCACGCCTGTAATCCCAGCACTCTGGGAGGCCGAGGCGGGCAGATCACCTGAGGTCAGGAGTTCGACACAGCCTGGCCAGTATGGTGAAACCTCATCTCTACTGAAAATACAAAAAATAGCTGGGTTTGGTGGTGCATGTCTCTGATCCCAGCTACTCAGGAGGCTGAGGCAGGAGAATCACTTCACCCTGGGAGGCCGAGGTTGCAGTAAACTGAGATTGCACCACTGAACTCCACCCTGGGGTGACAGAGTGAGTCTCTGTCTCAAAACAAACAAACAAACAAACAAAAAACAGTAGTGTAGTCACAAGGAATCTGATTTGGGATGTGTTTTTGAAAGTGGAGCTGCCTTGCCTTGCTGGTGAATTGTAAATGAGGTGAGAAAGTCATTAAGGGTAACTCCTTCAGTTCTGCCTCTTACTAGACAAGTGCCTTTGGGCAAACTACTTAACCTCGTAGAAACTTAAGTTTAAATAATGCTTCACAAGTCTGTGGAATACTTTCATATATATCGCTTACATCATTTTATTTGATCCTTTCAACATGCAAGGTTGTATACAAGTTTTACAGTTATACCTGGTTTTTTTTTTAATGGACCTCAGAAAATTGAGTTACTACTACTCAGTTGATGACTCATCATTTTCATGATTGATTCCTTAAAAGGTTTCCTCTGTTGTTGATTTTCTTCCTCCCTAATTTTCACTCCCGTTTCCTGCCTCATCCACAATCCCTGTAGGCAACCACGTTAGTTGTTGCTATAAAATAGATAGCACTATTGTGTATGGGTGTGCGCACACATGCATGTGTGAGTTTAATTTGCCTAACTGGGATTATGTTGTAGATCTTGTTCTGCTTCTTAATATGGTGACACAATACTGTTTCAAGATCTCTTCATATTGCTGTGTGTACAACCATTTCACTGCTTCTGACAGCATAGGATTCCAAAGTATCTAAAAGAGCTTCCTTAACAGACCTTTTAGGTAACTTCCAACTCCCTGCTATCACAAACAACTCTGGTAAACATACTCATTCATGTCCCTTTATATAGTCTTGTGCCATAATTGCTCTGAGACTGCCCCTAGGATGGGATGGCGCCATAAAGTAGGTGCGTATCTCATTTCACAAACTAATTGCTTTCCAGGATGACAATTGCACATTGCCTTCCCATGATGGTGCAGGAGAGGGTACCTCGTCTCCACTTTCTTACCAACATTTGGTATTGTCTTTCTAATTTTTCCAGTCTGAAGATTGTGAAATAGTTATTGCTTTGTTTTAATTTGAATTTCATTAATTATTAGTGTTTAATTATCTTTGTATATGCTTGTGAGCAGTATACTTAAAATTTTTTTTTTTCCTTTTTGTGAATTGCCTAATTTCTGTGGTCTACTTTTAAACATTGGGTTTATTGTCCTTCTCATGTTGATTTGCATGGGTACCTTGTATACTCTGTGGGTGTTCATTCTCCATTTAGGCATTACGAATGTTTTCTAGTGTGTCACCCATCTGTTGTTTTTTTCTGTGGTGCCCTTTGTTGAACAGAAATCTTTACTTTTAATGCAGAACTTGCCAATGTTTTGCTTTATGGTGTGTGGCTTGTCTTAAGAACTCCTTCCCTGTCCCCAAATCACCAGGATGTTCTCCTACATTTTCTTCCATAATAGCTTCATAGTTTTACTGTTCATTTTTAGGTCTTTAATTTGGATTCTATCTTTGTTTCAAGTGTGATAAGAACCTATTTTTCTCCATAGAGCAAGCCAGTTTTCTTAATCCCATCACGTGACAACCCAACCTTGGCTGGTTTATGTCAAGTTATCCTATATATACGGGTCTGTTTCTGAGCTCTCTGTCATAATCCATTGGTTCATTAATCTGCTCTTTTGTCATCATCATATTCTCTTTCCTTCTGTGGCTTTGTGATGTGTCCAAAAATCGGATAGTGCTAGTTGCCCCGCTTTCGTTTTTTTTTTTTTTTTTTAAAGTTGACAACTATGTTTCGACCTTTATGTTTCCATGCAATTTTGGAAAACTTGCTATGTTCATGGGATTTTTAAAAGTCTTTAATAATAATTGAAGACTCAAAGGCAGTTGCAAAAATTGCACATAGAGGTTTTAGAATCGTCCACTCAGCTTCCCCTAATGTTGACCTGTTTTATAACTGTAGTGTAATCAAAATGAGGACAAAATTAGGACATTGACATTGGTGCAGTACTATTAACTAGACCACAGACTTTATACAATTTTCATAGGATTTTAAAAAAATGAATTGTTTTGGATTTATAGATTAATTGGAGTCAAATTGACATCTTGACATCCATGAACAATGTTACATTATTTATTCAGATCTTCCTTTAAGTCCCTTAGTGGAACTTTAAGATGGTGTATATGCTAGGTGCTGTACTAGGAGCTGAGGATATAGAAATTAATCAAACATGCCTTCTACCTGAAAAAACTAAGACCATTATAAGAAATAAACATATAAACTAGAAAGTTTAATAAAGTATTTTAAATGCTGTGATAGGGATGTATACAGGGCATGGATGGGACAATAAGGACAAAATGATAAAATAGAACTGAATCTGACAATTGATGTGAATCATAGGAGTTTTGTGGAGCTCTTATGTTTTTAAAACATATTTTTCTTGGCCCACTGTTCTATAAGTAACTGACTAGAAACATTGAATAAATGAATGGAGAATACCTTAATAGTTTATAGCATATTTATTCTGACATAAAGTAACAATTATTTTTAACTCCTCTAGTCATTCATTATACTTTATAGCAACTACATAAAACCTGCCAGACTAACAAAACAAAATTCACCTTACAAAATGAGTTAGTATGACAAGCATAGATGATATGGAAATTTACAAGAGAATAACCGTATGTCTTGTACATTTTTTTTGTTTTTTTACTGACAGTTTGGTTGCTGTGTGTCTTTCACTTCCAGCTGAAGCAGAATGACAGTGATTTTTAAAACAGTTTTATTGAGGTACAGTCGACGTATTACACACTATATATATTTGAAGTGTAAACTTTGATGTGTGTTGATATATGTACACACCCTGAAACTGTCACCATAAGTTCAAGATAATGAATTTATCACCCCCATAAGTTTTGTGGTGCCCTTTCGTAATCCCTTCCTTCTTTTCTTTTCCAAGTAGTCACAGATGAGTTTGCATTATCTAGAAATTTATGTCAGTATATCATAAATCATGCAGTACTCTCTTTTGAGATTTGTCCATGTTGTATATATCAATAGTTCATTCTTTTTATTGCTGAGTACTAAGTGTCCATTTTGCAGTATTCCATAGTTCATTTATTCACCTGGTGATGGAAATGTGGGTTTCCAATTTGAGGCTATTAAATAAAGTTGTTTTTAATATTCTTATGCAAGTCTTTGAATGAACATGTGGTTTCTTTTCTCTTGGGTGGCAAGCCATTTACTTGCCAGTGGAATGGCTGGATCAGATGTAGGTATGTGTTTTACTTTTTAAGAAGCTGCCCCAACTGTTTTCCAAAGTGCTTGTACCTACAGTTCTACATACCTATGAGCAGTGTGTGAGAGTTCTATTTCCTCCACATTCTTGTCAGCATTTGCTATGGTCTGTCTTTTAAATTTTGGCAATTCCAATAGATGTTAAGTGGTATCTTACTGTGGCTTAAATTTGCATTTCCCTTATGACTAGTGGTGTAGGGCATCTTTTCATATGCTTATTTGCCATCCATATGTCTTTTTTTTGCTAAGTGACCATCCATATAGTTTTCCCATTTGTAATGGATTATTTGCTTTCTTACTGCGTTTTGAGAGTGTATGTTTGTATATTCATACACAGTCATGTGATTTATTATATATATGATGGTAGTCCCATAAGATTATAATGGACCTGAAAAGTTTCTCTTGCCCAGTGACGTTGTGTTTGTGGTGATGCCAGTATAAACAACAAACCTGGGCTGCCAGTTACACAACAATGTAGCACATACCATTGCATACATCACATAATATTTATAAACGATCATAAAACGACTTTGTTACTGGTTTATGTATTTACTATAGTATACTTGTTATTGTTATTTTAGAGTATACTGCTTATACTTCTAAAAAGAATGTTAACTGTAAAACAGCCTCAGGCAAGTCCTTCAAGAATTATCCAGAAGAAGGCATTATCATCACAGGAAATGACAGGTTCATGTATGTTATTAATATTTCCCCTGAAGACCTTCCAGTGGGGCAAGATGTGGAGATGGAAGACAGTGACATTGATGATCCCAACCCTGTGTAGGCCTAGGCTAATGTGTGTGTTTGTGTCTTAGGTTTTAACAAGAAAGTTTACCAACAAAAATTTTTTAATTGGAAAAAGCTTATAGAATGAGGATATAAAGAAGGAAAATATTTTTGTACAGCTGTATGGTGTGTTGTATTTTCAGCTTAGTGTTATTACAAAAGAGGTAAAACGTTAGAGATTAAAAAGTTTATAAAGTAAAAAAGTTACAGTAAGGTAAGGTTAATTTATTGTTGAAGAAAGAAACATTTTAACAGTAAATTTAGTGTAGCCTGTTGATGAAGTCCTCAATAGCCTACAGGAATGCCCCGTGGCTTACCTTTTCATGCTCTTTAACCCTGTGTTTCAAAGAGCAGACGTTTTACATTTTGAACATGTCCAATTTGTCAGTTTGTTCTTTTATAGATTGGGATTTTAGTGTCTTATCTAAGAAACCATTGCCTCACCTAAGGTCACAAATATTTTCTCTCATGTTTTCTTCTAGCAGTTTTATAGCTTTGGGTTTTACATTTAGGTAAAAGGTCCCATTTTGAGTTAGTTTTTGTATATGGTTCATGATTATAGATTCAAATTCTTTAAAAAAAAAAAAAGCTATCCAGTTGTGCCAGCACCATTTGTTGAAAAGACTGACCTGTCTTCAATTGAATTGTCTTCGTATCTCTGTTCACGTGTAAGTGGATCTATTTCTGGACTCTTTTTTTCTGTTCAGTTGATCTGTTATCATCATGTCATTTTCACACTGTCTTAATTACTGTAGCTTTATAGTAAGCCTTGAAATTGTGTAGTGTTAGCCATACCACTTTGTTCTTATTCAAAGTTGTTTTGGCTATTTGAAGACATTTGCATTTCCATATGAATTTTAGAATCACCTTTTCAGTTTCTACATTAAAGTCTGCTGTGATTTTGTTTGGAATTATGTTGTATCACTGGATGAATTTGGGGAATAATTGACAATAAAAAGAAAATTCTGGGTACATTTACACAATCGTCATCTGCAAATAAAGGTAGTTTTACTTCTTTTTTAATCCTTTTTTATTCTTTTTACCTTACTGCACTAGTTATAACCTTGAGTGCAATGTTGACTAGAAGTGGTGACAGTGAACATCTTTGTGTTATTCATGATTTTAGAGAGAAATAATTCAATCCTTCACCGTTAAGTGTGCTATTAGATTTAGGGGTTTTTTTGTGGGGTTTTTTGTAAATGCCCTTATCAGGTTGAGGAAGTTCCCTTCTGTTTCAAATTTGCTGAGAAATTTTTGGTTTTTCATGTTTTTAAATCAGAAATGGATGTTAGATTTTGTCAAATACTTTCACTTTTTTTTTTTTTTTTTTGAGACAGAGTCTCAACTCTGTCACCTAGGCTGGAGTGCAGTGGCTCAGACTCGGCTCACTGCAACCTCTGCCTCCCGGGTTCAAGCGATTCTCTTGCCTGAGCCTCCTGAGTAGCTGCATGCCACCACGCCCAGCTAATTTTTTGTATTTTTAGCAGAGACAGAATTTCACTGTGTTAGCCAGGATGGTCTTGATCTCCTGACCTCGTGATCCACCCGCCTTGGCTTCCTGAAGTGCTGGGATTACAGACGTGAGCCACGGCACCCGGCCCTTTTGCTTTTTATAAATTGATACATAATATGTATCACTTGGAAGTAAGGGAAATCTGAAGTGAACTGTTTTCCTATGCTCCAGAAATATCTCTCTACAAACACTTAACACATTAGTTACAGATCTTTTTCCTATTCTTTGAAATAAGGCCCCAAATAATCTCCATCAGAACAGTTAGCTTAATGTGAATTACTTTATATATTTGAAATTTAAAAAAGACATATATTGTAAGTAATGTATGGCTCACATTTTAATGATGCAGCCTTGCTTCTTCCTTAATTAGACTGAGGAGAAGAAAGTTAATATAGATGGTAACTACAACTATATTCTCTTTTCAAAGAAATAATAATATATTTAAAGTTAGTAATATATGTGTTCCTAAACATGATTTGCAATTTCTTACAGATTTGTAGGATCACTGGGTACCATCATCATAAAATGTAAAGATTTTCGAATTATTCAGTTGGATATTCCTGGAATGGAGGAATGCTTGAATATAGCCAGTTCCATTGAGGTAAGTATTTTGGAAGCAAAATCTAATGAAACATAATTTTATATTATGACTCAGTGTAGCTCTTCCATTTCTTCATTAGATAATTTAGTCATGTTCTCTGACTCAAATACTGAAGACTGATAGGAAAAGCCTCACCCTGGTTCATCGTCATATGAGTGTAATGGAACTTTCTTGACTTCCAGCAGTGTCTGGTGTTACTCACGTTATATGAGTAGCTCAATTCCATGAGTTGCTTGGAATTCCATTTCCAATGGCTTTGTGGAATTTCCATGAGTTCATATTGGTTAAATAACAGATACTGTTTCACTTGAGTGTATGAGTTCTTATTTGGGGAAACCATTAGAAGATTTAGTAAAGAGGTTCTTGGGAGAAATTTTAAAGTTTTGCTTGATATTTTATGTTCACTATACAAAGCTCTGTGCCAAAGACTGTAAACTTCTTTTTCTTTCCTTTACTTGAGGTTTGTTCAAGTAAAATCTTATATGGAATTGTAAACCAATAAAATAGATACAGTTAGAATTGCTTTTAGTCACATTACAGTGAGTAGGTAGGGACTGGGGGGACCTAGAAGCCCTCATTGACTTGACTATTCCCATCTGCCCTCTACAGAGTTCCTTAGAGACACTGCAAACCACTAGTGAGTTAACCAGTGCACTGTTCACTTCTCTACCAGGTTAGCAGCTAGAAGTGGAATTGTTTCTTCTTGAATATACTAGTATATCTTTTGTAATAAATACAGTTCTAAAAATTTGAATAGAAATATTAATAAATTAGAATATTATTGTACCATATTATTACATATATATATACACATTATTACATGTATTAGTACATTATTGAACGATAGCACAGTTTGATTCTTGATTTTACCACATGCTAGCTTGTGACCATTGGTAAAGTACTTAACATCTCTCTGATTTGTTTTCTACGTTTTATAAAACAAGGATAATAGTACCTATCTTTTAGGGCTGTTGTAAGAATTTTATTAGTTGATGTGTGTAGAATGGTTAGTATAATACTTGGTAAATAGCAGCTACCATTTGAGGGTCCTCTGTCATTACTTACTATAATTTTATGGTGATGCTTTTTTAAAAAAATTGTGGTTAGAAAACACTTAACCGTTTTTAAGTGTACAGTTTAGTAGGGTATAAAACTTTATTCACATTGTTGTGCAGCAGATCTCCAGGACTTTTTCATCTTGCAAGATCGAAACTCTGTGTTAAACAACACCCCATTTTCCCCTCTCTCCAGCTCCTGAGAACCCCCATTCTACTTTCTGTTTCTCTGAATTTGACTACTTTAGGTATCTCATATAAGTAGAATCATAGTACATAGTATTTGTCTTTTTGTGACTGGTTTTTTTCACTTAGCATAATATCCTCACAGTTCATCTGTGTTGTAAATTCTGACTTTTTAAGGCTGAGTAATATTCCATTGTTATGGATGCATGTGGTGAGACTTTTAAAAAGTTATTTCTTTTCTAAAGCAAGTAACTGTCACCAGTGATTATAGTTTTTTGTTTGTTTTTAGTAATCTGAATTTTCACGTATCAATTAGCTTAAGACAGGGTGTGTTTGCTTTTTATTTATATAAATAATATTGAATATTGGTTCAGATTACAAATAATAGAAATTTTACTTGGTTAGTTTAAATGGAAGAGCTCATACTGTTTTCTTTCCATTCTAACCAACTATTTTGATGTACACTGAAATTTTAAATTGCCTTATTTTAAACTATTGCCACTAAATTATATCAGTTAATCTTAGGTTTATAGTACTTTCTAGACTACTATAGGAACGTTGATTTTTTCTTTCCGTGTATGTGTAACTAATCTGGACTTTGTGTCCAAAAAATGCTATCAGCTTAGCTATTAAAAATGGGTAGAAAGTCTTAAAAATCTAGAAGTAGGATTTTAGTGATTTTTAAAACAGGAATAGAGAAATAGAGGAAAAACTGTTATAGTGCTAAGTAAATGGTACATAACACATTTCTTCCTGCCTTTGTTGAATTTTACTTAAGGAAATGAGAAGATGAACTGAACTGTTTGTCTTACACATCTGTCATTTGGAAGTAATGCATGATGTTGATTTGATGTAATTTGTTAAATTGAATGAGAATGCATGTAGTTTATAGACTGTTAAATTGAAATAATGTCCCACTATTTGGGCATTTGGGCAGAGGAACATTACCCACTTCCATTGAGCATGTATGTGTTTGTGGGTTTTGTGGTTTTTTTTTTTTTTCAGTTAGGAGATTGGATTTTCACTGACCAGTCTTCGTTTTTCTTATTCCTTTGTGAGAATTGATCTGTAAGATGACTGGCTGGTTGGTGTCAGAGATGCTGCCTGTGGTGAGGCACAGTGGTGAAGGAAAAGGGGAAGTGTGCTACCCACTTGCTGACGCTGATCAGTTGTTTAAGTAGCTGTATATATTTTAAAACTCTTTAGAAACTGACTCATTATATAAAAGCCCTTAGGACTGAAAAGAAGCCGTAAATTATGAGCTCATTTGACCTCAGAAAATGAATGCTCTGTTAAATGTTCTTACAGCGTAGTGATTAACATAGTGAACCTGTCCTCTATCCTTTTCCTGGCACAGAATCCCTCCTGCTAGCCCTCCACCCTTCCCCGAATACATCTGGACACGATTTGTGAGTAGTAATTGAATTTTTCATATAGCATAGCTGAGCTGTCCTTTGTAATTAGGAGTCCGTATACTCAAATATATTCTGCTGCCTCACGTAGAATCCCATTGGAAGAATAGCTGGCAAGTGCTCAGTTATCTAAATTGTAGCAATAAGTTAGTGAAGCTTTTTTTCAGTGTTTCACCTGCCTTTGGAAGTGAAATGTTTTCAGTTCTCTCAGCATTAATGTGTTTAAAGGAAAAGACCTCTTTCTAGTGACATAAGATCTCAAGATGAAATATGAGTGCTTATTGCCTGTGAGAGTGGTTGCTGACTTGCATTTAAAATAATGGTGGTTCTGATTGACGGCAGCCCTGAGTTAGGTCAGACATGGACGCTGGCTGTTCTGCTTCTGTTTGGTGTGATTGGCAGCCAAAGACAGTATAGATGTAGGAAAAATATATATATATATATTTATATGGATAATGGATTATACAGCCATGCTTCTCTATATTTTGTTTTATGAGGTAGGAGAGAAGGTTTCATGATTTATAGATGGATAGAAAAATAACTTTGGATGGAGATGTTTTTGCTACACTGCTGAGCTGTATGTCCGGTCTACTATTGAATAGTCATGGGCCTATCCTTTTGCATGCCTGATCTTCCTCTGACCTGGAGGGAGATAAGTGCATTCTGAGCATTGCTGTTGGGCCTTCTCCTCCTGTCCAGGTGAATGTCTCCATCATTCCTGCAGTTTGAATTATGCTAATTGATATGGTATCCTTTCCCCGCTGCACCCCCCCCCCGCCATCCAGTATAGAAATACTTTTTTCCATAATCCCCCTGTGAGAAGGATGAATCTGCCTAGTGATAGAGACTTTCCTTCTCTCTGTTCCTCCCATCTACTCAGGTTTTCCTATGTCTGTTTTCCAGGATTCAAGTGCTCCAGGTAAATATAGGCCCATTTGGGGCTGATAGAGTTATTGCCCCCATTTGAGAATGGATCCCTGCAGCATGAAAATATGATGATACATGACCAAATGGCATATACCAGTCTAGGAAGAGAGGAAATGAACATTGATGGAATTTCTACCTATGTAGAGCATGTCATAGCTGAAATTGGCCAGGTGCGGTGGCTCACACATGTAATCCCAATACTTTGAGAGGCTGAGGCAGGCAGATCACCTGAGGTCAGGAGTTCAAGTCTGGCCTGGCCAACATGGTGAAACCCCATCTCTACTAAAAATACAAAAAAATTAGCTGGGTGTGGTGGCAGGCACCTGTAATCCCAGCTACTCAGGAGGCTGAGGAAGGAGAATCACTTGAACCCGGGAGGCGGAGGCTGCAGTGAGCCGAGATCGCGCCATTCTAGCCTGGGTGACAAGAGCAAAACTCTGTCTCAGAATAAAAGTGGGAATTACTTTAGATTTTATTATGTGCCAGACACTGTTCTAAGCCTTTTACACACATTATCTCTCTTAATGCTTCAACAACACTATGAAGTAGGTATGTTATTTCCCCCATTTTACAGTTGAGGAAACTGAGGCATAGAGTGGTTACATGACTTTCCTACTGCACTGCTAGGATTTGGAATTTCAGTCCGGCATTCTCATTCCCATCTGACTGTAGACCTCTAGGCTGTATCATCCTTTTTTACAGTTACTAACCCACCCTGATTTCAAATAATTTACATAAGTTTATTTAGGTAATAACTGGATTTTGAGCCAAGACCTTACTGACTAGCCAAAAACTGATCCCCAGAAATACTTAGACCTTTTTATTAAGCTTTATTAATTGATGTCGAGGTGTTATTTCATTTTTCTTCTAGAATTGGTATGCACATTTTTTTGTTCTTTTTTTCATCCCGTCAACACTTTTGAGTGTGTGTTATGTGGCAGATGCCTTTGTTAGATACTAGAAGCAAAGAAATCAGCTTCAGTAAGACTAAAATTGTATCTGGTGATAAACACAATGTTAGAGAAACATTCTGGGTGCCCATCATTATTAGACCATGTTTGCTTAATACTAATTTGTCAGTTAGAATATGTTTCCAGTTGTGGATGTTTCTTTTTTGTCTTTCTTTTCTTTTTGCCCCCAGGCATTGTCTACTCTGGACTCCATCACTCTGATGTACCCTTTCTTTTACCGTCCTATGTTTGAAGTGATAGAAGATGGCTGGCATTCCTTCCTTCCTGAGCAAGAATTTGAACTCTATTCTTCAGCTGTGAGTTAACTTTTGAGAACTGTGGATTATGAGAAGTAACCCAATACCTTATTTGACTTGTGAAAATGATCACTTCTTTTGAAGAGTAATAAGGTGAAGTTGACTTATCCATTCCTAATCTTAATATATTTAAAAGGATTGAAGCCATGCAGAGTATGATCTCTGATCACAAAGGAATTAGATTAATAATCAGTAATACTAAGATATCTAGGAATACCCCCAAGTATTTCTAAATTAAACAGAACGCTTGTAAATAATCTGCATGTCAAAGAAATTAGAAAACATTTTGAAGTGAGTGATAATGGTTATGTAACATATTGAAATTTGTGGAATACAGACAGCTAAGGCAGTGTTTAGAGATAAACTTACAGCTTTAAAATTTTTACTAGAAAGGAAAGTCTAAAATTATTGACCTAAGCACCAATTTAAGAAGCTAGAAAAAAAAAGCAAAGTAACTAGAAAGAAAAAATAATAAAAATAAGAGCAGAAAGCAATAAAATAACTAGAATAAGTAAGTTTAGCAAAGTTGGTTGATATAAGATCGGTATACAAAAACGAATTGAATTGGCAACAAGCGATCTGACAATGAATAAAATATTTACGAATAAATTTAACAAAAGAAATTCAAGGTCTATACACTGAAAGACATAAAACATTGTTGGAAGAAGTTGCAAGAGATCTAAATAAAAGGAGAGATACTGTGTACATCAATTGGAAGACAATATTGTTCAGGTTAGTGGTTGGCTGACTTTTGTGAAAGACCATTAGATAGTAGATATTTTAAGCTTTGCAGGTCATGTGGTCTCTGTTGTAACTACTGAACTCTGCTGTTGTTGCATGAAAAAAGCAATCAGATGAGACATCAGTGAATGGGTGGTGCTATGTTCTAATAAACTTTATTTGCAGAAACAAGTAGCAGGCTGGATTTGGCTCATTAAAGTGGCAGTTCTCCCTTAATTGATCTGTAGAGTCAGTGCAATCCCTGTTAAAATTCTAATAGGTGTTTTTGTAGAAATGGACAAAATGATACAAATTTTATGGAAATGCAAATTTAAATATATAAGTTTATATGGAAAGTCAAAACAGCTTTGAGAAAACACTTGATTACTGTAAAGCCACAGTAATCAAGAGAGTATGGTATTGCTGTAAGCGAAGACATACAGACCAATGAAACAGAATACAGGGTACAGAAATAAACCTTCCCCTTAATGCTCAGTTGATTTTTGACAAAAGTACCAATACAATTCAATTGGGAAAGGATAGCTTTTTCAACCAATAGTATTGGAACAGTTGGATATCCATATGTAAAAAAGATAAACCTAGACCCTTACCTCACATCATCCACAAAAATTAACTAAAATGTATTATGCAACTAAACATGAGAACTAAAACTATCAAACCTCTTTAAGAAAGCACAGGAGAAAATCTTTATGACCTTCAGTTAGACAGAGATTTTTTAGATATGACACCAAAAGTGACTGAAAGCAGGTTAGTGATTTCCTAGTATTGGGTGTTACACAGGTGTATACAACTGTCAAGACTCATGAAATTGTGTAGTCAAAATGGATTCAGTTTATTTTTTATAAGTTTTGTCTCAAAGTTGACTAAAAAGAAGATAAAAGAATAATCTAATGCAAATGTTAAGTAGCTGATTAGAAACAGCTTAGGAGAAAATAAGTGATTTGAAATATAGATCCGAAATAATTACTCAGAATATGGAACAGAGAAGGAAGATGGAAAAACAGAGAGGTTAGACACATGCATGCTTAATAAAGGAAGAAGATCCAATATTTATTACATGGGAGTTTAGGATAAAAGATGATAGAGGCTGGTTATGGTGGCTCACACCTATAATCCTAGCACTTAAGGAGGCTGAGGCAGGCAGGTCACTTGAGCTCAGGAGAGTTTGAGACCAGCCTAGGCAACATGGTGAAACCCCATCTCTATGAAAAAATTTAGCTAGGTGTGATAATGTGTGTCTTTGGTCCCAGTTACCTGGGGGTCTGAGGTGGGAGAATGGCTTGAGCCCAGAAAGTTGAGTTTGCAGTGAGCAGTGATAATGCCGCTGCACTCCAGCCTGGGTGAGAGAGCAAGACCCTGTCTCCAAAAAAAAAAAAAAAAAAAAAGAGGAAGACAAAAAAAAAAAAAAGGTGATGATAGAAGAAAGACAATATTCAAATGCATAATGGTTGATAATTCTCCAGAATCAGTAGAAGTTATTGAACCCTTAAGCTGAGGTATCCCAGCAAATACCATACAAGATAATAAAAAAATCTTTAGACATGTTGTTGTTCAGCTACTGAACAATAAAGCAAAGAAAATACCACAAAGTTAAAAGACAAATGACCTGCATGGTGTTAGATTAACAGAGGAAAAAAGTTTGATCAATATCTATTTATGATAAAAGCTCTTAGAGTTGGATTTGAAGGAAATTTATTTAATCTGATAAAGGATGGGTACCAAAACCAAAAACATAAAAAAAGCAAATCTTGTATCATTCTCTCTAAGTTCAAGAATGAGGCAAGGATGTCCATTGTGACTACTTCTAGTCAGCTCAATAAGACAAGAAGGAAAAATACAGGGTATAGGGATTGAAATGAAGGTAGCAAAATTGTCAATATTTATTGATTATATGCTTGTCTACATAGGAAAAGGAAAGAATCTTGAGATCATAGGCATTTCTGTACACCAAACACAATTTTGAAGAGATGCAGTTAAAATGCAACAAAGATTATTGGGTTTCTAGGAATATATCTAAGAAAAGATAGTAAGACCTTTATTGAGAGAATTATAAAAATTTATGGAAAAAATTTTGAAAGCTTAAACAAATGGAAAAGACAATATACTCATGGATAGAGAGACTGAATATTCTAAAGATGTAAGTCATTCCCTCCGATTTATAAAGTCAATACAATCTTAATAAAAACCCCAGTTGGTTTTTATATTGAATTTGATAAAAGTTGCATGGAAGACCAAAAGACCAAGAGGAGCCACGTTACTCTTTGAAGAACAAAAAGGTGAGAGGAGGACACTTGGCCTACTAGATACCAAACTTATTTTAAAAGCTATAGGAGTTACTAAAGTGGACAAGTGCGACGGGATGGAGAGCACAGTACATTTGGACCAACAGAAGCGGCATTGCAGATCAATGGAGAGCCCTGTCATTCTCCAGAGTAGGAAATCAATAATAATATATCATAGTGAAAGTTCAAGAAATAACAGTATTATCATGTTGTTTAGAAATGTAAAGGTAAACACTGAAAAAGCTAAAAATGTTGAAAATGATTGCCTTTGGGGAAAGCAAATTGGGATGGGCTAGCAAGGAACAGATAACTACATTTTTTTAAAAATAATAAATCTTTAGAAACTGTGTTTTTTTTAAATTAATTAATTAATTATTTTTTGAAACAATCTCACTCCAGTTGCCCAGGCTGGAGTGCAGTGGCGCTGTCACAGCTCACTGTGGCCTCGACTTCCTGGGCTCCCGTGATTCTTTCACCTCAGCATCCTAAGTAGCTGGAAATACAAGTGTGTGCCACTGTGCCTGGCTAATTTTTGCATTTTTAGTGGATATGGGGTTTGGCCATGTTGCCCTGGCTGGTCTTGAACTCCTGAACTCAAGCAATTTGCCTGCCTTGGCCTCCCAAAGTGCCGGGATGATAGGTGTGAACCACTGTGCCCAGCCTAGAAACTATGTTTTTAAACTGGTAACATAAATAACTTTGAAAAGTGAAAAAATTTAATTAAAAATGTGATACTGTATCTTATAAAAGCATTTTTTAAAAGTAATAATCTTGTCTGTTAGTACGTCTAACATACTTTTTAGCTTTATCTTCCTGCTATTGTAACCCATGGTTAGGCCAACTCAGATATACAGAACATATTGAAATTTACATATAATTTGATTTTTTTTTTTTACTGTAAAACCTTTTGACAGTGTTCAAGCTGTTTTTAATTCTGATGTTTAAAATAAGTTGTCATTTGATAGTTTTATATTGTATACTTCTAGTCCTTACTCAGTTTGAAATTATTTCATTGACTCCTAAGCTTAACCTTCCTTAGTATTGAGTTGGTACTGTTTTAAGAAAGGTGTTACCAATCTTAGTACATTTTTTACCTTTTTTAAAATAAACAAAGGGTTTGATATAGATAGTAGCTGTGTTCTCATTTGTTCTGGGGATGCATTATCTGGAGTCGTACAGTCTTACTTGTGCTTTAAGAGGATCATTAACAAACTAAATGGGACCCAGAAAAGGAAGAAGTAGGATGATGTTGGCCGTGATAATTGTGGATGTGCTTAATATATTTAACTTGGAGAATAGAACACTAAGGAGGATCAGCTGTCTTTCAAACATTTGATGGGATACCGTGTAAAATAGGGAACTTGTACGGTGTTGTCTGAAAGTACAGTAAAAACCAATAGAGGGAGCTACAGAGCAACAAGTTTTGCTCAGTGTGAGAAAGCACTTTCTGGGAACTGGTGATACCTAGCAATGCAGGAAGCTGGCCCTGAACCATAGAGCTCCTTTTCTCTGCAGCTACTTACATATAAGCTAGAGATCCACCTGTGAAATTCCTGAGAAATGGCTTCTTCATCAGTGAAAGTTGACCTCTAAGGTCTTTTAAAATTTCTCAGATTATTTTGCGACATTGAGATAGTTGCTTAGCTTTGAAGTATTTTGTGTTTTTCAGACCAGTGAATGGAGGCTAAGCTATGTCAATAAGGAATTTGCTGTCTGTCCCTCTTACCCACCAATTGTCACAGTGCCCAAATCCATCGATGATGAAGCTCTTCGGAAGGTAGCTACATTTCGACATGGAGGGCGCTTCCCAGTACTAAGCTATTACCACAAAAAAAATGGGATGGTAAGTGCACAGCACTACTGCTTGATGTACTGAAAGGCTTGGGTTGGGGATCTTTTCGTAGAAATGTTCCCTTTTGCTCTCTGTCTGTTCACTGAAATGATTGTCCAGGTCTCCACCACAAGGGCTTCCTTCATGTAAGCTTTAGGGAATCAGGAGTAGGGTGTTTTCTGTGGTGAGGATGTGATGCTGAATTCTTTCCATGATCCTGCTCAGCCGTATAAAAGCCCTGATAGCTTTATCTCCAGGACACTATACAAAGGAAACTAGTGTTTATTTGATGCTTACAGCAACATTCTTCTGGTAGAAAAATGAGAAATTTCTCTGTTCAGAATAATGGTAAAATACTTGAATTTTTCTTAACAACTTTACACGTGAAAGGTGGAGCAGACGTATTTATTTTCAAAGGTGAAAAGAGTGATGCTCATGTCATTTAGTCACAACTCTAGTAAACACTGGAGTCAGGATTAAACAAGGAGTTAAGATAACTACCTTGTAATGGTGGCGTCTTGAAAGAACTCTAAACCATTCGCCAGGGAAGAGATTAGTATAATAGACATTGATTTCTAGAGAAAAGTTTCAAAAGCAAACATTTCCAGATGTATAGTTGGTGGGGTAGTTTTTAGAAACAAGTAGTTAAATCCTTGAATACTGAAAAGGATGGTAGAGGCCACTGGAGAATACATAATAGACAGTCAGCTTCTGAGGTAGTGAAAATGATTTCCCAAACAATGAGAACAGTGTTTGAACTTTTAAATTTTGCCACTGGTGCCTTTACTTCTTATAATTGTTGTTAAAACCTGCCAACTCTATGTATGTTTAGTTGAAGTCAAGGTTTACTGGCTCATAGGCCATTATTGTCTTTATTACAGGTCCAGGTCTACAGGTATTTGATTCACACACTAAATGAATTGCAATATTTGATCTTAAAGAGGAGATATAATTTATTATGTGACAGTATTTTGAGACAGAGAAATTGTGTAAAAGCTTAAGGCTTATCTTTTATAGTTATTAACTATTGTCAATACATGCAAATATTTCTTTGTTTATGGATCAAATCCATCTGCAGAGTGTCACACAATTGTTTTTGAGATACTCTTAATCTAGCTAATTTCTTTCTGTTTTCAGAAACTTTAAAAGCAACTGCTGTTGAATTTTCAGCTTTATTATGCTTCTAGGTAATTATGCGAAGTGGTCAGCCACTCACTGGTACAAACGGGAGGAGGTGCAAGGAGGACGAGAAGCTGATAAATGCTACCCTCAGGGCTGGAAAGCGTGGCTACATCATTGACACCCGATCCCTGAACGTGGCTCAGCAAACTAGAGCCAAAGGAGGTGGCTTTGAACAAGAAGCTCATTATCCTCAGTGGAGGCGAATTCATAAGTCCATTGAGAGGTAAAAGATTCCAAAGATAGTACAGACTCTTATTAGAAGCTAATTATAGTGGGTAAGGCCTTAGCCATTTGAAAATCACAAGTGCTCAAATTAACTTCTGCATTAATTTAGGGTCAATGATGGGCTAGCCATCTTCTCATTTTTTTTTGGTCAGCTCTATTAAGGTTTGATTGACAAATAAAAATTACATGTATTTGTGATGTACACTGTGCTATTTTGATATACATATACATTGTGAACTGATTAAGTGAATTAACCTATCACGTCGCATAGTTATCATTTTTTTGGATGGTGAGAACATTTAATATCTATTCTCTTAGCAGTTTTCAAGCATACAATATATTAGTTTTAACTACAGTTACCATGCTGTACAATAGACCTACAGAACTAATTCCTCCTAAGTGAAACTTTGTTGTTACCTTTGATCAACATGTCCCCATATCTGTGTCCCTCCTACCCCGACCCCTCCTGCTACTTTCTCTTCCTCTGGCAACCACCATTCTACTCTCTGTTTCTATGAGTTTAACTTGTTTAGATTCCACATATAAGTGAGTTCATGCAGTGTTTATCTTTCTGTGCATGGGTGCCTGACTTATTTCATATAGCATGATGTCATCCAGGTTCATCTGTGCTATTGCAAATGACAGGCTTCCCCTCTTTTTTATTTTTATTTTATTTTTTTGGGATGGAGTCTTGCTCTGTCAGCCAGGCTGGAGTGCAGTGGCACGATCCCAGCTCACTGCAATCTCTGCCTCCCAGGTTCAAGTGATTCTCCTGTCTCAGCTTCCCAAGTAGCTGGGACTACAGGTGCCTGCTACCACGCCTGGCTAATTTTTGTATTTTTAGCAGAGACCAGGTTTTGCCATGTTGGTCAGGCTGGTCTCGAACTCCTGACCTCAAGTGATCCTCCTGCCTCGGCCCCTCAAAGTGTTGAAATTACAGGCATGAGCCACTGTGCCTGGCCTACCCTCTTTTTTAAGGCTGAATAGTATTTTATTGTGTATTGTACCACATTTTCTTAATCCATTCATCCATTGACGTGCATTTAGGTTGAATCCATATCTTGACTATTGTGAATAGTGCTGCAGTGAACGTGGGAATGCAGATACCTCTTTGAGATCCTGATTTCGTTTCCGATATTCAAAATATTTACCCAGAAGTGGGATTACTGGATCTTATTGCAGTTTCATCTTTAATGTTTTGAGGAGCCTCCATACTGTTTTCCACAGTGGCCATACTAATTTACATTCCCACCAGCATTGTACAGGGGTTCCCTTTTGTCCATATTCTCAACAACAGTTGTTAAATCTTGTCTTTTTAGTAATAGCCATTCTAACAGGGGTGAGGTGATATCTCATTGTGGTTTTGAATTTCATTTCTCTGTTGATGAGTGATGCAGAGCATTTTTTTTTTCAAATACCTATTGGCCATTTATATGTCTTCTTTTGAGAAATGTCTGTTCAGGTCTTGCCCATTCTTTAATCAGGTTTTGTGTTTTCTTGCTGTTGAGTTGAGTTTCTTACATATTTTGGATATTAACCCCTTATCCAGTGTGGTGTTCACAAATGTTTTCTCCCATTCCATAGGTTGTCTCTTTACTCTGTTGATTGTTTTGCTGTGCAAAACTTGTTAGTTTGTTCAGTCTCATTTGTCTATTTTTGCTTTTGTTGCCTCTGCTTTTGAGGTCATATCCAAAATAACTTTTCCCAGACCAATGTCAAGAAGCTTTTTCCTTATGTTTTCCTCTAATGATTTTTACAGTTTCAGGCCTTATGTTTAAGTCTTTAATCTACTTTGAGTTGATTTTTGAGTATGGTGTGAGGTAAGGGTTGAGTTTCTTCTGCATGTGCATACCCAGTTTTTCCACCACCACTCATGGGAGAAGCTCCTTTCCCCATTGTATGTTCTCGGCAACTTTTTCAAACATCAATTTACCATAAATGCATGGATTTATTTCTGGGTTTTATTCTGTTCCATTAGTCAATGTGTCTGTTTTTATGCCAGTGCCAAGCTGTTTTGATTACTTTAGCTTTGTAGCATATTTTAAAATCAGGTACTGCGTGAGGCCATCAGGACCAGGGCTTTTCTTTGATGGGAGGTCTTTTTAATCTCCTTACTCATTATTGGTCTGTTCATATTTTCTTTCTTCATGACTCAGTCTTGGTAGGTTGTATGCTTCTAGGAATTTATCCATTTCTTCTAGATTATCCAGTCAATTTGTTAATGTGTAATTGTTCACAGTAGTCTCTTATGATCCCTTGTATTTCTGTGATATCAGTTGTAATATCTCATCTTTATTTCTGATTGTATGCATTTGCATTGTTTTTCTCTCTGTTTTTAGTGAAAGAACCTTCAGCTAAAGGTTTGTTAGTTTTATCTTTCTTTTTGAACAGCCAGCCTTTGTGTTTGATAGGCGAAAGCTGTGCTCTTGGAGGCCTGCAGGAGTCCCTTTCACTAGCATTCTTTCTCTAAGCCAACCCTGTGGTCTCATCACCACAAGGCCAGCTCCTCTGCAGGTAGATCAGCAGTTGCTACACTGAACAGATTTGCTACATATACTTATATTTTCCTAAGTCAAAGACTTTAGAGATTTAATTTCTCCCCATATCGACCTATTTTCGCACAGTTTCCTCCACCTATTGTCTCTTGTTTGTACTGTAAAAGAGTGATTTATAAGTGTCTCTAGGTGGGTGAATGGGAGCTGTAGCTAGAAAACAGTGGGATCCAAGCTGGGTTGGGTAAGGCTGCTGATGGCACTGGGTCTCTAGTGTTAGATCGGTGGGAACAGGATTGCAAATGTAAGTGGTGCTGTGTCTCCTGACCTGTCATGAAACGCAGGGCTCTGGCCTCTCCTATAGTCAGATAATCCAGGTATGTGAACTGGGTTTAATCTGTTCAGGTAAGGAATACGTTACCATGGCAGGCATTTTAAGCCTTTGCAACAATGTTTAAATATTAGTTTTTCAACCTTTAATCCTCAAATTATAGCAGGGTAAATATTTTTATAGTATTTTGAACTACTTTTGCTCTTAGATATGTTGGAGGCTGAATCTTTGGTTTGGTTTCTTTATCTTTCTATTTTCTGGGTTTGTTATTTTTTACTTTCTTACTTTTAAAAGGTATCACATTCTTCAGGAGAGCTTAATCAAACTTGTGGAAGCTTGTAATGACCAAACACATAACATGGACCGATGGCTCAGTAAATTGGAGGCCTCTAACTGGCTGACTCACATCAAAGAGATTCTGACAACTGCCTGCCTAGCGGCTCAGTGCATCGACAGGTAAAGTGCATTTCAGCGTTCCTGAGCGAAACATGGCGCTGCTAACTAGACTTTGTGTTTATCCAGACATATGTTTATAGATTATGTGAAAGTTTGCAGTAAATTACTGTGTAGGCTAGTCAACACCATCCCATTATTGATGAGGTGTGTGCCTAGAGTCTGGCATTTAATAGATAATGTTTGTTTCATAAATATGAACCAGGTAAATATACATGTCTTCTATGACACAAATTTTTAAGTACTAATGGACCCGTTTTTTTTTTCTAGTACACCCTTAAATCATGAATTTGCCAATTTTTTTCTTAAACTGTGAAATAGAATGAAAGGAAGTTTTCTTATTTTTTCTTAGAGGAGCGAACTTACCTCCTTACTTTTGAAATATCAGCGAAAGGAAACGTAATTTTGTTACACAGTAAAATGATCCTTTCTAACCTCCGGGATATCTTATTTCATACTACTTGATATGTGCGATTACATCTGGATCTCAAGTTGAGAACACCTAGTGGTAGTGATGTTGAGTATATGAAGTGATTTTAGTTCATATAGTTAATTCACTCAGTTAAAGGTTGCTAATCCTTGAGTCTTGTGGCAGAAGACTTGAACAGAGGCAGAAGGATTGGCACAAATTCTTGCAGAAGCTTAGAATGCCGTTTCTAAGAAGGGGATTCCACTGAAACAGTAGGTAGATATAAGTATTATCACCACATGGATAGATGGCACTTTTCTTTGAGACTTTAACTTGTTTTATTGATGCTTCCAAATTAGGGAAATATATACCTAATTTGTTATGGTTATAGAGAAATTCATAATAGAATGGGTTGCTGAAATCATGTGGTAAGTTAGCAACAGAGCCATCAAGGTAGAGTCCCTTGGGGTCAAGATTGCCAGGCTATCCCTGTTCTTTCTGTTTTAGGCGTTAGGTGAAGCCCATTTACCTAATAAACTGTGGGAATTAAAGACCAAGGTTCTGTGGCAGAGAAATAACAAATACATAATGATTTTGTTAATACTGAGGGTTTTTTTCTTTTTAACCTAAGTTTACCAGATTTCTCCTTACATTATGAGTACAGAGGCTTCTGTTTTTTTTATGAAACAGGAATTGTAATAAACAGTTAATCACCACATTTCTCAATTTTGCAGCTGTGACAGCATGATGATACAGATTAAGACATCCCTCAGTGCAGAATGCAGAACAGTTCTCATGATTTCCACCTTCATTTAGTTTGAGCTGGCCACCTCAAAGGCAGAGACTTCCAGACTCTTGGGAAGGTTCAGGGTTTTGGTTAATTTTGCCATGTTTGAGTCCCTTTTTCTGATATATATTGGCCTATTATTTTCACCTCCATACAAATTTGCCCTTATAATTAATTACTGAAAACATGAAAATAGAGTTTAAATGAATTGAATTCAGAATATCCCACAGATAATTAAGGTACATATGCAATATACACAGAAGCCTTAAAGTACATGCTCATCCCCTTCAGCCTAGTCATTAGGTTTTATCCTGAGAATGGGGTTAGCCTAACCATAAGTGACTTCAGGGAATCTGTTACTTTTAAATTAAGAACCCCCAAAGAATTCAACAGAAGACAAAAAGCTAAGTACATCATCTACAATGTAACAAAAATTGGCATAACCTAAATGTCCAACTATAGGATTAAGTAAATTGCAGTTCATCACTTAATAGGATATTACACACAGGCACACCTTAGAGATGTTGCAGGTTTGGTTCCAGAAAACCACAGTAAAGCAAGTCATGCAATAAAGTGAGTCACATTCATTATTAATATTTGGTTTTCTAGTGCATATAAAGTTATGTTTACACTATAATGCAGTCTGTTAATTGTGCAATAGTATTATGTCTAAAAAAACAATATACATACCTGAATTTAAAAATACTTTATTGGTATTTGAGGTTATTGGCCCTGGTAGAGGGCCTTGCCTCCCCATTGATGGCTGCTGACTGATCAGGGTGGTAGTTACTGAAGCTTTGAATGGCTGTGGCAATTTCTTAGACAAGACAGCAATGAAGATTGCCGCATCAATTGACTCTTCCTTTCATGAAAGATTTCTCTGTAGCATGTGATACCGTTTGATAGCATTTTTACCCACGGTTGAACTTGCAAAATTAGAGTCAGTTCTCTCAAACACTGCCACTGCTTTATCACCTAAGTTGATGTGGTATTCTAAATCTTTTTTTTTTTTTTTGTCATTTCAACAATATTCACAGCATCTTCACCAGGAGTAGATTCTATCTCAGGATACTACTTTTCTTGCTCATCCATAAGAAGCAACTCCTTATTTCTTCAAGTTTCATCATGAAATTGCAGCAATTCAGTCAAATCTTCAGGTTCCTAATTATTTATTTATTTAGGAGACAGGGCCTTGCTCTGTCACCCAGGCTGGAGTGTAGTGGCAGGATCACGGCGCACCGCAGCCTAGAACTCCTGGGCTCAAATGATTCTCCCACCTCAGCCTCCCAAATAGCCAGTACTACAGGTGCACACCACCACGGTCACCTAATTTTTTTTTTCAATTTTTAACAGAGATGTGGTTTCTGTTTATTGCCCGGTCTGGTCTCAAATTCCTGAGCTCAAACAATCCTCCTGCCTCAGCCTCCCAAAGTGCTGAGATTACAGGTCTGACCCACTGCACCCAGCATTTTGTTTTTTATGAGATGGGGTCTTTCCCTCTGTCACCCAAGCTGGAGTGCAGTGGCACAGCCATAGCTCATTTTAACTTCAAACTCCTGGCTTCAAGCAATCCTCCTGCCTTGGGCTCCATAGATGCTGGGGTTACAGGCATGAGTCACCATGCCCCACCTTCAGGTTCCACTTCTAATTCTAGTTCTTTTGCTATTTCTGTAACATCTGCAGTGACTTCTCCAGTAAAGCCTTATGCCCCTCAAAGTATCCATGAGATGTGGAATCAACTTCTTCCAAAATCTTTTTAATGTTGATGTTTTTACCTCCTCTCATGAATCACAGATATTTTTAATGGCATCTAGAAAGGTGAATTCTTTACAGAAAGTTTTCCATTTACTTTGTCCAGAACCATCAGAGGAATCACTAGCTAGGGTAGCTATGGCCTTAAAATAAAACTTGAAAGCTGAAATTACTCTTTGATCCATGGCCTGCAGAATAGATGTTGTTTTAGCAGGCAGAAAAACAACATTCATCTCCATGTACCTCTCCATCAGAGCTCTTAAGTGACCAGGTGCATTGTCAGTGTGCAGTGATGTTTTGAAAGGAGTCTTTTCTTCTGAGCAGTAGGTCTCAACAGTGGACTTAAACTATTCAGTAAACTATGCTGTAAACAGACATGCTGTCATGCAGGCTTCATTGTTCCATTTATAGAGCACAGGCAGAGTAGATTTAGTGTAACCCTTAAGGCCCCTAGGATTTTCAGAATTGCAAATAATCACTGGCTTCAGCTTAAAGTCACCAGCTGCATTTTTTCGCTGACAAGAGAGTTTGCTTCTTTCCTTAAACCTCATGAACCAGCCTCTGCTAGTTTCCAACTTTTCTTCTACAGCTTCCTTACTTCTCTCAGCCTTCATAGAACTTTGTAGAATGGAGGAGAGTAAAGGCCTTCCTCTGGATTAGGCTTTGGCTTAAGGAAATATTGCAGCTGGTTTGATCTTCTATCCAGACCACTCGAACTTTGTCCATGTGAGCAGTAAGGCTGTGTCACTGTATCATTTATGTGTTCGCTGGAGAAGCACTTTTAATTTCCATCAGGAACTTCTCCTTTGCATTCACAACTTGATTAACTAGTGCAGGAGGCCCAGCTTTTGGCCTGACTCAGCTTTCGACGTGCCTTCCTCACTAAGCTTAATCATTTCTAGCTTTTGATCTAAAATGAGACATGCTACTCTTCCTTTCATTTGAACACTTACAGGCCATTGTAGGGTTATTAGTTGGCTGGCCTAATGTCAATATTGTTGTGATCCCTGGAATAGAGAGTCTCCCTGAAGAGAGAGTCAAAGGAACAGCTGGTTAGTGGAGCAGTGAGAACACACACAGCATTTGTTGATTAAGTTCACTGTCTTATATGGACGTGGTTCCTGATGCCCCCAAAACTTGTAGAAGTAACATCAAAGATCACTGATCACAGATCACCATAGCAGTTGTAATAATAATGAAAAATTTTGAAATATTGTGAGCATTACTAAAATGAGACAGAGACACAAAGTAAAACATGCTGTTGGAAAATGGGTGCCAGCATACTTAATTGACGTGGGATAGCTGCAAATCTCCCATTTGTGGAAAATGCAGTATCTGTGAAGAGCAACCAAGGGAAGATCCATGAACGAGCTATGCCTGCAACTGTTATTATCCTAGTTCTGAAGATGACTTACAAACATGGAAGGATACGAGTGTAGAATAAGAGTGAGAATAGAGGAAATTGCCTCGTATTAAAGCTCTATGTAGTGTATATGTACATGGGTAAAAACTGACAGTAGTAACCAAACCCGAAGCTTTTGTGTGAAGTTGGTGGTTTTTATTTTTTCCAAAGTTTCCTTCATTGTTTCAACAGAAAGGGTAGAAGAAGGGGAGGGGAGAAGATGTAGTAAATTTAGTTTTGGTGTTTTCTTTCATTCTCTTTAGAATAATGGGGTCCCAGACACTTCTGAGTCTCATGATGCAGTGGTATCTTTACAACTGACTTTCTAGATTGACACTTTTATGTTTGTTTTTTTTCCTGTTGTCGTGTTTCTCAAAGTGTGGTCTAGGTCTCATTTTCCAGATTGAATTACAGTTTATGAAGGTGTCCTTATAGTCAGCTGATGGTGGAAAGGTAGAGTCAAAGTCAGAAAAATAATTTTAGTGTATGTCTATAGTTTTGATGAGAAGAGGCTTTAACCAACGATTAAAGCAGAAAGGGTAAATGCCTTCTGTGTTAAGAGCTGCTTTTTGGTTTTGAAAAGGGAAAGAAAAATTCAGCTAAAAGGTTCTGTGAAATTTGTTATAACTTAAAGAGGTCTTGCCATGTGAAATTTGAGATTCATTATAGTCGTATTTTTTCCCAAGAGAATCTTATCTATCGTATGCCTTAGATTTAGATTTAGATTCTGAACTCTACAAGTCAGAGCAGAATGTTGTACTCAATACACTAAATAAACTGAACTCAGTAGACTAAAATGTTGTGCTCAATAAACGCTTGTTATTAACAGAGTTCATTGACCATGTTGGACATTTCCCATTTGTACTCTTCCCTGATTTTCCTATCAGGGAAGGAGCATCAATATTGATTCACGGAACAGAAGGAACTGATTCCACACTCCAGGTGACCTCCTTGGCCCAGATCATCTTAGAGCCAAGAAGCAGGACCATTCGTGGTTTTGAGGCCCTGATTGAAAGAGAGTGGCTGCAGGTGAGAAGAGCTGTTTGATTCACAGAGGAACTGCTTATTGATGCTGTGATCCTGCTTTGTGTGGTAGCTGACATAATGTGTGAAATTTCGATTGATTAAAATTTCTAAGTTGTGTGTTTAATTTACTGCAGGACAGTTAATCTGTCTTCTCCTTGTTTCTGGATGTCTCTTTGCCTGTATTCCTCACTTGACACTTCCTTCACTTAGGAAACTCCTGTTGGCTGTGCTTTATCACATACAGGAGAAATACAAAGAATGGGAAGCATAGTGCAATCTCCCAGAAGCTGGGTCTTGACGGATCAAAGACATAAGCAGTCGGGGAAGGGGGAGTGGGGCCTGTAGTTGCAAGGAAAGCGCTTTAACCCTTTCAAAGCCTTTTGCTCGTGCTGCTCCACCCTGTGAAGCTTCCTTCAAAGATAAAACTGAATCATGTAATGTTGGATGGCTGCCAAAATAAAAGTCTCACTCATAACAGGGATTGATATCCTCCACAGAGATTACTTTTCAATATATTTCTACTGTGTAAGCTGGTAAATAATTGTATTTGAACACAAATGCTTACATATCTTGAAAGCAGACATTTTTCTGGCAAAAAGAGTATCTTGCTCCTCTGGTTACAATTCGCATTTATCATGCACTAATGCTGTTACGTACACCATGTCCACCCTGCCTGACAACTGACCTTACCTCTGTTTAAGTCAGACCATACTAAGTTTATGCTCCATATTTGATGAAAGTCTATTGAGCTATATTCCTCATGATGCATAGTAGACAAACAAATGAGTATGACTGACTGATTTTTATGTTATTTTAATGGATATCACAATTCTGTGAACCACTGTAAAATTTCTATGTCATTACCTTTGTCACATACAGTAGTAGAAGGACCCAGAGACAAAGCAGATCTGTGAAATTCCTAGCAGAGTATGATTTGTATTAAGGTCAGCATTTGGGTTCTGAACAAGACAGTCAAATGAGTCTTAAATTTACTTTGGTCAGTAGATGGCAGACTCTTGCTGTTCATTTTGGGAGAAGAGGGTAATTAATGACAGCTTTATCTCCTGTAGAAAAGTACTCATAAAGATCTTTCAACACAATAACTTTTCGTATATAATTAGAGATTTACTATCAGAGCTGACATTATAAAGGTGATCAGAGTTCCATATCTGTCTCCACTTAGGGTGAGGCTTGTTTAGTGTACAGCACAATCTACAGTGTTAGACAGAGGTGATGATTCTTCTTTGTACTGAGAGCTTATGTTCTTTGACTTTGCTCCAGGTTTTGTAGACCTAGAAAGGTTTATTTTGTAAGTTTATTATTGCTTAAGTTCATTATTCTTCCATGGGATATTCCAAGGGCAGTGCAGTTCCTGTGGTCACACCTTAGCCGCGCAGCCTCATTAAGGATTTGGAAGTGTGTCTTTTTCCTTAGTTGCTGCCGCTATTTATTTTATACCAAGAAATCATTAATCTGTACAACAGCTACCCTAATTATATGATGTTCCAGGTACTAGGAGTGTCACTGTAATTGTGTATAGTGGTGTCGGTAGAATGCTCTGTCATGTGATCTCACCAGGATATGACTGTCACGCCTCCATCTTCCCCCTAGGCTGGTCACCCATTCCAGCAGCGCTGTGCACAGTCAGCCTACTGTAACACCAAGCAGAAGTGGGAGGCTCCTGTATTTCTTCTCTTCTTGGACTGCGTGTGGCAGATCCTTCGTCAGTTTCCCTGTTCTTTTGAGTTTAATGAGAATTTCCTCATCATGCTCTTTGAGCATGCTTATGCCTCACAGTTTGGAACATTTCTGGGCAACAATGAAAGTGAAAGGTGAGTACACTGCTCACATGGGGACCTTTCCTTTTCCGTTGTTTTGGCTACTTCCTAAGTAGCCAGAATCTCCTAGGAGACGACGATTTGGATCTATATTAAAATTATTTATAAAAAGGTAGAGGCTACAGTTAATTATAATTTAAATGACCTGAAGTATATTCTTTTATGAGAGCATGTCCTAGACTTTGTTCTGTTAGGTTAAAATTAGTCCATACGTGAATTAAGGGGCAACCATTTTAAATGTTAATTTCTTAACATAGGATCATAGTATCTTACATGTGGAAAAAGCCTTAATTTATAATTCAGGTCTTCCCTCTAATTTTATTAAGAAAGTAAGATCCAGAGAAGTTACGTGACTTTTCCCAGGACATAGAGTCAGTTGGTCATCAAAAGTGTGGCCTAGAGCAGCGATCCCCAACCATTTTGGCACCAGGGACCAGTTTTGTGGATAACAACTTTTCTTTGGATTGGGTGGCAGCGGGATTGGTGATGGTTTTGGGGTGAAACTGTTCCATGTCAGATCATCAGGCATTAGATTCTCATAAGGAGAATTCTCATAAAGGCGCACCCTAGATTCCCCACATGCGCAGCTCACAGTAGGGTTTGCGCTTCTCTGAGAATCTGATGCTGATCTGACAGGAGGTGGAAATACGCGCTCATCTGCCACTCACCTCCTGCTGTGTGGCCAGTTCCTAACAGGCCACGGACCCTTACTGGTCCATGGCCTGGGGTTTGGGGATCCCTGGCCTAAATTACAGGTCTTCCTCCTCCTGCTCCAGACTTTGTTACACCTAGAAACTGTCCTCAGGCCCAGAGTGGCAAGCTCACCTTACAGCCCAGGCACCATCAAGTGTATAGGTTCATTTACAAGATTCACATCAGAATGATCTTTCAGGGAGGTTGCCTGGTAATCTCTTCAGGGTACAATCAGCAGCCTTCCTTGCCTCATTGCTGGCAGCCACCATTTTCTGAAGCATGTGTTGCTTAGCCCTGGACTGTACTCTGGCAGGGAGGGACAGGAGGGATTGGCAATTTCTATAGCCAAGGAAGTTTGGTGAATATGACATAATATCCTCCCCACTTAGAGGGGAGGATTAACTCCCCCACTTAGAAGGGAGGATTTAATGATTAACGCATAATCATTAAAGGCTTTAAGACACTCTTCAGTAAAGCAATGTATATAAGTTTAATTCAGCATTTAAGAAATGTGTTTGATGATGAATTTTTTTTGGTGTTATACCTGTTAATATCCTCAGGACTAGCTTTCAAGAAGGGATCAAAATAGATTCCCATTCTGTTTCCCAGTTGGTAGAGGCTGCCAGCAATGCTGATGGGAAGGATTCTGAAGTGGTGTCAGGCTCAGCCAGAGCAAGTTCAGTGGTTGGCCGGCCATGGGCAGGGGGCACAGGGCTGGAGGCAGTGGATGCAATAATGTCCTGTCCTTGTCATCCCTGGTTCCTGGGAACATAGCGTGGGACATGCTATCCCAGCAGTTAAAGTCCAATGCCACATAGGCTCTATGATTATGTGGATTATTTTTATTGCTAGCTCAAAAAGAATGCAGTAAGTTGCACGTAGCTCATAAATAATCATGTGGTTTCAGAGACAAAACTGATTTTATAATAAAATCTCAGCTTAAACTGAGTCTTATGAGAATTGAATGTATTATCTTTTTGGTTGATGTAAGGTTTACCACAGACTGTCTTTCAATCTGTGTTAAAATGTATTTTTTTCTAAAACATGCCGATCGACTGTTATCCTTCTCTAACAGTTTATTCACATGATAAAGAGTGTTCCAGAGTTTTAGAATTATTATGAAGCCTGTTCATTGTATGTGGATATAGATTAAATATGTATTTATGTCAAGATTCACATTGATTTTTCATCTTTGACAATCTGTATTTTATGTACATGTAAGTTATTTTCCCTAAAAGCTAAGTCTCTAAAAAATTTTAAGTTTTGTTTGAGATTTGACTCAACCTCCACTTTTAATATTAGTATGGGCGTAAGAAGGATACAGTGGACTTTGGGGACTTGGGGGAGGGACAGAAGGGGGACGAGGGATAAAAGACTACAATTAGGGTTCATTGTATACTGCTCGGATGATGGGTGCACCAGAATCTCACAAATCGCCACTACAGAACTTACTCATGTAACCAAATACCACCTGTTCCCCAATAACTTATGGAAAAATTAAAATAAAAAATTAAAAAAAAAAACAATTAGAAAGTGGTTATCAAACAATGTAAATAATGAAGACCCTGGGGGTCTTTCCAGACATTCATATTTGTAAGCTATCCTGGTTGTTTCTGCACAACAAGCCCTTTCTTAAAGAAACTAGAAAAATAAATAGGACATAAATGTCAAAAAGTGTATAATTTTTATGTTTATATTATAGGCTTCTCAGAAACAAAAAGGTTAGAAAGTTTTTTTATGCTTAGCTATTTTTAATTAAAATAGAATCCCAAATATAACAAAGGACTTTTGTGTACAGTAATGTTCTCTGGGTTAAGGTTTAACACCAAACCTGATGTGACCAGATTCTGTTTTTATCCTCCTGCCAGCTTCTTGGAAGCCTGTAAAATACTCTTTGTTTTGTTGTTGTTGAGAGTTCTAATGCCGATTGAGCTTTTTGACAAATCTATTGATTTTTCAACACTTTGTTTCTCTACCAAAAGTCTTGTATTCTATCTTCTTTCATACTGAGAAGAAATTGTCCTCGTAAGAGGAGCACTCAATAATGGTTGTTATAAATTAATTACTTTAATGGCAGTGTTCTTTCTTGATCAGATGTAAGTTGAAGCTACAGCAGAAGACGATGTCTTTGTGGTCCTGGGTTAATCAGCCCAGTGAGCTGAGTAAATTCACCAATCCCCTCTTTGAAGCCAACAACCTTGTCATCTGGCCTTCAGTTGCTCCGCAGAGTCTTCCACTGTGGGAAGGTAAACCACGCATCCTTTGCAAACTTCTTAACGGTCAGGTGTGCATGCGGCTGCCTGTGAGTGTGTGCTGTTGGTGATGTATGAAGATGGTGAGCTGGACGTGGCCCTCAGACCTGTGTGAATTGTCATTCTCAGTGTGGGCATGTTTTTCTCTTTCAAATCAGTTATCTAGCCACACTTTTTTTTTTTTTCAGTTACCATTGAGAAATTAACAGTGTTTCTTTACATTGCTGTTTATGTTGGATATTTTTCTAGATAAGAAAGTACCTTACTCTTTGCCTAAGAGAGTTGGTAAGTAGTTGGGACATGAATAAATTGTAAGCTCATCAGGGAGAGTTTCTGTCCCTTAATGAAGCAGTCATTAGGATAGGTTCTTGTATTAAATGGTATTAAAGAGTTACATGGCTGGGCATTCCAGTAAGTTTCTATAAATGGGCACAAAATACCATCAGTGCAGTAACACAGATATTTCATTGTTCTTATGGGACTATATGCTTAATTTTTAAATCTATTCTAAAGTAGATTTTTTATATGCACTGATTTTTCCAACTATTGAAGCTTATCCCCTTAAGTATGGAAGCTTATTAATTAAAACATAACCAAAATCTGGCCAGGTGTGGTGGCTCACGCCTGTAATCCCAGCACATTGGGAGGCTCAGGTGAGTGGATCACTTGAGGTCAGAAGTTCAAGACCAGGCTGGCCAACATGGTGAAACCCCATCTCTACTGAAAATACAAAAATTAAACAGGCCAATTTGGTGGTGCGGGTCTGTAGCCCCAGCTACTCAGGAGGCTGAGGCAGGAGAATCACTTGAATCTGGGAGGCAAAGGTTGCAGTGAGCAGAGATGATGCTACTGCACTTTAGCCAGGGTGACACAACGAGACTTTCTCAAAAAGATAAAAATAAAGATAAAAATAACCAAAATCTATCTGAACTATATAGTGTTTCATTAAACAAAGCCTCTAAAATACCATTTAATTTTTAAAGTTATTTTGAAGATAATAAGCACACATTTATTCATGTTTATGTTTAATAGCATAAAGTATACATACAAGAATGGTAGCTGTTTGTTAAATTAAACCGAATTACCGTTAATGCCAGTTGTTACGCCGTATTCTAGTATGTTATACTCTCAAAGGCAGTTCACGTGTGGAAAACTATTTGCCCTTTGTGGAAACGGGTCTCAGATTGCTTTGGCTTCTGAGTCTGAGACCAAATCAGTTTCTGTCTCTTCTCTGGATGTCAGCTGTCACATCTAGTTCCTCTTGGCTTATCTGCCATTAGTGGCTTCCTTCCACCTCAGTTCATGCTTCTAATCTTATCTATTGAAGTGTCCCCTAGTTAGCATTGTGGGGAAATGGTCTTAGATGGTCTTGAGGTTCTGGGTGTGAGCTTTAGTGCTTTGATTTGTGAAGGGATGGTGACTGCTCAGAACTTCTCTTTGCTTACTTTCGTGATTGTCGTCACAGTCAGTACAGGGTTCATGATCTCTTAAACGAGAGGTTACAGTATTCTTCCTGTTTAGGACTTCTGGGACAATGTACTTAAAGCCACTGTCACATTTAATAACTGAAATGAGCGTAGCTGTTTGGGAGAAAACCCACATTGGGAGCTGGGTGGCCTGAAGGATGATTTAATTGCTTTGTACCAAACCTCCTTGTGGAGCTTAGAGATAAGTGATGGGATGAAATCCTTGTTCTGTGGATTAAGTCCTGCCATGCCGGAGTTTCAGTGTGTGTTTCATGCTCCTCAACCTAGAGCTGGGAGAAGAAGAAGCTCTCTATTAGGTAAAATCCTATGGTAGGCATCTATATTGAATAAGACTGCTCTTCGGCCTTAAAATATCTCTCTGCTGTTTACATTTACATCACAGCTAACCATTAATATTTAGAAATTCCTGAATTAGAAAAATCAACATGGGTGGGTCAGGCTTTACGCTGTGGTTCTGCTTTCCCTTTCTGATACAGCCTGATGTTGGGAGCTGCATAGAAGGGCTCATTAGGACCCATGGCAGTTTGGTTTGTAGAGAGTGTTTTAATGAATCATAAAACCTTTGTGAACTTGCCATCCACTGACATGGTGCAGCCTGGAAGATTTTCGTGCCTCCTGACTTGAGTAACTGTAAGGCATTATTGTGGTGTGATACAGTTAACATAGGGCTATGGAGAGGAGAAAATATTTCCTTTTGGTTCATAATAAAAGGATAATTATTATTATTTGGGGAAAGAAGAAATTGCCTGCAGAATTGAAAGATTGCCTCTCAAGTAACAGGGAGAGAGGCATGTAAGCACGTGGGCTACAGTTCAGGCTTTCAAATAACAACATATGTGGTTCTGCTTTTACTGTAGTTGTCACTTTTCAGGTGAAAATGGCTTCACACATTTAAGGGATCTTACATGTCTGAGCAATATTCTATAATTATAAAAATAAGTGATTTATATTGTGAAATTGGAAAGTTTATGACATTGCAAATTATCATCTTGTTTTCCTGAATATATCATAAAATGGTATTTGGATCTATTTGATAATTTTGTGGGATATTTCTGAAGAATCAATGAGCATGTACATACAAGTAGTGACTTCTCAAATATTGTATTCAATTGCATCCTTTTCAGTACCTCAAGATTCCTGTATATTTTAGAGTATAATAAAATACAGATGTGAGTTGTGGCAACAAAAGAAAAAAGAATGTATAATACATAAATTACATCTTATCCACAAATGTAATTTTAATCCATTGTATATACCTTTCTTGCTTCTGTTTTCCATTCCTGGATTCAATAGGTATTTTCCTACGTTGGAATAGATCCTCTAAGTATTTGGATGAAGCATATGAAGAAATGGTTAACATCATTGAATATAATAAAGAATTACAAGCAAAAGTCAATATCCTTCGAAGGCAGTTGGCAGAACTGGAAACAGAGGACGGGATGCAGGAGAGTCCCTGAAAGGTCTCCTCGCACCCTTCGCAAGGACCTTCTTGGGCCTGTGTCCGCCGTTCTCTCCTTGTGCCCTTCAGTTCACTTTTACACGGTAGCCTTGAAGTGAAGGCTTTAGATGTGGGACCCCCCTAATGTAATGGATTTCTCAATACTGTATGAATAATGAAACTTACTATCATAAACCATGTTTCATGTGGCCTGTTAGGGCCTGTCACTTTGGGAGCCGGAAGGAGGTGCTAGTCATTTTATTTTTACGTGAAATAGATGACCTATTTAATGCCATTTGTGTTTCATGCCATTTTATCCAAAGCTTTTTCTCTGTGTCCACTCTCCAAACAGCATTCTAGAGCAGTCAAGGAGACAGCTAATCTCTCTAGGGACTATTTGGTGGTTTAAAAAAAGGGTCAGACTTTTAAACACTCTGACCATAGAAATGTTTTTCAAAATGGCAACAATGGATAAACCAAGGATTTTGTGTTTAACAATCCATTTCCAGTGTCTTCGCCACATAAAATAGCCATTTTCTTTAAAATAGTTTTGGACTAACGAAGCTGAAATCTATTCTCATTCTTGTTTGTCAAGAAAGGAAAATCTGTTATTCAAGGTAAATTATTTCTACAAGGGCAACAGGTATGGTCCTCCGATATTTACATTAAGAAGAGTTAAATTTATTTTAACGTAGACACTAAAAGTATGTGCAATATACAATTAAAGTAGGAATTTGTTACTGATTGAGAATTGTTACTGGTGAATTGGTTTTCAGGTTTTGAGCATACATATACAATGTGTTTCAAATGCTGCTTGTAAAATTAAACCATCATCTAGAATAGAGTTAATTTATTATAATCAAGCTACAAATAGGTTTTCTTAAACCAGAGATGCACTGCCCTTGTCTAAAGTTCTTATTGCACTGGTTTATATGTGTATGTGTGTTTTATTGTGTGTTTTTTTAATTTGTAAGTATTCTAAGAGTTTCCTAATACTAAGGTTAAAATTTTCATGTTGACCTGAGCCTTTTGCAAATTTGCTTTGGCTCTATTGATTTGTCCATTATGTGTTAGGCAAATATAACTTAAGTGGAGGGGGAAGTTTATGAATATAATATAGCTCTGTGTTTTAAACCTCAGAAACAGATTTGAGTGTTTCAGTATTATAGAAACAGTGATGACTATTCATGCTCTGCTAGTCTATGCCTGCAACTCCAAATGTTTGTGGTTCAGTATTTCCCACCTACATTTCTGTTTGGTGACATTGCTCATTTTAACAAATATGACCGAGTCTAGTTTTTCTTTAAAAGGATAGTTTATGAGTAATCTTTAAAACCATTTCCATACCATCTGTATATAACCATTTCGGTAGAGAACACACTACACTGAACCCTGCTTTAGAGCTGTGTGTTGAGCTAAAAATATAATTTTTTAAAAATTGACTAGCAAAATCTATGGCCACACTGAGAAGCCTTTGAAAATGGCAAATACTTTTCATCACCAATTGCCCAATTCATCTTTCTTCTGCTTCCTCAGCCTTGTAGCAAAGGCTACACAGCAGCCCACAGTCCACAGTCTTTTTGGGAAAATTGGCCTGCCACCTTCTTTAAGCTCAGTTTATTTTTGACTTACTTTCTTTGCTGTAGTTATGAACCTTGGGGCATTAAAATCCCATGGCAAGGAGCATAAGAGATGTTCTCGTAGCTCTGCGTTGTGTGAAATGTCCATCTTAGTTTTGTTAAAAAAAAAAAAAAAAAAAGGAAACAGCCTCACTTTTTTGTGCTCCCTCAGAATTGCTTGCTATGTCTGTTAATACAGCTGAGCTTTTTGTTTTCTTCTCTTTTTGTCTCAAGATTGTATATGAAGGAGGCTTTTCTTCTCAGCTAACAGGCATATAAGGAAAACCATCTAGAGAGTTTTCTTTAGAAGTGACTCCCATTAGCCTGGTGTGGTGGTGTGTGCCTATAGTCCCAGCCACTAGGAAAGCTGAGGCAGAAGGATCCCTTGAGCCTAGGAGGTTGAGGCTGCAGTGAGCTATGATCGCATCAGTCCACTCCAGCCTGAGCAACAGAGCGAGACCCTGTGTCTAAGTAAAGAAAAAGCCAGAAGTGACTCCCACTGCTTCTGTTGATCGGCCATAGGGCTTCCATGGGTGGAAACTTGTGAGGGAGTTTGTATTAGGTCTGGTCATGGAGGGATGATGTACCATCAAGGTAGACCCATCTTCCTGATGCACATTTGCTGTGCGAGCCAGAGTACAGTCATAACACGGTATTCGCATTTCGTTTTCTCTGTCTCACTGAGACAACAATCTATACTGTTTTGGCAAGTTTGCATTTTAGTATTAATTTATAATTAGGGATTGTTCAAACTTCAGATCTGTTTACAGGTTGTAAAAATAAACTTCGGTATCAGTGCATCTACAGAAGTGTTATTTGGTAATCCAAATATTAGAGTTTTCCCAAATCCAAAAACGGTCAGAAATAAGTCCATTATCAATATAATTTGAAGAAGATTTTTAGTAGTACTGTGAAGTTCGTGCTTACCTGGATGAGAAGAATAAATGACACGGATACACTCCTGAGAAGACACTCGTTAAACATTGCATCGGAGAGCTGCCTTTGATAAATGTGCTGTTAAACACTTGAATGAAGAGAATGGTGGCAGAATGAGTGAGCAAGCAGATTGCCCCAGAGGGGCCGGTAATAATCACGTGAGGGATAATCAGATTCCTGCGTATTCAGCATCTTCTCTATTCATGTGGAGTGAAAGCTGGTTTTTATACAGGAGATACGTAAAGTAGGCCCCACAAATAATATTTTTAAAATACAAAGGATCACCACAATCCTCTATTGAACATATAAGGATCCTCAGATTTAAATAAGTACTTTTTTTTTTTTTAATCAGAAGAACATTGTTGTTTGATTATATGTTTTTAAAAACCTGAAGCTTTTTTGGTGGCAGGACCTTTCAATAAATATTTATTTGGTCAAAATTTTTTATTTTGATTTTATTAAATGGGAAGAAAGCAAGCAGAAATAGTAAAATTCAGTAGGTTTAAAACAATCTATAAATGTATTTTATTTCCAAGAAAACTTAGGGTCTCAAAGCAAGATTTTAAAGTGATTTTTGAGAAGACTTGGGGGGGACAATAATAGACATTCATGTCAGATCCCATATGGGGGATTTTTAAACATTTCTTTGAACTTTGAGGCCTGATTTAGGGGTGGGATTTTATTGCTTTTTGTTTTAAAGGATGAAATTTTGTGGGGTTTTAGTCTTTGATTCAGTCAGTATTTGGTTTATGTTAAATAAAAAATCAGTATCATGGAAAAGATATGACCATAATTTAGTCTCCTCAAGTGAAAAACAGGAGTAATGTTTCGTTGCACTTTGAAAGATCTGCTTCAAGGCATAACTCGTGTAGTTGTCTGGTTTCAGGGATAGCTGTTTGAATTGTCATTCTAAAGTAGGTCATCAGGTTCACTTATTATCCGACCTTAATCTGGGATAAAGGTTTTGGTATTTGCCCACTTCTAGATAGAATGAATGAAAACAACACAAGCGTTTTATGAGCACTCTTTATCAGAAAGGTATTTCCTGGACCAGAAATGGGCAATAGTTACAATAGTTGATCCTCTGTTCTGGAAGCTTTGAAATTTATCAGAGAATGAAGTCATTCAGTACATCTGATAAAGTTTTGTTGTTGTTGTTGTTGTTGTTGTTGTTTTAATTGGGCAACCCTCAGAACTGAAGAGGTTCAGAGAACTTTCCAGGTTTATACTATACCTCAAGACCACATAGATTAGCTACTGCTTATTCTTTCACATGGGCTAGGCCTGTTCTCCTCCTCCAGACCTAGTATTCTAAGTTATTACCACATAGTATTTTTATGTTACCCATCATCTTTAAAAACATTATAGGCTGGGCATGGTGGCTTACGCCTGTAATCCCAGCACTTTGGGAGGCCAAGGCGGGCGGATCATGAGGTCAGGAGATCGAGACCATCCTGGCTAACACGGTGAAAACCCATGTCTACTAAAAATACAAAAAATTAGCCAGGTGTGGTGGCGGGCGCCTGTAGTCCCAGCTACTCAGGAGGCTGAGGCAGGAGAATGGTGTGAACCCGGGAGGCAGAGCTTGCAGTGAGCCGAGATCGCACCACTGCACTCCAGCCTGGGCGAAAGGGCAAGACTCCATCTCAAAAAAAAAAAAAAAAAAAGACTCATTTATCCATTTACATTTATTCTCAGATGATAAAATATATACTGATACTATAACTTTCTTATGGTATCAGTTTTCTTTATTTTCTTGAATAAAATTACTTCTACCTTCATTTGGTCTTTATAATCCACTGTCCACAGCATCTTCCTTTAAACCAATAGTCCCAGAAGAGACCCTCTGAAATTCTAGGACTGGATATTAAAATGCCTGAACCTGTTATCTAAATCCTTTTTAAGAAACTTAATGTTCCAGCTCTTGAACTACACTGTGGAACAGTAATTTGTGCCCAATTTAGTGGAAGATAATGAGGCTCACTGTAAACACTACATTGTCCTGCAAAGTAATTCTGATGAGAGTTTACTGACTTCTAGAGCCATTCTCTTTAACCGTCTGCAGGTCTAAGGATTAACTATATTTGTGATTTGTAATAAAACTGAGTTGTACAACACTGCCTGTGTTTGTCTGGCCAAGACATTTGCTTCACTTTTAAAATGCACGTTATCTTTGGAGAGGTGAATTATTCTACAAAATGCACCCTAAATCTCATTGTTTAAAACCTTACTGATCTAATACCATCTACACAAAAAAATGTTGTAGTTGCAGAACTTAGTTTATAAAAACAAAGAATGTGTATTTCTTCAATAGCCGGGTATTTGGATTGTTCTCTTGATAATATTTGAATGTGACTCTTGGATTTAAGTGCACTATTATTCATGGCTTATACAATAAAATTGCACTGTATGGCAAATATGTCTATAATGTATGCTTTGCTGAAACCTCAAGAGTGCTGTAAGGTACAGGTTTCCATATTGTGAACCTGTGTACGCACACACACATATACATACAGTCTTAGGGAAAAAAAAAAGCAGAACTTTTGTAAGTCTGTGTAACATTTTAATATTGTTTGTAATATTCACTAGGTGATAATTTCCCCTGTACCCTATAACTGTAATCATTCACCTTGGGTTGGCCGGTTTGTCAAGCTTGGTTTACTGAATCAAGAAAGAGTCTTGTCGAATGTGGTACTGTTCTTAGTGTGTAATATTTGCGTATGGTGTTCCTCTGCCTCAGAGGACAGTTGCACAGATGGCTAGTGTTAAATTTCTATAGACGATGGTAATAAAATCTGAATATATTTAAGTGCTAATAAATTAAATCTGTGGGCTTATTTGAATTTTTTTTTCAAATATTGGTGAAGGTTTGGATGGTGTTTCAATTAAATCTATATATTTTTTACCTTACATTTTGAAAAAATTGAGATCTGCAAAAAGGCTGCAAAATAGTACACTGATCTCCCTAGATTGTTCCTATATTGAATGATTGGTAAAATTTTCCATATTTGCTTTAATACCACGTGTGTGTGTGTGTGTGTGTGTGTGTGTTTGTTACACTGTTATTTTGCTGAAACATCCGAGTTAGCTGCAGACATTGTGACCCTGTCTTCTAAATACTTCACAGGAATCTCCCAAGAATTAGGAATATGTATTCTACATATTATTGATTTAGTATGTATTAATATAAACACATGACTCATTGAGGGTAAAAGGAAAGCTCTTTCTTAGAGTAGAATGCCAGCTATTAAATGTAGAAAGAAAATGGAATTAAAAAGCCACTATTTGGCATATTATTACAGTAATCATTGACTTAGGCAATGCCTAACAGTGAATGGCAAAACTAGCAGGTGAAAATTTGTGAAGAACAGAATATAATCTCCAAATAGCCTTCCACAAAATAGTTACTAGTTACAAAGGAGAAAATACTAACTTTATAGTGAAAGGAACTGGTAGATATCACCTTATTTCAGGAAAAGTTAACATCATTAGTAATGGGACATATCAACATCATGTGCCTTCTGATATGATCCATCCAGAAACAGCACCACTGTTGGAGGGAAAAAGCAGTCTTAGGAGTTTTATAGTTTAAAATCTTACATTTAGATCTTAATCCATTCTGTATTAATTTTTGTATACCGTGTAAGGTAAGGGCCCAATTTCATTATTTGCATATGGATATTCAGTTTTTCCCAACACTTTGTTGAAGAGACTGTCCTTTTCCCATTGTGTGGTCTTGGTATCTTTGTTGAAGATTATTTGACCATATGCATATTCATTTCTGTGCACTCTATTGTGTTCCATTGGTGTATATGTCTGTGTTAATCACTGGAAGGCTGAGGCAGGAGGATCACATAGGGCCAGGAGTTCGAGACCAGCATGGGAAACATAACAAGATCCTGTCTTTACAAAAAATAAAAAAATTAGCCAGGCATGATGGTGCTCATCTGCAGTCCTTGCTACTCAGAAGCTGGAGTGGGAAGATCACTTGAGCCCAGGAGTTCCCTCTCCCTCTCTTTCCATGGTCTCCCTCTGATGCCGAGCCAAAGCTGGACTGTACTGCTGCCATCTCGGCTCACTGCAACCTCCCTGCCTGATTCTCCTGCCTCAGCCTGCCGAGTGCCTGCCATTGCAGGCTCGCGCCGCCACGCCTGACTGGTTTTCGTATTTTTTTGGTGGAGACAGGGTTTCGCTGTGTTGGCCGGGCTGGTATCCAGCTCCTAACCGCGAGTGATCCGCCAGCCTCGGCCTCCTGAGGTGCCGGGATTGTAGACGGAGTCTGGTTCACTCAGTGCTCAATGTTGCCCAGGCTGGAGTGCAGTGGCGTGATCTCGGCTCGCTACAACCTCCACCTCCCAGCCGCCTGCCTTGGCCTCCCAAAGTGCTGAGATTGCAGCCTCTGCCCGGCCGCCACCCCGTCTGGGAAGGGAGGAGCGTCTCCGCCTGGCCACCCATCGTCTGGGATGTGAGGAGCCCCTCTGCCCGGCTGCCCAGTCTGGGAAGTGAGGAGCGCCTCTTCCTGGCCGCCATCCCGTCTAGGAAGTGAGGAGCGTCTCTGCCCAGCTGCCCATCATCTGAGATGTGGGGAGCGCCTCTGCCCGGCTGCGACCCCGTCTGGGAGGTGAGAAGCGTCTCTGCCCGGCCGCCCTGTCTGAGAAGTGAGGAGCCCCTCCGCCTGGCAGCTGCCCCGTCTGGGAAGTGAGGAGCACCCCGCCCGGCAGCCGCCCCGTCTGGGAAGTGAGGAGCGTCTCCGCCTGGCAGCCGCCCCATCCGGGAGGGAGGTGGGAGGTCAGCCCCCGCCCGGCCAGCAGCCCCGTCCGGGAGGGAGGTCGGGGATCAGCCCCCGCCCGGCCAGCCGCCCCGTCCGGGAGGGAGGTGGGGGGTCAGCCGCGGCCTGGCCAGCCGCCCCGTCCGGGAGGGAGGTGGAGGGTCAGCCCCCCACCGGCCAGCCGCCCTGTCCGGGAGGGAGGTGGGGGGTCAGCCCCCACCCGGCCAGCTGCCCCGTCTGGGAGGGAGGTGGGGGGCGCCTCTGCCCGGCTGCCCCTTCTGGGAAGTGAGGAGCCCCTCTGCCCGGCCACCACCCCGTCTGGGAGGTGTACCCAACAGCTCATTGAGAACGGGCCATGATGACGATGGCGGTTTTGTGGAATAGAAAAGGGGGAAAGGTGGGGAAAAGATAGAGAAATCAGATTGTTGCTGTGTCTGTGTAGAAAGAAGTAGACATGGGAGACTTCATTTTGTTCTGTACTGGGAGGGGTTCTTCTGCCTTGGGATACTGTTGATCTGTGACCTTGACCCCAGCCCTGTGCTCTCTGGGGCATGTGCTGTGTCCACTCAGGGTTAAATGGATTAAGGGCGGTGCAAGATGTGCTTTGTTAAACAGATACTTGAAGACAGCATGCTCGTTAAGAGTCATCACCACTCCCTAATCTCAAGTACCCAGGGACACAAACACTGCGGAAGGCCGCAGGGTCCTCTGCCTAGGAAAACCAGAGACCTTTGTTCACTTGTTTATCTGCTGACCTTCCCTCCACTATTGTCCTATGACCCTGCCAAATCCCCCTCTGCGAGAAACACCCAAGAATGATCAATTAAAAAAAAAAAAAAGAAAGAAAGAAAGAAAGAAAAGAAGCAGAGTTGGACTCAGCGGGAAAATAGGCGTGCTACCACCTCAGGAGAGTTCCAGGGAAGAACCCCACCCGCACTCCAATGAGGTCACAATGGCTGGAGCTCTGAGGGGCCCAGGCTCCCTGAGCCAGGAGGAGAGGAGAAAGTCCAAGGAAAGATGGCTGGCAGTCACCCCTACTTCAACCTGCCTGACTCCACACACCCATCGCCGCCCTCCGCTCCACCCAGCCTCCGCTGGCACCAGCGCTGCCAGCCCTCTGGTGCCACCAATGGCCTGCTGGTGGCCCTGCTGGGTGGGGGCCTGCCTGCTGGCTTCGTGGGCCCCCTTTCTCGTATGGCTTACCAGGGTTCCAACCTGCCCTCGCTGGAGCTGCTCATCTGTCGATGCCTCTTCCACCTCCCTATTGCCCTGCTACTTAAACTGCGTGGCGACCCCCTTCTGGGACCTCCTGACATCCGAGGCTGGGCCTGCTTCTGTGCCCTGCTCAACGTCCTCAGCATTGGATGTGCCTACAGTGCAGTTCAGGTGGTGCCCGCTGGCAACGCTGCCACTGTTCGCAAAGGTTCTTCCACCGTATGCTCCGCTGTCCTCACCCTCTGCCTTGAGAGCCAGGGTCTCGGTGGCTACGAGTGGTGTGGACTGTTGGGCAGCATCCTAGGACTAATCATCATTCTGGGACCTGGACTCTGGACACTACAGGAGGGGACCACAGGTGTCTACACCACCCTGGGCTATGTGCAGGCTTTCCTGGGAGGCCTGGCGCTGTCCCTGGGGCTTCTGGTCTATCGTTCTCTGCACTTTCCCTCCTGCCTCCCAACAGTGGCCTTCCTATCTGGCTTGGTGGGGCTGCTGGGCTGTGTGCCAGGCCTCTTTGTGCTGCAGACCCCCGTGTTGCCCAGTGACCTCCTGAGTTGGAGTTGTGTGGGGGCAGAGGGGATCCTCGCCTTGGTCTCCTTCACATGTGTGGGCTATGCGGTCACCAAGGCCCACCCTGCCCTGGTGTGCGCTGTCCTGCATTCCGAGGTGGTTGTGGCCCTTATACTGCAGTATTATATGCTCCATGAGACTGTGGCACTTTCTGACATCATGGGGGCAGGGGTTGTGCTGGGCAGCATTGCCATCATTACAGCCCGGAACCTCAGCTGTGAGAGGACAGGGAAGGTGGAGGAGTGAGATAGAACTTGGGAGCCCGGGGGTTGGGAGGGACAGGGATAAATAAAGACAAAGACTGAAGACAAAAAAAAAATAAAAGAAAAAAAATAATTATAATAAATCCTAGGAAAGAGTGAAAGTCTAACTTCCATAGCACATTATAATATTGAGATGTTCAGTTATAATAAAAATATCACAAAGCATGCAAACAAATGAGAAATCTGGCTTATTTACAGGAATAAAATTAATTGAACTATCCTTAAGGAATCCCAGACTTTGGACTTACTAGACAAAGACTAAACAATTGTCTTAAATATGCACAAGAGTTAAAAGACAACTAAATGAAATCAGAGAAATGATGTTTGAACAAAATGAGAATATCAATAAAAATATAAAAATTATAGAAAGGAACCAGGTAGAAATTTTGTAGCTGAAACGTGCGACAACTGAGATGAGAAATTCACTAGAAGGGTTCGATAGAGTTTGTTTGTTTTTTGTTTTTTGCTTTTTTTTTTCTGAGACAGAATCTTGCTCTGTCACACAGGCTGGAGTGCAGTGGCATGATCTCAGCTCACTGTAACATCCGCCTTCTGGGTTCAAGCAATTCTCCTACATCAGCCTCCCAAGTAGCTGAGATTACAGGTGCATGCCACCACACGCAGCTAATTTTTGTATTTTTAGTAGAGATGAGGTTTCACTATGTTGGCCAGGCTGGTCTCAAACTCCTGACCTTGTGATCCACCCGCCTTGGCCTCCCAAAATGCTGGGATTGCAGGCATTAGCCACCACGCCCAGCCTTCCGTAGAGTTTTTGATCAGGCAGAAGAAAGGATCAGCAAATTTGAAGATAGGATTATTGAAATTATCCACTCTGAGGAGCATAAAGAAAAAGAATAAAAATAGTGAATAGACTTCAAGACTTGTAGGATACCATCAAGTGGACCAACATATGGTTTATGAGAGTCCTAGAAAAAAGCAAAAAAGTGTTTTAAAAATGAGGGCTGAAAACATCCCAGATTTGATGAAAGACATAAGTGTACAAATCCAAGAAGCCTCTACAACAACCTCTAATACCATAAACTCAAAGAGATTCATACCAAGACACAGTATATGAAAACTATCAAAAATCACAAAGAATCTTGAAAGTAGCAAGAGAATCAACTCATCACATTACAAGGGATCCTAAATGAGATTATCAACTAATTTTTAATTAGAATTAATGGAGGCCAGAAGACAATGGGATGATATAGTTTAAATGTTGAAAGAAAATAACCTGTCAACTGAGAATTATATATCCAGCAAAACTGTCCTTCAAAAAATAAGGGAGAAATTAAGACATGCCTAGATTTTTAAAAAGCTTAGGGATCTTGTTACTGCGAGATATGCCTGACAAGAAATGCTAAAGGGGGTCCTTCAGTGAGATGAAAGAACACTAGACAGTAACTTGAACCCATATGAAGAAAGAAGTATCTCCACGACAGATAAATTCTAGGGCAAATATAAAAACCAGTATTATTATAACTTTAGTTTATAACATCAGTTTTTATTTTCCATAGGAATTAAAAGACAAAAACATAAAAAAGCAATTATAAATCTATGTTAGGGAGCTTGTTACCAGTAGATTTGCCATACAAGAAATGCTAAAGGGAGTCCTTGAAGGTGAAATGAAAGGATGGTAGACAGTAACTCAAACCTGAGTGAAGAAATAAATATTTCTGGTTGCTATGGTTTGAATGTCCCCTCTAAAATGCATGTTGAAATTTAATTGCCATTGTGATGGTATTAAGAGGTGGAACCTTTAAGAGATGATTAGGTCATAAGGGCTCTGCCCTCATATATGGATTAATGCCATTATCATGGGAGTGAGTTAGTTATCATGGAAGTGGGTTCCTGATAAAAAAGATTCTGAAATTCAGCCCCGGTCCTTTTCTGTCTCACACACTGTCTTGTCCTTCCACCTTTTGCCATGGGATGAGGCAGCACAAAGGCCCTCACCAGATGCTGGCACCATGCTCTTGGACTTCCCAGCTTCCAGAGCCTTGAGCCAGATAAACTTGTATATAAATTATCCAGTTTGTAGTATTCTGTTATAGTAGCAGAAAAATGGACTAAGACACTGGTAAAGTAAATACAATGGCAAACATAAAAAAACAGTATTAATGTAATTTTGGCTTGTAACTCCACTTTTTATTTTCTAAGGAATCAAAAGACAGGCATAAAAATAAATGTTATTGAGCACTCAATGTATAAAGATTTGGGACATCAATAACAAAGGGCGTGGGACAGAGCTGTATAGGCATACGTTTTTCTATACTATTAAAGTTAACTTGGAATAAGTTTAGATTAGACTGTTTAAACTTTAGGTTGTTATGTGTAATGCTTATGGTAACCACAAGGAAAATATCTATGGAAAACACAAGAAGAAATGAGAAGGGAATCAAAAGATATCACTACCAAAAATAAATAAACTAAGCACAAAAGACAGTCATTATGGGGAAAATGGGGGGCAAGAAAGTAACAAAACATACAGAAAAGAAGTAACAAAACAGCAGAAGTCCTTATCAGTGATTACATTAAATGTAATCACTTTTCAATCAGAAGGCAGACAATGACGGAATGGAAAAAAGAATGATGTCCCATGTATGCAAGGCTGATTTAAATGTTAAATGTTAAATCAGCCTTCAGTTCAGCCAGTCAGTTAATGTAATCCATAACATCAACAGACTAAAGAAGAAAAACCACATGGTCATATCAGTAAATGCAGAAAAAGCTTTTCACAAAATCCAAAACTTTATGCTAAAACTCTTAGTAAACTAGGAATAGAGTGGAACTTCCTCAATTTGACAAAGAACATCTTAAAAAAATTCTGCAGCTAACATACTTAATGTTGAGAAGCTTGCCTGCTGATATCAGGAACAAGACAAGCATGTGCACTCTCACGACTCCTTTCAACATTGTATGGGAAATTATAACTAATGCAATGAGACAGAAACAGAAAAAGTATACAGATTGGGAAGGAAGAAACAGAACTCTTTGTTCACAGATGATATGATTTTCTATGTAGAAAGTCTAAAATAAGCAACCATAATCTCCTAGAACTAATAAACAGTTATAGCAAGGTTGCAGGGTGCATGGTTAATTTACAAAATTCAATTGCTTTCCTATCTGTCAGCAATGAACAAATGAAATTTGACATTTAAAAATATCATTTACATTAGCAGCTCCCCAAAATTAAGTACTTAGATATAAATCTAACAAAATATATACAAAATCTACATGAAGAAAGCTACGAAGTTCTGATGAAGGAAATCAGAGATGAACTAAATAAATATAGAGATATTCTATGTTCATGGATGGGAAGAATCAATATTGTCAAGATATCAGTGCTTCCCATCTTGATCTAGATTCCATGCAATCTCAATCAAAATGTTATTTTGTGGATAGTGACAAACTTCTTCTGAAGTTTATGAAAAGCAAAACCCATAATAGCCAACACAATATTGAAGGAGAAGAACAAAGTTGAGGACTGACAATACTCAACTTCAAGATTTATTATAAAGCCACGTTAATCAAGACCGTATTTCTTGCCTAGCTTCTGGTACTTTGCTGGCAGTCTGTGGCATTAATTGGCCTGTAGTAGCATTACCTTGATCTCTGCCTTCATCTATACATGGCATACTCCCTGTGTGCATGTCTCTGTGTTCAAATTTCCCCTTTTATTTTCTAGTCTTACTGGATTATATCGCACCCTAATGACCTCATCTCAACTAATTACATCTGCAATAACCCTATTTCCAAATAAGGTTATGTTCTGGGAGTTAGGACTTCAACACGTGAAGTTGGGGGGAGGACACAATTAAACTCACAAGAAATAACATGGTAGTGAATAACATTCTATCCTCAGGTAGCAGAAGTATTACAGACAAGGAATGCATAGCTGCATACAGAATATATACATTTTGGTGAGGACAAATCACTCCTTCATGATAAAAGAGGTACAATGTAATCAACCTTCTACCAGGTGGCTGGCTGCTTCCAACCCTCAGAAAAGAGTGCCATATCAAGAGCTCAGCATTAGATTCTGGTGTTGATAGGTTGGGTAGTCAGCAGTGGCAGTAGCCAGATTGGTCTTGCCCAGAGGAAGTCCATGTTGCTGAGTCTATGCATAGCCTCCATCCCTACCACATGACTACTTTGTATTTGGTTCCATTTACCAGGACCTGGGGTGGCTGGAGAAAGAGGCTGACTGATCCTTTGGCTCTATGACCCATAGGCTGTGTCAACGTGTCCACCTGATTATTGAAAACCTCCTCTGTATTAGATTCCCTTTGGTGAACATTCACACCGAAATATAAAATCTTCACACTCTATGCCCAGTCTGAAAGGTGTATTTAAAATACTTCTTTAGTCTTCCTTGTCATTAATCTTCCAATCTTGTTCTTTACAATTTCCTGGGCAGCCAGCCAAACCATTATTCACTGTCCATGAATTGATGTAGATAAGTACTTTTTTGGCCATCTCCAATGCCAGGAAAGTAAGCAAATATACCCTTAAAGTTATTTGGAATATTTCTGCTCGACAGGTCCAATATTTTTCTTCCTCTGTGTGCCGGTCATAAGGAAATCTTCAGGACGCCAGTGATGCCAGCTAAACGAGAGCAGGCAATGCAGCAGAAGTAAGTGTGAAAGGGATCGGAATCACCTGCACATACAACATTCTAGTGCATTCTGGACTTGCTCAAGCACCATCCACTATACCATTTCCACTTGGGATGGATTGCTATTGTATGCATCCAACTGTTTAGCTTGGAAAGTCAGATAACTCCCAGTTCATAATGAGTACCTCAGGTTGCCGGAGTTCTTGATGACTCATGGTCTAATAGCAAGCCAGAAGCTGTTTTTCAAAGAAAAAATGGTAATCTGCAGAAGGGGGCGTTGTTTTGCTGCAAAATCTTAGAGTTCTGGACTGTTATCTACTGGGACTTGTCAGAGGCTACATACAGCATTCTTACTTGCCACAGACACCAAATATCACTAGATCGCTGAGTAGCAATGCAGCTTGCACTGCATTCTAGACTTGTTGCCTAGGCTTCTCTTGCTCTCGTAGCCACTCAGAACCAGCAGACTGTTGGGTTACTTTATAGTAACTTAAGTAGCTCTAAGAAGTATACTCAAATGTGACATATGTTGCCTCCAAAATCCAAAAAGGGTCATGATGCATCACTGCACTTGGTTTTTAGTAATAGGTGGTACAAGGTGCAGCAACTTCTCTTTCACCTTGGATATCTTAACGTTCTCCAGACCATCACTCACCAATAATTTCATCAAATTGGCAGGGCCCTGAATTTTTGTGGGGTTTTTCCTCTACCCTCTGCCTTGCATTTGTCTTCCTCAGACATCTCAGGTACTTGTCACTTCCTGTTCATCAGATCCAATCAGCTTCATGTATTCAATGAAGTGGTCCGGTGTGATAGTCTAAGAATGTCAAAACAATTGAGATTTCTGCATTCTATATATGGCAGAGGCCAGTAGTGTTGACATAGCCCTGGGGCAAAACTGTGAAAGTAGACTCGGTCCTGCTAGGGAAAAGCAAACTATTTCTCATGATCCTTGAGAAAATAAATTTTTAACACATTTGCCATATCTCTCATTGCATTCTAGGTACCAGTGACTGAATTCATGTGCTCCGGTAAAGGTAGAGAGACAGATTCCTGTCACTTCCTACTCTGCTGTCTTCTTGATGTCACTCTTGAGGTTGAGTCTTCACAAGATAGTACCTGTCCTCCTAGGATTTACTGCCACCACCTCTCAAGGATTCTATGACAATGAATATAAATAGAATCAAATCTCAACATGGTTCCTGCTGTAGTTCCCCAAGGAATTGTTCACAGCAGCTTCAGGACTTGGCTAATATGTCCAAGGAGAACATGTCTGGGAATGGATCTTGAGGGAGCATTCGGACTTGTGGGGAAAAGATTGGGAAAGGAGGAGCAATGATTTGGAGACACTGTCCCATGACTCAGAATTTAGCGTCCTGGCAAGGACATCTGGAGCTGATGCTTGGAAAAATGATGGTCTTTAGTAAATGAAGTGGGGATGCCAGAACTTCCTCGGCAGAGTATTGAAGAATGAGTCAAAAGGCACGTGGAGGTGGGTATGATTGCATGAATTCATTATATGGACCAGCTTCTGTTGTTCTCCGGAGTGTCCAGAGGTCTTCCCATCATAATAGCAATAAGAAATGTGCTAGTGAGGTGGCACTGGCCTTGTTGGGAAGCTCAGTGGTGGTGACCTTTGTAGGCTGGAGTTCGTTGTAGGGGAAGTGGCTCTATTGAACCGGGCTCCATAGTGTCAATGGTGAGGATAGAATTTCAGAATAGCAGAGGACAGATGGCAACAATTAATCTTCAGTGGAAAGGTAGACATAATTCCTGTAATGGGAAGCAAAGCTGGAATGGTGACCAGGGGAACCTTTTCCACAGCGATCTGTGGTAATGGCCAATAGACCACGGCATTCCTATGGATGAGACTGGCAGCCAAGGAGGTCACTGCTTTGCCTTATACAAAATATGATCAAGAATGGGTGAGTTGAAGGCTGACGTCAGCTGGCACGATGAAAAATTACATTTTTTGCTCAGTTTCTAAATCTGAAATATTCTAAGACCCAGAGTCTGTGGATTGAAGACAGGTAGTTCCTTTTAAGGAGTGACTCTGCAGCACCATGGCAACTTTAGACAGTAGCAATTTCCTTCAATCCTTCTCCAAAGAGACACGTGGTCATTTACCAGAATAATTTTGTGCTGGGAAGAAGGGAGTCCATAGCTCTTTTGAGGGCTGTTAGATATAACATCTGAACTGATAATGCCATGGGACTCCTGATGCCACCATGACTGCTTTTAGAGTAGGGTCATATAGTGTCCAGGTTATAGGACATTGTGTGCCCCCTGTGCAAGGCCATGTCACAGTGGCAGAGATTAGCACCATTCTCCAGGACTAAAGGATGCAGGGGTGTCAATCCCCTTAACATTTCTTTTTAATTCATCAGTCTGACCCCTGCAAATCCAGTTAGGTCATGGTGGTTGATAGTGATCTATTATAATCTTAATTAAGTGGTAGCTCCAATCAAACAGCTGCTAGGCCCAGATGTTGCACCTTTACTAGAACAGACCTACAAAGCCTCTGACAATTGGTATACTATTTATCTGGCAAATTTGTTCTTTTCAGAAACTATTCCCTTGGAAGAGTCAGTATACATTCATGATATGGCCCCCGGCCTTTAATAATTATTCATTCTCTATCACAATACAGTCCAAAGGGTCCTTAATCATTTGGCTATTCTATAGAACAGGGATGAGCAAACCCAGATCTGTAGGCCAAATCTGGCCCGCTGCCTGTTTTTGTAAATAAAGTTTTATTCGAACAGACACACTCCTTTGCTTATGTACAGTAATGTCTATGGCCGCTTTCACTCTATGATGGCAGAGGTGAGTAGCTGTGACAATAAAATAGAGTATTTACAATCTGTTCCCTTACAGAAAATTTGCTGACCTCTGCTCTGGAACGTCAGGCTGCTCCCTATGTTGGTGAATCACGTTTGTCAGAGCTGGGGAGCAGAAGTGGTGAGTACGTTGGGTGCCTCGGTAAGACTCATGAATTCCAGAGGATGGAAGATAGACCTAGAAAAGATTCAGGGGCCTGCCACATTGGTGGAGTTTTTGGAGGGCTGGTGGTCTGGGCATGCTGAGGCATCCTTTTCAAGATAAAGCCATTAACTTATTCAAGCTTGCACCTCCTACCTCTATGAGACAGGCACAGCACTTGGTTAGGCCTCTTCTATTTCATAGACAGCAGATTCACTCATGAGAATACCACTGGATCCATTTATCAGGTGACTTGAAAGGCCGCGGCCGGGCGCGGTGGCTCACGCCTGTAATCCCAGCACTTTGGGAGGCCGAGGCGGGCGGATCACGAGGTCAGGAGATCGAGACTATCCCGGCTAAAACGGTGAAACCCCGTCTCTACTAAAAATACAAAAAATTAGCTGGGCGTAGTGGCGGGCGCCTGTAGTCCCAGCTACTTGGGAGGCTGAGGCAGGAGAATGGCGTGAACCCGGGAGGCGGAGCTTGCAGTGAGCCGAGATCGCGCCACTGCACTCCAGCCTGGGCGACAGAGCGAGACTCCGTCTCAAAAAAAAAAAAAAAAGAAAGAAAGGCCGCCAGTTTTGAGATGGGCCTCAAAGATCAGGAGGAGGCTTTGCAGTGAGTTCTAGCTGCCATACAAGCAGCTCGCTGCCTTGGGCCATGTGACTCATGCATTGGACATCATGGTGCTGGAGGTATCCATGTAGCTGAGTCTTCTACCTGCATTGAGAAGCAATGGTTGCCTGGCTGCGTGGTGTGGGGAAGGCTTCTCCAGGGGCCTGCTGGAGGGGGATTTCCTCTTTTTTAGGGGAAAGGATCTCTGTTGGGTATGGGGTACCAACAAGGGCTAAGATGTGAAGTGTAAGTAAAGGGCACATTGTATTACCATTTTGACCTGGTGGATGTCTTGAGTCTGTTCATAAATACAAATATTCAATAAATATCATGCATATATCAAGTTTTCTCATCAAGAAATTATTATTATCATTGAGACAGGGTCTCCCTCTATTGCCCAGGCTGGTGTGCAGTGGCATGATCATGGCTCACTGCAGCCTCGACCTCCCTGGGCTCAATTGATCCTCCCACCTCAGCCTCCCAAGTAGCTAGGACCACAGGTGTGCACCACCACACCTGGCTTTGCTTTGCTTTGCTTTCCTGTTTTTTTGAGATGGAGTTTCCGTCTTGTCACCCAGGCTGGAGTGTAATGGCATGATCATGACTCACTGCAGCCTCAACCTCCCTGGGTTCAATTTATCCTCACACCTCAGCCTCCCAAGTAGCTAGAACCACAGGTGTGCACCACCACACCTGGCTTATTTTTCTTTCTTCCTTTTTTTTTTTTTTTTTTTGCAGGGTGGGGGAGGGGCGGAGTTTCCCTCTCGTTGCCTGGGCTGGAGTGCAATAGTGTGATCTCGGCTCATTGCAACCTCTGCCTCCCAGGTTCAAGTGATTCTCCTGCCTCAGCCTCCCGAGTAGCTGGGATTACAGGTCCCAGCCACCATGCCTGGCTAATTTTTGTATTTTTAGCAGAGACCATGTTGGTAAGGCTGGTCTCGAACTCCTGACCTCAGGTAATTCGCCCACCTTGGCCTCCCAAAGTGCTGAGGTTACAGGCTACAGGCATGAGCCATGGCACCTGGACTTATTTTTCTCTTTCTTTTTATTTATTTATTTGCATTTTTTGTAGAGATGGGGTTTTGCCATGTTGTCCAGGCTGGTCTTGAACTCCTGGGCTCAAGCAATCTTCCTGCCTTGGATACCCAAAGTGCTGGGATTACAGGCATGAGTCACTGCACCTAGCCAAGAAAGTGTTTTCTAATGCTAACTCTGGAGATTTGCTCAAATCAAGGTGACTTCCCTATCTGTCAGAATTTTAAGATTCATTTAATGACTGTGTTACTTTCTCCAGAGAGGGATAAGGAATTGGGCCATGTGGTCATGAAGTTTGAGAAGTCTCAAGATTTACAAGTTGGAGACCGTGGAGAGCTGATGATGTGTTGCGGCATGAGTCCGAAGGACCGAGCATTAGGAGAGCCGATGGTCTAATTTCCAGTTTGAGTCCAAGTCTAAAGGCAGGAAAAGACCAACGTCCCAATGACCATCAGGCAGAGCCAGTGAATTCTCTCTTACCCTGTCTTTTGTTCTAGTCAGGCCTTCAATGGCTTGGATAAGACCCACCCACATTGGGGAGGGCACTCTCCTTCATTCGGTCCACTACTGTAAATGCTAATCTCATCCAGAAATATCTGGAAACCCTGTGGCCCAGTCAAGTTGATATAGAAAATTAACCATTACAATGACAACGAGACAGAAACTGCAGGACACAAAGACTGGCATATGTCTTATCACGTGCCATGCCCAGACAAACTTGGGTTACAGAAGTTTTGTCAGATAATTTGTTTATGGCTATGTGCCAACATTTAATTACAATCTTGTATACTGGGAGAAGATCTCTAATAGGCCAATTCAAAGGTTTACTCTAGATAGGGACATTTCATGGGAAAGGTGAATTATTAGGGCAACAGTCCACAGAGCATGGTCCCTGGGTCAGCAACATGAGCATCATCTGGAAACTCGCTAGAAATACACCCTCAGACCCCACCCTATCCCTACTGAATAAAAAACTCTGGCGTAGGGACCAGAAATCTGTGTTTTAACAAGCTCTGCAGGTGATTCTGTTACATGCCACCGTTTGATAACTACTGAACTTGGTAATAATTGTTAGGCTAAATGTTTAAAGAAAAAGTCTGGTTCAACGTCACCAGCTTCCTAACCATCAGCAGTCAACCAAGAGGTGGAGGTTAGTAGGTAACTAGCTTATCAGAGCAAGTCGTAATCAAAGAGTCCATGAAGGAGTTTTTTGTTTTGTTTTGTTTTGTTTCAGAAATAGTAATTTCTCTCTAGAAGGAGGTTGTGAATTACAGGACATGGCTTGGATTTTTATTTTAGATGTTACCAGCATTGCTTTCATTGCTTCTGCTGGAAGGTGGCAATCTTCAAGGGTCTAAGTAATTCTTAGACCAATGAAGGGTCAAGGCTGGCCTTTTACAAATAACGGAGAAAGAGGGTGTCCATAGCCTACAGAACTTTCTCTCAGAACTTCTAGGTCAGTGCTGTTCTTTGGGAATCTAATATGAGCCACATATATAATTTAAAAATTTCTATTAATCACACAAGAGTAAAAAAAACAGGTGAAATGAATTGTAATATGTTTTATTTAACTTACCTTACTAAAAATATTTTCCATTTAACATACAATATGAAATTCATTAACGGATAGTCACATTTTTAAACGCCATATCTTCAAAATCTGGTGTTTGACAGCACATTTCAGTTCAAACTAGCTACGTTGCAAGGATTTAATAGCCCTATGTGGCTAGTGACTATTGTATGGAACATTATCGTTCTAGACCCTCTACTCCTGCAACTGGAAGGGGAGACCTGGTGCTTTTATTTATTTATTTACTTTTTCATTAAATAACTAAGGACAGAAGTTGTGGCTTGATGATGTAATTTACTTGTATGTTCCCTGGGGCTTAATTTCTTTAGTCATTCTGGGCATAAGTCCCTGTCCAGGCAATGCTATTAGACCTTATACAGAAACAAGCCTCTCCCTTCATATTTTAAAGCACTGTGAGATCTTGAAATGAAGCATGGAATTTGCATATTTTGTCCATTCTTCCTGAACCATACATCTAGGTATCTTATGCAAACAAACTAAAACAGAATGTTTTGATATGTCCTGTTTAGGAACTTATTGTCACAAATGTATTCACATTCTCTAATTGCATATGAAGAAAAAATCTTTTCATTTAGAAATTTAAGCCTGTAATCGATTTTCTCTGAGTGATTTCATTTTCCCTCCTTTCCCTTTTTCTTTTACTGAATTTTATTTGTAATTCACTACTTTCTATTACATTTTGCAACAAAGATTTGATTCAATATCCAGTGATTTTGCTCCTTTCAGGTTTAAACCATTTCTCCCATTGTCAGTTGACTTTCGTTAAACCGTTTCTCCCATTGTCAGTCTACTTTCGTGGTCATTATTTCTACAAAGTATATTTTTCCCAAGTGAAATTTTACATATGAACATTTGTCAGGAAGCTCTTTAGTCATTTTTACCAAGTAACAAATTTTACTTTTTTTTTCTTATCAAGATACTTTTTAAAGTTTTTATTTTAAGATCTTTTTTGTTTGTTTTCTTTCTTGAGATGGAGTATTGCTCTGTCACCTAGGCTGGAGTGCAGTGGTGCGATCTTGGCTCACTGCAACCTCTGCCTCCCAGGTTCAAGCGATTCTCATGCCTCAGCCTCCCAAGTAGCTGGGATTGCAGGCACGTGGCACTAAGCCTGACTAATTTTTTTTTTTTTTTTTTTTAGTAGAGACAGGGTTTCACCATGTTGGCCAGGCTGGTCTCAAACTCCTGACCTCAAGTGATCCACTTGCCTCAGCCTCCCAGTGTTGGGATTACAGGCTTGAGCCACCATGCCTGGCCAACATCATTTTAGACAGACAAGGTTGCAAAAATAGTAGAGTTCCTTTGAACCCTTCACCCAGTGCCCCCTTATATTAACCTCTTACATAACTGTAGTACAACTCTAATGGAGAAGTAATCTGTAAGGAAGTAAAAAGGGCACTGTACTATGAACTAAACTAGAAAGTTTATTCGTGTTTCACTGGTTTTTCCACTGATGCTCTTTTTCTGTCCCAAGATCTAATCCAGGATTTCACGTGACAGGAGTCATTGTCTCCTTAATCTGTGACAGTTCCTCAGTCTTCCTGTCTTTTGTGACCTTGAGACTTCTGAAGGGTACTGGTCAGTTACCTTGTAGGAATGTTCCTCCATTTGGGTTGTCTAATGTTTTCTCATAATGAGATTGTGCATTGTTGGGCAGGAAAACCTCCGGGGTGCTGCGCTCTTCCCAGCGCCTCCTCTGTCAACACGTTTCTGGAGAGGTAAACCTGGGTCACGTGGTTAAGGTGGTGATGCCAGTTTTGTTCACTGCAAAGTTACTATTTTTCCCTTTGTTATTGATAAACATCTATTTTGGGAGAGATGCTTTGAGACTATGCAAATATCCTGCTTCTCCTTAGGCTTTCCCAGCTAATTTTGCCACATCTGGGGACCCTGCCTGCAGCAATGATTGCAGTAGTGTTTCAGTGGTGATTTGCCAAGTCTCTCATTCCTTCCATATGTATTAATTGGAATTCTGCAAGAAAGAGTTGTCGGCCAGGCTGCAGTGAGCTGAGATCATGTCACTGCCCTCCAGCCTGGGCGACAGAGTGACATCTTGCCTCGAAGAAAAAAAAGAGTTGCCCTTTCCCCCCATTTAGTCACTCATTCAGTTATTTATTTATATGAATATAGACTAGAGGCTATTTGTTCTTATTTATTTTTTTATTTGGGTTTGTGATTTTAGCGCCAAAATCTCAACCGTGAAAATGGAGAGAAATTCTGAATATTATCACTCCCTAAGTTAGGACAGAAACTTACTTTGCAGACAGAAGCCAAAGGGTCTGAGGAGGACACAGGCTCACTGGGAGGACTGGAGAAGCAGCCTGAAGGGGCAGAAACCCAAGGCGGTCCTAGAGCCAGGAAGCCCTTGGCAGTGTCCCTGGGCGGGACTGGCCTCAGAGGGCCTCTGCTAGTGGGGACAGGATTTAAATCTCAGATAGTGTCTGCCCCTTGACTGAGGAGGGCGAGGACTGACGCCATTCACTTCAGCCTCTTTGCATGGGGAAGAGAGGAAGTGGATGCTAGGTAGCCAGAAAGCACCCACTTTTCAGTCCCTGGAATCCCCAAGAACAAAGCTTGAAGCTATGGTCTGTGACCCCGCCCGACCGGCCGCCATTCCCCAATGCAGACCAGAGGCAGTGTCAGCGGATCGCTCTACTCCGCAACGCTCCCACCTGTAATCCTGATGCAGGGCAGGTGAGCCCCAAAGTGGAGCTTCCACCAGGAGGGTTCTTGGCTTTGCCCAGGAAAGAATTCAAGGGCAAGCCAGAGGTAGAAGAAAACAGCTTTATTGAAGAGGCAGGGTTACAGCTCCGTGACTGCTCCTGCAGAGCAGGGCTCCCCCATAGGCAGAGAGGAGCAGCTCAGGGCAGTTTTGCAGTTTTATATATATATATATATATATATATATATATATATATATATATATATATATACACACACACACACATACACACACACACACACACACACACACTCACACACACACACTTTTAATTGCATACAGATTAAGGGGCGGTTTATGCAGAAATTTCTAGGGAAGGGGTGGTAATTATTGGGTTACTGCCACGGAAAGGGGCGGTAACTCCCTGGTATTGACATGGCAACGGTAAACTGACGTGGCACCCTGGTGGTCCTATCTGTTGGAAAGCTGCTTTGGCCCTGACCTTGCTTTAGTTTGTCCTCAATCTGGTCTGGTGTCTGAGCCCCGCCTCCTACCTCAATCCCACTCAAGGTGAGCTTGATATCCTCTTCCATCCACCACCAAGTTTGTGGAGAACGGAAAATAGCTCCTCATGATATGATAAGGAGTATTACAAAGGGCAGCGAGGCAGGGACAGGTTGCCTGGGTCAGCATTCTGGTCCCCCGTGGCCTTGATCCCATCTCGTCACGTCTCTGGGGGTATCGTGGTCTCGGTAATCTCAAGTCTCTTGAGATGCCAAAAGTCTGAAACCCCTACCTCCGTGGGCAGTTCGGTAGACCGCAGAACCGTAGTCATTTTAGACTGCATTAATAACACTTCAGGCGGGGAGACTACGCTGAGCAGAATGCACGGTGATCATGACCTAGTCGACATATTTCAAGGGCGCCAGAGGCAGAGCCATCTTCAGGGATCAAGTCAAGGGAGAAGCTGAAGAAAACGGGGCCTGGCTAGCCCGCTAAACAAAACGAGACAGATTTCACAAAATCACAGATTGTTAATGTCAGAAGACACCTTAGAGTTGTTTCTCCCAAACCGAAGGCGCCTGCAAGTCACTTGGGGATCCTGTTAAAATGCAGATTCCCTGGTTCGGTAGGTCTGGAGTGGGGGCTGCTTTGTCCAGAGACCACACCGTGGGTCCAACCTTCACAGCACACTGGAATCGCTTTAAGAGCTTAAAAAAATACTTAGGTCTGGGCTTCTCTATCCCCGTCCCCCCCAGCCCCGGAGATTCTGTCATTTGGTCCGGGGGCAGCCTGGGCGTTTGGAGGTTAAAAAGCTCCCAGGTGATTGCAATATGCAGCGGAGTTTGAGAACCAGCGCCTTGGACCCAGCTTCTTAAGCTACTGCGCGCACCGGCGTCCCGCTGGGGGCGCGCGAGCCCCACCCCCAGAGATGCTGACTCAGCAAGTCGGGAGGGGTTGGGGGTGGGACCTGCCAATCTGCATTTCCAACCGGCGCCCAGGTGACGCTGACTCTGCTGGTCTACCGTCTTGGGGGTCACCTAATTTTTCAGCGATGCCTCCCAGCTGGGGAGGCCAAGAAGTGCCTCGCTCAAGGTCTTCCAACACCCGACCTCCAGACCCTCAATCCTGGGCCAGCTACACCGCAAACCTTTCCAGCTGTCTCTCCTGCGCCCTGCGTTTCTTCCCCACGTCACTTGCCAGGGAGCCGCTAAACAGCAAGACCGCGCGCTCTGCGGCTCCAGAGTGCGGATTTCGGTCGCGTGCGGCTCTGACCGCGTCGCCCCATCCCTGGCGGGGCCACGCACGGACGCCATGGCTGGCGCCGCGGAGCCGGGCGATGCGCGCGGACTCTCCCGGGGCCCTGACTGTCCCTGAGTCCTCCCTGCGGGGGGCGTGCGCGGCCCGCCCCCCGCGGCGCCACGCGGCCCCTCCTCGGCCGGGGATTGGTGCGCCGGGCGGGGCGGGGCGGGGCGGGATAAAGGCGCGGGGTCTGGCTGCGCGGGGTCTGCGGGCAGCTCCAACTCTGGGTTCGTAGTTTGCGCTGGGTGCGCAGGAAGGTCAGTGTGGGGGTCGCCCGACATTTCCCCCCCGCGGAGGTGGGAGCCGAGCCACATCTTGGAGTGGGGACTGGCCGCGGAGCGGGTTGCCCAGGGCCGGCCGAGGTCGGGGCGAGCCCTGCGCGGCGCTGGAGACTCTGCATTCCCGGGCGCGCGCAGGGTCCCCGGCCGTGGTCGCAGAGTCAGGAGGGGCGGCTCCGGAGCCCGGCGCGGGGAGGGCCCAGGCGCAGTCGGGGTTGGCAGGGCGCGACACTCGCTCCCCTCCACTTTTGAAAGGGCTTCCCACGCCGAGAAGAGGGGCGGGCATGGCCGGCCCGGCGAAACCGGTTTGTACAGACTTTGGGAAGCCATCGCCTGCGGAGGGTGGGACCCCACAGCTTGTCCACCTGCCCAGGCTGAGACCTCGTGTCCTAGTCCTGGATGCCCCACGGGTTTCTCGTCCCGGGCAGCGGCGCACGGGAGGAGAAGACTCCCGGTCTGCAGTCAGACCTCCCTCTGAGACCCTCCCTAGCTCAGGCTTAGAGCTTTGGGATTTTTCTCGATCCTTTCTAGCTTTCAGATCATCCCCACGTAAAGTTCAGACTTTACCAGCCCAGAGAGTTTAAAAAAAAAAAAAGAGAGAGAGAGAAAGCGAATGTGGATTGAGCCTTTACACTGACCGCGCAGTTTGCACAGTGCTTTTCATAGATTGACTGCTTTTATTAAACGCTCTCAACAGTCTATTAGGATGGCATGGTGATTGCCCCCTTTCTGAGGACGCGGAAACTTGAGATTTGGCGAGGCAAGAAGCCAGGCGCACACAGCTAGGCGGGCCGCGGGCCGCGACCCCCTGGCTGGTCCGTGCTCTCCCCCTGGGGAGGGGTGCAGGCTGCCAGGAAAGGTGCCCCCTGCGTGGCCCTGGGGGTGTTTCTTCCTCTTTGTCTCTTCTTAGGCATCTGATCTCATCTCTTAAGTGGGAAGAGTCGGGGTGGTGGAAGTAGAGGGTATGGGACACGGTGGACCTACCTCACTTGGTAGTTAGTAACTGCCTCACCTTGGGCGGGTCAGTGGATTCTGAACAATGGGGAAAAGGTCCCAGCTTCAGGGTTGCTGTGAGGGTTTAAGAAGAGTTCAGGAAAGCAGATGCTTCACCAACGCTCCGTAGTTACCAGGCGCCTGATTTTTCCTTGGATCATTACTATTAAGAGGATGCATTGGTGATGATGATGATGTAATGAGTCAGAGGTTTTAAAGCCCAGACTGCCTTGAAAATGCGTCTGGTAAACCTTCTTGCTCCTTAAAGCAGAATAAGATTGGAGTGGGGGAACGCAGTGAAAATGAAGGTGGGCATGGACATATAAGTATTAAGTTAGAAGTGGGGAGGGGGCAGGGGGCATTGGCGCCAGGAAGTTGTAAACTGGGCAATTATCACCCAGTCCAGAGCAGGGAAGGCCCGTTGTGAGGGGCTAGGCATGAAGGTACCAGCAGCGTACATGCTCCTGCAGACCCCTGAGGCTGGAAGGAAGGAGCGGGCAGTGGGAGAGTAATAGGTTTAAGCACGTTTGCAAGTGGAGGCGGAGAGAGGACAAGGGCTGGGGGGGTTGGAGTTTGCTGGGTCTCTGGGGGCAATATTGATCTATGTTAGGCGAGTTTTCTCACTCTTCAGATACATATATACATATATGCATGCAGGTCACTTCTTGGTGCTGAACACTGTAAAACTTTTTCTCTATTGTAGGTTGTAGTTGTGATTCCTATCACGTAACATTAGATTTACCATCCTAAACAGTTCTAAGCATACTGTTCAGTAGCGTTAAGTATATTCACGCTGTTGTGCAGTCAATCTCCAGCGCTTGTTCATCAAACTGAAACTCTGCGCTAATTAAACACTAATTTCTCTGCCTCTACCCCAGCCCTTGGCAGCCAGTCACCTTTCTGCTTTATGTTTCTGTGAATTTTTGAGTGCTTTAAATAATGCACGTCAGTGGAGGCATACAGTGTTTGTCCTTTGGTGACTGGTTTATTTCACTTAGCCTAATGACTTTGAGCTTCACTCATGTTGTAGCCAAGTGTCAGAATCACCTTCTTTTTTAAGGCTGAAAAACTTCCATTGTATTTGTAGACCCTATTTTCTTTACCCGTTCATCTATTGGAGGCTGGATATCTTAGTTTCCCGCTTAATTGTTAAAGACATTACTTAATACATCTTTTACTATCTCCATCCCTAAGAGTAATTACAGCCAGAAATGTTAGGAGATCTCATGACAGCAAGAACATTGAGGAAAACTGATGTTGCGTATCTAGTCGCCTTCGGTATTATGGGTGGAAGTTTCCTTAATATCTAAAAAATTATCTATTTTTAGAGCAATCATAGTTGAATTAAGTCCCCTCCCCACCCCCCACCGCCACACCCCAATAAACTGAAGTAACTTTTTTCCCCTGAGAACAGGATCATTTGATTTTTTGAGATGTAAACCTCTGATGGTTTCCCCTTACTGTCTGCCTCTTAGACACAGCGTTGAGTGAGTACGAACACGCTTCACAACTTCCCGGGAGAGGCACCTAAACCCAGCAGGTCCACAACCAAACTCACTTGTCTTCTCACCTGACCTGCTGCTTCTCTAGAAAGCCCATTCTTGCAGCGCCCAAATTAGAGACCTTCATATTCTTGACACCTTCACCACCCACCCATGTGGAAGCAATCACTCAAGCCAGCTGAGCCATGAGTCAGTATCTGTATCGCCCCCTCATTTCCAGATGGCGCTGCTGTGTGACTGCTGCTGCTGTTAATGCAGATAAGTGGATATGCAGGGGCATGGAAGAAGTCATGACCTTCCATGACCAACCCAGAGAGGCCCAGGTTGGGAAAGTGCTTCATTATTTGTGGAGAAGACTATGTTAACCTTTTCCTGTTTGTCCCTTGCAATGAAAGTAAACAAGGTGCTTGGGAAAGAAAGTATGGGCTATCATTTGGTCTTTAGGTAGGAGGGACTGAAAATCATCTTTGATGGCTTTCTCTATGTAAATTTAGTATGTAGCTTGGCAAAGAAAGTTTTACTTCAGAACAACTGCTCTCCAATTGTAATCTGGGGAACTGTGGAGGATCCCTGAAACCTTTTGTAGGGTCCATGAGGACAAAACTATTTTTGAAAAGAATACTAAGGTGTTATTTACCTTTTTCATTCTTTCTCTCACAAGTGTGCAGTGAGTTGCCCAGAGATTACATGACTTGCAAAGAGCTTTGCCTGTCATGACTAATGGGATTTGTGCTTGTGTATTCTTCTGTTTCTCAGTCTTCTAAGGTGTTAGGGTTAGGATAAAAGTATCTGCATTTTCAGAGATGAACTCAATTTGCACTTAGTATTTCTACTGTGCACTCACTGGCTGTCTTCACTTAGACCTGTTATATCTGTGACCTCATTTTCTTTTAATAAGTTATTAATTTGAAGTCCCAGAGTTTTCTGTGCCTATATGAAAACACAACAAAAAGTACACTCTGTAGTCTTGATTGGAAAGCCTTTCTAAAATTTCAAATGGTATAAAATTATTTTTGAATGTAATATTTTATTCTAAAATAAAAGGATATTTGTGTATTTTTGTATTTAAGGATAGATTATTGGCTTAACAGGGGGATATTAGAAAAGTTGATTTTTTTCAGCTCCCAGGTGCACTACCTATGCCTAAAACGCTGAAAAAATGAAATGAATATGTCAGAGTTTCTGAATCATGAAAGGGAGGAATTTACTCCAGAGAAATGGGCAAAACTAAGGCAAGGTGAAAGCTTTCCTCAGCTTTATAGCTGTTAGTAATTGGTCTTATGAATCTTATGCCAGAGAACCATTTTCAATGGTATTATGGTGCCAGTAGCATGATTTTGAGACCAACCATTCAGAGTCCTCTAAAGAAAAATGAATTGAATCGTTTAAGTGTGGATGTAATGAGCTTTTTAAAAGCCAGAAATTTTTGTCATAGCTTTTCAAACTGAAACCGACAAAGTTGAAGCATAAAGCAGGGTAAATTATCAAGTTGCGTTGGTCGCAGAAACACACGATAAAGGCTTGTTTAGATGAAAAAGCATTGAAAGAGCTCATAGCACTTCAACTTTCCAATGATACAGTAATCTGCCAAATTAAAGATTTAGCTGAAACGTGAAGACCCAGTTAGTATATTGACTGTAGAAGTGTATTTCTGCCTTACAAATGGAAGAAAGACTAGAGGTGCCATTTTGCTTGTATTCTTCTGGTATCAGCACCAAACCAATCAATACCTTTTTAGATAATCTTTTTATTGTAATATGTAATACAATATACAATCCTTTATCTTTACAATAGAGAGTATCTTTTTAGTGAATGCTTGGTAGCAAACATGAGTAGTGCTGAGATATTCAAAGTGTTGAATAACTTTTTTGAATTTAGTGGTTCATTCTGGAACAAGTGCATTGAATTTGCATTGATGGTGCCAGAGCAATGCTGGGTAAAACTCCTGGTGCCTTTGTGCAAATCAAGGCAGATGGTACCAGGCTGTTCTAGTCGTCACTGTATTCTTTACTGCCCTGTGCTTTCAATAAAAAATAAGAGAAAATTGCCAGCCTGACTTAAGAATGTCCCGATGAAACAGTAAAAATGACTGTCTGGATTAAATCTTGACTTCTGAGTATGCATCTCTTTGATATGCTGTATAGTGTAGGAAAGTGCCCATAAAGCATTCTGTGACATATTTCAAAGTGTGATGGTTGTCTTCAGGTAAAGCAGTGTGTGATTGAATTGTGAGCTGAACTGGCCACTTTTCTTAATAGAAAACCATTTTTGCTTGACAGACTGACAAACAATGAGTATTCATACTTGGATCATTGCCAGACATATTCTAAAACATGAACGAAGTGAGCCTGTCACTTCAAGGAAACAACTAACAGTGTTTGTTGCCAATTAATTTCTATTTACCACCATGAGCTTGACAGCTTCCCCATACTTAGGAATTTTCTGATGAGACCAGTGGTGATATTACCTAGTAGGACTTTTTAATATTATATAGTGAAGTGTGTTAATATTTGGACAATGTGCATAAGTTGCTGAACCAATAATTATTTTATATTACAATGCAATAATAATAGAAATAAAGTACACAATAAATGGAATGTGCTTGAATCATCCCGAAACCACCCCCTTTCCTCCCAGTCCACGGAAAATTGTCTTCCGCAAAACTGGTCCCTGGTGCTAAAAAGGTTGGAGACCATTGCTTTAAAGCATTAAAGTAAGTTTTAATGTAGAAAAGTACAAAAAGTTCATTGATAAGGTTTCAGATTCTGCATCACAACTAACCTTTAAGAAGACTGATGCATTCAGTTTTGGAGTGGTAGCAAAGATAAACATCCAGAGTTATTTGAAAAAATGAATAAAATACCATTTCCTGTTTTCACTGCTGTTTGGATTTTTTTTCAATTAGAGCAACAAGTTACAGAAGCAGATATGAAAATCCAGTTTTTTTATTTTATCAAAGAGAAGTATAAAGTTTAAAATAATGGCACTCCTTCCACTGAATATTTTTTGTATTGGAAAACTGTTTGTTTGTTTGTTTGTTTGTTTTTGAGATGTAGTCTTGCTCTGTCTCCCAGGCTGGAGTGGAGTGCAGTTTCACCATCTCGGCTCACTGCAACCTCCACATCTCCGGTTCAAGCAATTCTTCTGCCTCAGCCTCCCGAAAATATAGTTATTTTCATAATGATGTTTATGTTAACATGTTTATCGGTTTTAAATGAATTAATAAAGGTGTTAAACATTTATTTGTTTTCTAACACTAAATATTAATAGATATAACCAACATTAACAGTAGCTTTTTGGAGTTCTCCATTTTTAAGAGTATAAAGGAGTTTTAAGATCAAAAAGTTAGAGAACTTCTGCCTGAAGAGTATTAAGTTTAACTTGGCAGGAGTAAGAGGAAAAGCTACATGCTGTAGATGGTTGGAGGGTTTTTAAATTTATTTTTGTTTTTAATACCTATGTATTGTTAAAGCGATTCTGTAATAGAGGCAGTATTGCTGCGCGGTGGTTAAGAAGTAGGTTTTCTAGGGGAGTGGTGCTTGCGGTAGTGCTGTGAAGCACTCACCAGCTTTTGGCATATAAACAGCAAAAAATATTAGGTACTTATAATAGTGGAATAAGAAGAACCAACTCCATTACGAACTGTCCGTGTTGTTGAACTAAAACTTCACATTCAATTAACAATTTGTTGGGTGCCTCCTTCATGCTTTCCCTTTGTGGAGAAAGAGATGAATACATTTGTACCTGTTTTATATCTTTAGGGTTTCCTTTCCCCCGCAGTTCCAGTCTTTTCAATTTTTAAATTAAAAAAAAAAAACAAAAGCCTTTTTAACTGTGACCATTCATTATTTTGCTTTCGGGAATTGGAATTGTCTTTCAGTCTCGAATGTTCTGGGAAATGTTGTCTCTGGGCTTCCTCAATATCCCTTTGCACTTGCTGAAATAAGTGACTGTAAGAATCCAAGTTGTTGGCTGGGCGCGGTGGCTCACACCTGTAATCCCAGCACTTTGGGAGGCCGAGGTGGGTGGATCACGAGGTCAGGAGATTGAGACCATCCTGGCTAACATGGTAAAACCCTGTCTCTACTAAAAAAAATAAAAAAAACAAAATTAGCTGGGCGTGGTGGCGGGTGCCTGTAGTTCCAGCTACTTGGGAGGCTGAGGCAGGAGAATGGCGTGAACCCGGGAGGCAGAGTTTGCAGTGAGCCGAGATCGCGCTACTGTACTCCAGCCTGGGCGACAGAGCGAGACTCCGTCTCAAAAAAAAAAGAAAAAGAATCCAAGTGCTTACCTGGTTTCAGGTGCCAGCAGTGGCTACAGTTAGTGTTCCTGTAAGGGTTGCTTGAGGAAAAGCTCAGGCCTTTCCCGTAATGTGGCCCATCCTGGACACCTGCCTCATCACTTTGGGCCTGTGCAGTAAAAGCAGAGATGTGCCATGGTGAGAAGGTTCTCTTCTACTCGCTTATTTGAGAACATTAGCTGGGGTGAAGGGCCTTAGGTGTCTTATAGATGCTGGGCACCTGGTGGGTCCAGTCACTAACCCCACAGAAGCCACCAGGCAGGTTCCACCTGTCTTGTCTTGGAGTAGTAAAGAGCAAAACCCTCATGACCCAGAAAGGTATGAAAAGGCGTATGTTTTGAAAAGACACTATTTTCCTTTTGTTTTCTGTAATTTGGGTTTTGGTATGATTAGGGATTGCAAGAAAGCTTCTGCTACTTCCGGCATTTAACTTGGAATCACTGTCTTAAATCTACTTGAGGCACTGAGTACCTTCCTGTAAGTTCATATCTTACAGGAAATGTCTCTAACTGTGGTTTGTTTACTTTTTTTCCCTTTATAATGCAGAATAGAAGATGGTTGAGGGGACTGGACACCTGAATTGGCTTTGAAGCTCACCTGCCTTTTCTGTTGGAAGAGACTTCCTCTTCCAGGGGGCGAGTGAGTAGAGGCCACAGGTCAGTGTGAGTATGTGGTAGGCCTGCCTGTAGGGAGGGTGGGGGGGTTGCTGTTAGAACCAGCAAAGCAAGCTGGGCAGCTCTGGTTTACTCTCAAGACATGCCTGCCTGGGTGCTGGGGACCCGTTGAAGAACATGGCAGTCTGAAGCCATATGTGACTGGACCATCTTGACCTCTAAGGCCAGGGCTGATTTCATGGTCAGCTGGTACTATTGAAGCTGATGAGGAGGAGGAGGTAGACTAAATTAAATTATGTGATCTTTGAAACAATAAGAAAATGACTTTTCTACGTGACCCTCTCTACAGAGATGATGGAAAAACAAAAATCCTTCACAGCTTACTAAATATTGCTGCGGGACTTTTTATCCTTTTATCTTAACCCTCTGCTTTTCTAGGCTGGTTCATCATAACGTGAGTGTTAACACAAGATTTACAGGGCACTTTGTATTTAATCTGGGACCCATTTGTATCCTCAGACGTTGTGTGGACAAGTTGATAACAGTTGCAGTCAAGACTTAAAGCCTTTGCTAGGATCCACCGACTTTGTCTCTGTGATATGCGCGTTCTCTGTGCAGTTACCGCCTCTTTTGCATTAGATCCCAGCTGGTGTCAGCGTTGTGCGGTGTCAGTTCTGAATCTCAGTTTGGCCTTTGTTTGGCTGGACTCTGTGTGAGCAACACTTTATCCCTTTATCACAGGGCCTGGCTCACAGGAGGCCCTTGACTGGCTTCCTATCGGCGAACTCAGCAGTCTCTTTAGTTCGATTCCTGAATCTAAAAGCATAGCTTTAAAAAAATAAAATAAAATAAAAGCATAGCTTTGCTCATTCGCTGACAATCTTAGCGTTCATTTTAGCTGAAGAGTTTGTTTTGAAGAGCTGGAGGGATAAAAGTTCACATCTTTAACTCTGCTCTTTTCTCACAAGGTATTTGAAAAGAAAATGCTGTTCATTAGGATGCTGAGGCGAGCGGGGCAGAGCCCAGCCTGTGGCTGTTGGACGCCTGTCCTGCCGGTCCGCTTTCTGGGCATCTCCCCTCGGCAAATTCCAGCAGATGCTAACTTCCACTCTGCGTCTTTCTCTGACACAGACCATCCACGAGTCTTAATTACAGGTTAGTTTTTCTTTTCTTTTTTCTATTTGCATGGCTTGATTCTTTCCTGTGCTATGTGTCTGTGCCTTTGCTTTTGGAATGTGTAATATGCTATCTGAACCATACTGCCTGTCTCTGTAGCCGATAATGCAGCAAAAACAGGCTTGGCCAGATGACAGAATCTGGATCTATTCTCTATACTATGAAAAGGATTTCAGAATGAGGTATTTTATAATACAAAAGTTTTAAATTAGAGCAGCTGATCTTATTGATCAGACACTGTCTTTTTCACTATTGGCTTTTTTGTTTGTTTCTTAGAATTTTGCAAATCCAAATCCTTATTTCATCACTGTTGCCAGCACTTGGTTTTGCCTGCCGTAATTTTTGTTGTTGTTCGAAGGAATCTAGGAAACTGGGGGCCAAATAGCTGCTCTGGAACTTGGTTTCCTTCCATATTAGGATCAGTCTGGGGAGTGAAGGCTAGTGGACAGGAGGGTGCTGGGGCTAGAACATTGATTCTGGTGTTAGGCACGCTGTTCCTTGGCCAGAGTCCTGAACCTAAACTCAGAGTCATTAATCCCAAACTGTTATTGCACATTTGCATGTTGGAAATAGAGAAGGTAAGTTAGCGTCTGGTCAAGGGACTTGTTGCTGCAGTGTTCATTGTTGTCCTCGAGCCCATCATGGCCCTTGAGCTCATTGTTGCCATTGAGGTCATCATTGCCAGTGACTCGCTCCCTGAACCTCCTCACCTCAAATATGTTCAGCCCCTGATTTTGTATCCTTCTCACTCCAGACTTTACTCTGTCACTTCCAGCCAGCCCAAACCTACCTCCAGTTTGATGGACATGTTTTACTTCTTTCTCTTTCTTGCCAGGCTTTCTTCCCTTGGTTTTACAGCATTATCCTTCTCATTTTCGTGTGTCTGTGTGTGTGTGTACTCTTTGACTGCCTTGTCCACTTCTGGTGCTGAAATAAGTTTCAAGCTTAGTAGATGTCCCTCTCTGCCTTTCCTCCGATTCACCCATCGTGTTGTCCGAGTGTTTGTTTTATTCCCTCTCACCTCCCCTAATGATGCATCTTTCAGGGTGTCCTGGTTTTATTCCCAAGTTAACAAATGGTTACAGGAAGTCCCACTTTTATATCTTCCTGCCTCATCAGTTTCTCTCAAATGAAATGGACTGTTGTCCTTACCCAAATGTGCTCCTAGCCCACTGGCCTCCCGTTTCTATCAGTGGCATGTTTAATTCTTCAAACTAGAAGCTGCACTATTCACTTTAACTTTCTCAGTGGTGCCTTGTTGATTCAGTTGTCTGCCCCTTTTTCAAATGACTTCTTGGTTTCTCCCTGCCTCTTTTCCCTTTCATATCCCAGTCCACTTCTAATGGAGGATGGGATTCTGCCTCATGTCACCAGAGGTGGATATGAATCTGTTCATACTGGTTTTGAATGATTTTGTCACCCATAGCAGATAAGCTTCAAAGTTCATGAAAATAATGAAGGCCAAGATTGAGTTCCTGCCCCAAGAAATTCCAGACCTGTGTCTGGCTTTCATGAGATTTTTCTCTTCTAATGCCCTTGCTTCTCCTCTTTCTCGGAACCACTCCATGCTGGTAAGTGTTGTCTCTGAAACGAATGTTACCTGTATTGGTCTCTGTCCTAGCATGGGGGAGATCATTGCATTTCTAAGCGCTGCACCACGTTCCTGGGAAGATTGGAAGTAAGCAGCAGTTATATCAGTGCAACCTAGGACTTACGTAGTTAGCTAAGACTGAAAACTAGTCTCACTCAGTTATTACATTCTGGGAATAATTGAACTGTTTAGATTTGCATTAAACCTTCACTTTTTTTTCTTCTTCATCTAGGGGCTCTTGGCCAGCTGGGAGTGGGGCTTGCTAATCTTTTGAGGTAAGAGCCCTAAAAACTTGAAATTTAAAATCTGAGTTGTTAAGTATATGGAGCTCATTGGGATGCCTTTTAAACTTCTTTTCTCTCTCCTCTTGCTCCTTACCATTGTTAAGATATATCTAAATAACTGCTATATATAGCTATAGATATAGATATATAGAGATATAGATATAGATACAGATTTTTTTTTTTTGAGTTGGAGCCTCAGTCTGTCACCCAGGCTGTAGTGCAGTGGTGCAATCCCGGCTCACTATAACCTCCACCTCCTGGGTTCAAGTGATTCTCCTGCCTCAGCCTCCCGAGTAGCTGGGACTACAGGCACATACCACCACGCCTGGCTAATTTTTTTTATTTTTGGTAGAGATGGGCTCTCGCTATGTTGCCCAGGCTGGTCTTCTAACTCCTGGCCTCAAGTGATCTGCCCGCCTCAAGTGATCTGCCCACCTCACCTTTCCAAAGTGCTGGGATTACAGATGTGAGCTACTGTGCCCAGCCTAAAATACATTTTATTTTGCCTCTGAATATCCCAGACTTGTCGTAGGCCCTTGACTTAACATCTCCAGACTGGTCCTTTGCTCTCTTTCTGTTTCCTAACTTAGGCAAAGTGAGACACACATCTCCCAGTGAATCACTTTGACTTTTAGTTGTTTGAGAACCAAGGGAAGTACAGGTGCAAACTGGAAGGGAAGAGTGTGGGATTTGGAGAGAATGGGGTAAGAGAATAAGAAGAGGGGAGAGAAGATAAGAAGAATGATGAGGAAGAGGTAAAAACTCTGGGGGGTAATGGGAAGAAACCGGTGACAAGCATAGGGTTAACAGTCAGGTGAGAGGAGAAACAGAAGAGAGAGTCGTGGGCAGGGAAATAGAGGCCTGAGTGTGAGAGAGATAAGAATTGAAGGTGTGGGAATTGAGGATGAAGAGGAAGTAGAGATTTGGAGGCTGGCAGAAAATTACAGTTCTTATTTTAAAAGACTTCTCACAGGACTCATTGCATTCTAGATGTTGCCAACTTGTGTGGGTTAATTTTCCCTTTAGGAAACGATTTGGAAAGGACAGTGTGATTTTGTCTGACATAAGGAAACCCCCCGATCATGTCTTTCACAGTGGTAAGAGATCAATAGGTCTTGCTTTTATTTTTATCTCTAATTTTCAAGGCACAAAGAGGTGGCTCGTGAAATTGGTGCGTGCAGCAGCTCATAGCTGAATTTATGACTCAAAGAGAAGTTATTGAGGCACTGGTATTTCACTTAAAAATACGTATTTTACCCAAAGGATTATAAATCATGCTGCTATAAAGACACATGCACACGTATGTTTATTGCGGCACTATTCACAATAGCAAAGACTTGGAACCAACCCAAATGTCCAACAATGATAGACTGGATTAAGAAAATTTGGCACATATACACCATGAAATACTATGCAGCCATAAAAAATGGTGAGTTCATGTCCTTTGTAGGGACATGGATGAAGCTGGAAACCATCATTCTGAGCAAAGTATCGCAAGGACGAAAAACCAAACACCGCATGTTCTCACTCATAGGTGGGAATTGAACATTGAGAACACATGGACACAGGAAGGGGAACATCACACACTGGGGCCTGTTGTGGGGTGGGGGAGGGGGGAGGGATAGCATTAGGAGACACACCTAATGTTAAATGACTAGTTAATGGGTGCAGCACACCAGCATGGCACATGTATACATATGTAACAAACCTGCACATTTTACACATGTACCCTAAAACTTAAAGTATAATAAAAAAATATATATTTTTAATGCTGCTGCTTGTTCAAGTGATAAAAGAACAGAAGAATTCTTTTGACCTTGAAGTTTTTGGAATAATATATTTTGATGTTATTGGAAATGAAAACTTTGTTTCCTGTCTTTTTGTGTTTTAAGTTAACTTATTGACTTGGAGAGAATACAAACAAAAATCAAGAATAGAAACGAAAAGACACATACACACACACACACATAGACACTCACACACACATACACGCACATACACACATACACGCACATACACACATACACACATGCACATACACACATACACAGACACACGCACACACATACCCACACACGCACACACACAGACACACATACACACACATACACACATGCACACACATACACGCACACACACATACACATACACGCACACACACGCACATACACATACACACACATCCACACAGACACACACACACACCTCTCAAGCTCTTCTAATCAGGATTTTACTGCTTCAAAAATGTTTTTATGTCTAGGCATGGTGGCTCACACCTGTAATCCCAGCAATTTGGGAGGCTGAGGTGGGAGGATCACTTGAGTCTGGGAGTTCAAGACTAGCCTGGGCAATATAGTGAGACCCTGTCTCCACAAGAAATTAAAAATGAGCTGGGCATGGTGGCACGTGCCTGTAGTCCTAGCTACTTGGGAGGACCACTTGAGCCCACTAGATGGAGGCTGCAGTGAGCCATGATTGCATCACTGCACTCCAGCCTGAGCGACAGAGCAAGACTCTGTCCCCGCTGCCCCAAAAATAAGGTTTTGTAATGCCCCCAGTCCTTCCTGGTTCAGCATCAGCCTTTTGCTGCTCACCATGGGGAAGAGTGACAGTTTGCTGTAAGTGGGGAAAATTGGCACAGAGCAAGATCAACTTTACCTCTGTGTAATTAAGTATGATAAACTCATGGTTTGTGGGTTTTCTATACCAAGGTGGTGGTGGTGGTGAATAAGTCCGTTTCTCTATTCCTTTTCAAATGTGCACCTTGGAAGCAGAGTGAAGCCACTCTGTGTATACAGGGCTGGGAGGAACAGCACCCACTCTGGAGCCCGATGCCTAGCTGCAGCCCCATTTCCTCCACTTGTTCTCTGATCCTGGCAAGTTGCTTAACCTCTCGGTGCCTGTTTCCTTATCAGTAAAATGTGTTTACCTCCAAGGCTGTGTGGGAAAGAAATGGACTTATGTCCTTAGGACAGGGTCTGGCCCAGGCAGGTCCTATAGGAGCATTTGCTGTCATTACCTGGCGCGGGGTGGTTGTGACTTGTGATTCTTCCGTAAGAAAAATGCTGCCTAGTGCCCAGCTGTCTTAGTTATTGCGTGGCTACCAGTGAAATTCACAAGTCAACGGGGGAAAGGGGAAAGGTCCATTTAGTTCACAACCCTTTTCACGTTCGTGGTTTCAATTTATGTTCCTTGCAGGTCCATTCATTTATTCTGATATCTTGGATTACAAGAATCTTCGGGAGATCGTGGTAAACAACCGCATCACCTGGCTGTTTCATTACAGCGCTTTGCTCAGCGCCTTTGGAGAAGCAAATGTTTCCCTGGCGAGAGCAGTGAATATAACTGGTAAGCATCTGGCTCTGGCTGGATGTGATTTATTTGCCAGTTTTTCTAGTTCTTTAAGAAGAGATGTTTTCAGATTCTGATAGTGTCTGTTCATTTCAGGCCTGCATAACATCCTGGATGTCGCTGCGGAACACAATCTGCAATTGTTTGTGCCTAGCACGATTGGGGCTTTTGGACCCACCTCTCCCCGGAACCCAACCCCCGATCTCTGTATTCAGAGACCCAGGACCATCTATGGGGTGTCCAAGGTCCACGCGGAGCTCATGGGAGAAGTAAGCATCACTCAGCTGGATTGCTGAATGTGCCCTGGCTGTCACGATTTGCTGTTTGCTTTCTCATTCGTTTTGCCTCCAAGGCCTGGTGATTCATCCCTGGAGGAACTTTACCTCTTCTTGGATCCCAGCCCCAGAGTCGCTTACTTAACTCACTGGGTTTGCCATGTAGCAGGTGTCTCCAGCTCCTGAAACCTCCTCAGCCATATGGGAACACTCAGCACTTCCTGGGTGCCCCGTGCCCAGCCCCGATCTCTTCATTTGCTGCTTGTCTTGTACTCCACCATTCTTTCTGGCTCCTAGTATTGGTAGCCATTGGTAGTAACTCTAAAACCTCAAACATCTTGGGTTTGTTTTGTTTGTTTGTTTGTTTTATGAGACAGAATCTTGCTCTGTCACCCAGGCTGGAGTGTGGTGGCGTGATCTCAGCTCATAGCAGCCTCCGCCTCCTGGGTTCAAGGGATCCTCATGCCTCAGCCTCCGAAGTAGCTGGGATTATAGGCACGTGCCACCACACCCAGCTAAATTTTATATTTTTAGTAGAGGCAGTGTTTTGCCTTGTTGGCCAGGCTGGTCTCAAGCTTCTGACCTCAAGTGATCCACCCACTTCAGCATCCCAAAGTGCTGGGATTATAGGTGTGAACTACTGCAAAATACTCTTTATCTTTATAACTCTAGTAGATTCGAGTTGCTGCCTGCTCCTCCAGTTCTGTCATAGCCATGGCCCTCTCATCCACTGTTCTCTCCTCTGCTTTTCCCCGTGCTGCTTGTGGGAATGCACTCAGGCTGAATCGTTCAGAATGATGATCAGTGGCGCCTTTCCAAAGAGTGGCTGGAAATGCCTACTGTAGACTAATGTGTCATTTACAGCATTGATGTACCACCTAAAAGTTGATTTCTTTTAAAAGATAAAAACTTAGGAGTCTTTATTTTCTTTAGGAGTATTTAAATATAACTGCATGGAATGAGATTTCAGAAAAAGGCAGGGTGTTTTTTGGTTTTTTTTGTTTTTGTTTTTTTTGCATCTATCTGATTTAAAATATTTGTGTTTGAATACGTTTTCTCTTTTTCATGGTATTATCATTACCGGTATGGGTTAGATTTCTGATGCCTGAGATATCCTGGAATCATTTCAGCTGACTCCCAGCCTGGAGGAGGAACAACTGGTTAAGTGTTTTCTATTTCTTATGTCTCTTATATGTTAGATAGGCTTTCCAGCCAGGTGCGGAGGCTCATGCCTGTAACTCCAGCACTTTGGGAGGCTGAGGCAGGAGGATCACTCCAGCCAGAGACCAGCCTGGACAACACAGTGGGACCTTGTCTCTATGAAAAATAAACAAAAATTACCCAGGCATGATGGCCCACACCTGTAGTCCCAGCTACTGGGGAGTCTGAGGCAGGAGGGCCTCTTGAGCCCGGAAGGCCAGGGTTGCAGTGAGCTGAGATCGTGCCACTGCACTCCAGCCTGGGTGAGTGACAGAGTGAGACCCTGTCTCAAAAATAAAAAACAACAACAAAAAAACACCCACCAAAAAAAAAAAAAATAGACTGACTTATTGCTAGGTGGAGTTGTCTTCGTAGTAAATGAATTTGCTATCTTTTTAGCTGTATGCTGACCAGAGTTTTTCTGTAATATCTCCCGATATGCATTTTAAAAGCACAGTGAACCCAATTGGCTTACACTCACTAAGGGTAGCACATGCCAGCGTTGTCAGTTCAGCTCGGGATTGGCCACCCACAGTGGCAGAATAAAACGTAATATTCAACAACAAATCTGTGACTCACAGTGTAGGAAGACCCCCAGCAAGCAGCAGCCTCTCGTTTCTTAACACGCAGAGAGAGCCCTATTAAAATAGACTCTAGGCATTGTGTATGTGAAAGGAACATAAGTATGATTATTATTTTGGACTCAAACACTCATTCTGTTTCATAAGTCCCACATCAGGTATCCTTCCCACATCTGTGGTCCTGAGAATGAATATGGAAGGTACTTGACCGCATCAGAGGGATTTGGAAGCAGGCCTTAAAAAGCTTCTGCTTTTTAATATGGTGCTTCTCCAGGTGTGATCTGGGGAGCTCCGGTCATCCTCCAGCACTTTCAAGGGGTCTTGGGGGTCAAAAATCTTATCAATATGGAGACGTTACTGGCCTTTTTCACTCTACTTTCACAAATGCATTGTAGAGTTTTCCAGAGGTGGTGTGGCGTGTGAGATAAGAACGGACTGGATACAGAAGCAGATGGGGGCTCCAGCGGACCCCTATCAAGCCAGACCCTAAAGAGATTTTTAGAATGTACAGCAGACCATCCTTCTCAGTAAATTTTGTTTGTTTAGAAAATATACCCTTTTTCCTATAAAATGTTATACATATTAATATGTGATAGGCTTATTGTCGTTTAAAAAGGTAATATTCTAAACAATTCTCAGTTAACTCTGTTTCAGTAAATATTGATATAACCCACATTAGTCAGATCTCTTTGGGAGTTCTCAATTCTTTTTTTTGAGATGGAGTCTTGCTCTGTCACCCAGGCTGGAGTGCGGTGGCGTGATCTCAGCTCACTGCAGTCTCCATCTCTCCTGGGTTTGAGCGATTCTCATGCTTCAGCCTCCCAAGTAGCTGGGATTACAGATGTGTGCCATCACGCCTGGCTAATTTTTGTATTTTTAGTAGAGCTGGGGTTTCACTGTGTTGGACAGGCTGGTCTTGAACTCCTGATCTCAGGTGATCTGCCTGCCTCGGCCTCCCAAAGTGCTAGGACTACAGGCCTGAGTTACTGAGCTTGACTGGACTTCTTAATTTTTAAGAATCTGTTATAAAAAGACTCTGAGACTAGAACATTTGAGAACTGCTGCCTTGATCCAAGAGGCTCATTCATTGTTTTGTTATAACCTACATACGGGATTCCCTTTCAGACTATGCAGTCCAGATTTTCCATGATGCCACAAAGCATGGCAAATTCGAGTGCAACCTGGAAGCCTGCACGAGACTGCCCATGATGTACATTGACGACTGCCTCAGAGCCACCCTGGAGGTCATGGAGGCCCCAGCTGAGTCCCTTTCCATGAGGACCTACAATGTCAGCGCCATGAGCTTCACACCCGAGGAGCTGGCCCAGGAGGTCCTCAAGCACGTGCCGGAATTCCAGATCACATACAACGTGGATGCCGTTCGCCAGGCCATAGGTTCGTACCCGGTGGCAAAGGCCTTTACTGTGAGTCCCTGGAGAATGTAAACCTTGGAAGGTTGAAGAGAGCATAGATCCTTCCCAAGGGTCCAGACACCTTTTGGAGAAGGAGCCTAGCCCAAGAAATTGTTGAGCCCAAGCTAGCAGATGCTTTGATTTTGGGGAATGATATCTAAAGTGGGTGAAATCATTCCATTCCAAATAAACAGCTTGTTAGCCTTTCATCATTTTTACAGTTTAAACATAAAGCAAGGAAAAATAGAAGCAACAGAGGTAGTATGAAAACAGCCCCAGGTTTTCAAATACTGTAACTTTGCCAATTTGTGGATGGAAGCACCTCTTTGAGTATAAAACTTCTTATGAAGTTGTGTGAGATTTTGATAATGTGTGAAAATTCACAGTGCCTGACGAAAGATGGGTTAATAGTCTTCGGCCCTAGGAGGGTGACTGTGCATAATGGCGGTTCTGCTTTACTCGAAGGAATTTCCTGTTTTGTACCTTGTACGGTAGACCTTTATATACAATGGTCAAGACCTTTTTGCAAATCCACAACCTGAATAACTTAAGCTAGTCTTGCGTATCTTTTCCTAGCGGATGGTTGGCCGATGAACTTTGATGACAGCAATGCTCGGAAGGACTGGGGGTGGAAACACGACTTTGATCTTCCAGAGTTGGTGACTGCCATGTTGAACTTCCATGGTTCTGAAAGCAGAGTTGCCCAAGCCAACTGAAAGAATCTGGAAGAGGAGCTCCTGTGTCCTGGTCCACTGTCAAGGGAGAACTGTCACAACTCCAAGGTTATAGACTCCAAGGAGCCTACATTATTTGGAACTGACTCATTGGACTAAATTTTGGCAGCTCATATTGAACTGCTAGACAAAGAATGGAGTTAACATTTAAGCATTTTCAGAATGTTGTAGGTATGGTGGTGGGACTTTTCAGTTTTTGCTGTTTGCCTGAACTTGTCTAAACACATTCCACAGAATAAGGCTTAAGTCATCATTAGTTTCCATTTCCTTAATTAGGATGAAGTGACTATTTCTGGGAAGCTGGGAGTATGTGACATTTGTGTTTAATTAAATTCAATTTAAATATTCCTCTTAAGACTCGATTATTCTCTTGACTAAAGACCAAAGATTACATTTTAAGGACTTTCAAAGAGGTACTCCTCATTTATAAGTATTCTTTACTATCCCAGCGAAAGTAAAACATGTTTGGTGTATTCATCCCATGTCTATCACATTCAAGATATTTTGACACTGCTTCAAAAATTATAATTTCTGGTTTTTCTGGAAGATGCTAGATCTGTGGGAAATTAAGAATTCAAAGATGATGTAACCAGCGAAGGGTAGCCCTGCTCTTATTTTGATTGCCCTCCTATTAGTGAGCTAAATGTAATTCCCAGGAACATAATTCCCTGACCTGGCAACATCAGCATCTAGGGAGATTGTCTAATACACAGGTTTCTGGGCTACATCCCTTTAGATTCACTCATTAAGTGCCAGGTGCCACTGGTTATTTGAATCCAGCTGAGGCCCACTAGTCAGACCAGTTTAGACCAATGCAGTTTTCTAAAGAGCACTTTCTTGTTGCATCTTTTTTTTTTAAGATATTCCTGGGTTGAGCTTTCAGAAGGGCTACTCTAAACCCTCTGATGCAATTACCGTATAGATACATACAGGTTAACTTTTTAAGTTGAAGTTAGGCCAAATCAATTTCTGATTGTATTTTATGGTAAGGGAATGAGTGTGTTCAGAAAATGCTTTCAATCCGGTCATTTAAAAAAATATTTCTGGTGCAATACTGTATAGACACGTACAGGTTAACTTTTTTCCAGCGACCTCGGAATGTACTGCATGTAAAATCACTAGGAAGTGAAACTTCCAGTTCCACAGATTAATCATGGATATATTTGATAACAGCTATCAAGGATTAAAAGGCGTTTATTTATGTTGCATGCTTAATAACAAAATGTTATGCATTTGGAGTTTTGAACTGTTAGGTCAAAGCGTGGATTTTTTTGAAGGCATAACTGGATTTAAAATCTATTTGACTATTAACTGGAGAACTTTTAGGTAATTGAATTGTTTAACAGTTACATTACTGTAGCTTTTTCCTCCACTTAATAAGGTTTATGTTTGTAGATTTTATTTTTTTGTTATTTTTCTTTTGGGCTGCTCTTGAGAGGCAGGAAGATTTTATTTTTTAAAATCAGAAAGTTAGTAATGAATTCTTTTTTTGAAAGTTTGAGATATAGTTTACATACCATAAAATTCACTCATTTATAGTTCTGTGGTTTTCAATGTATTAAAAAGTTTTGCAACCATCACTATAATCTAATTTTAGGCCATTTCATCACCCCACAAAGAAATCATATTATATAAGCCCTTCCCACCCTCGGCAACCACTAATGTACTTCTTCTGTCCCTGGGTTTGTCTGTTCTGAGCATTTTATGTAAGTGGAATGTGGTTGTCTTTTAGTGGCTTCTTTAATTAAGCAGTCCATTTTCAAGGTTCATCCATGTTTTAGCATGTATCACTACTTCATTTTTTATTGCTAAGTAATATTCCATTGTATGAGTAATCCTCTTATTTTCTCTATCCATTCATCCATTGAGGGACATTTAGGTTTTTTGCACTTTTTAAGCTATTATGAATAATGCTGCTATGAACATTTGGGTAGATAATTGAGTTTTAAAATGATTGCTTACTGTTTATAGTTTAAAAAACAGTTCTTAAGTTTGATTAATTTATTCTCAGTTATCTTAAAGGAACAAGCAATTCTTCCCTTTCATAAGATAAGAAGCAGCAACTCGAGTGACCTTTGTCTCCTAGACCCTAACCTTCCAGCATTTCTACCAGGCTCCTAGAATGACCTTTAATTCGGATCATTTGGAGGGGTTTGTTCCAAACAGGTTCCTTGAATCTTTCCCAATCTGTAAACACACCTCCAGGAGATCTCAAATAAGAGTGAAAAAACAATGAATGCTTCAGCTTCTTTGGATGATTCTTATTCACTGACATCTTTGTACTCCAAGACTAGAATTAGAGTTGTCCCTTCTGTCTGAACACTCAGTATCTGGTGCACATCTTGGGATCCCGGAGCCCATCAATGTTTTCCTGTAAAATGCTTTCCGTTCTGTTGGGAGAAAGGGTTTTTTATGATTAATTTGGAAATAACCCAAAAAGCTATTTGAAGGAAAAGTGGGTTTAACCACAAAAATAGTTTATTTATAAATAAAAAAGAAAGAATACAAAGATTGGCTTTGTTCTGATGTTTTACACAGGCTACCGGTGGTTATTAGTTTTCTGCTCACATGTTTGTGTGTGGCGTTGCTGGGATGTGCCTTGTGTTGCTACACAAACAGCGATCCCGAAGTCTGCCAGCAAGATAGATGGCCTGGAGTCCGGAACAGACTGGATTAGTGAAAGCTACTGCAGTGCTTTGGACACTTACTATGGTAGGTGGGAGATATTTAGTATTTTTTAATTCACATAGGCCAAATCACCAATTTGTGATTGTATTTTATGGTAAGGGTGTTCAGAAAATGCTTTAAATTCTGTCATTTTGAAAAAATGTTTATTAAGAGTTCAGACAATTTAAAAGATATATAATAAAGTTGTCTTCCCCTCCAAACCCAATCAATAACATGTTAGCAGTGTAGTGTGGGACCCAGTGCAGTGGCTCACACCTGTAATCAGTACTTTAGGAGGCTGAGGCAGGAGGATTGCTTAAAGCCAGGAGTTCAAGACCAGCCTGGACAACATAGCAAGACTCTCATCTCTACAAAAATAATTTAAGCCAGATGTGGTGATGCACACCTGTAGCTGCTACTCACGTGGCTGAAGCTGAGGGATCACTTGTAGCCAGGAGTTTGAGGCTGCAATGAGCTATGCTTGCGCCACCATACTCCAGCCTGAGCCACAGAGCGAGACCATCTCAAACAACAACACAAAAAAAAACTAGTGTATACCTTTTATTTTCTCCTGTGCTTATACAATCTAGGAGTGGAAGGTGAAACCTTTTTCTTTTCTTTTACTATAAAAGTAGTGCTAAGACAATATTGTCAAAAGTTTTGGAAAAGACTCACTTTCAATTTTTGCCATGTCACATGGTAGCTGTTTTAAAATATTCTCCAGTCCTCTATGCGTTACAAAGAACTTACATGTAGTTTTAACATTTGCCATTTAAAGATAGCTGCATAACTCGTTGAATGGAGTATCATAATGATGTCATTCTATTTAATTGCTGAAACCTAGAAGTACAATTACTGGGTCACAGGGCGTAAACACCTACTTGCCTCTTCATTTTATGTGGTCAAATTTATCTTCGGAACGAGTTGGATTAATTTGTGATGAAATTCTCGACCATCAACACCTTCCTCTTGGCACATATTCATGGACCTCAGTATGGTTTACATTTGTTGAAAAGTTTTATTTTTGTGGCTGGGTGCAATGACTCATACTTGTAATCCCAGCACTTTTGGGAGGCTGAGGCAACAGGATCAGTTGAAAGTTTTATTTTTCTAAAAGGTTTGAAGAATATAAACTTCATTTTTTGCTGGAGAATCTTAACATTCTAATACAAGAGCCGTGAGTGAATGAATCCTAGATCTCACATAACCGGATGATAACTGCCTCTAAATCAGTGAATTGCTTCCAAAAATCACCGGTGAGAAAGGAATCTTGTTTTTTAATGATTTTTTTTTAGGGTAGTCACTTTAAAAAAAATTATTTCATGGCACTGTTTTTATAGCTTTAGTATGTTTGTCTATAAGGTAGCTAAACAGGCCACCCCTTACCTTCCAATGTGAAGATCCCAGAAAACTTTTTTTTAGCCAACTTACATATATAAAGTTTAGGATTGTAGATGAGAGGATAAAATAGACACCTGTACTATTAGTTACAGGTGTTTCAGATTTGTTAATCTATTAACCAGCATGTGGGCTTTCCCTCTTCACATTCGCATTTCAGGCATGTCACTCCGACTTCGTATTTGATCTTGGTGCCCCCTTTGGCATCCCCTAATAGGTTAAGAGCAGATGATCTTTTTTCTTTCTAAGTTGTTTGGGATGCAGCAGTTTCGGGGTCTATGTATGATGCTGTTGGTGGACATTTATCCCAAGCCACAAGTATGCCTGTGTGTAGGTAGCACTAGGGCAGCTGCTTTTCAGAATCCACAGAGCATTGCTTTCGATTTTTAACAGGCTTCTTTCCAGTGACACCAAATACTTGTAACTGTAGCTTTATAATCCTAGAGACCGTGACTGTTAATGTGCCTCCTTTACAACTTATCCTACCAGCCACAATATTAGCATTGCTTAAGGTTGTTTGAGGCTAATAATGTTTCCACAGAACAATAACTTGTATTCTTTTCAGGTTACTGACAGCATTTAGTATATCCTGAAAGAGTGTAATGTTTCAAATATAAGGTGAGCATCCCTAAGGGGATAGTTTCGGGAGATAACTCTGCCTTATTTTGGGAGTATATGTGATACCTTGTCTATTGATCCATTTGTCTGAAGTCCTTAAGAAAAGCTTTTCTCTTTTGTTAAAAGGTCAAAAATTTAAAAATTATTTTGCCCAGTTCTTTCTTTACACTGTAAGTACAATTCTTCTGTACCTACATTGCTGTAAGAAGTTTAAATATAATTTGTAATTTAAGTTGTAGTATGAAAGAATGAACCAGAACAAGTAGCTGCCTCCAAGGTTGTACTTTCCCAATTTTTTAATATTCAAGGCACCTAGAAAATATATCATTAAAAATATGTTATTAAAATATGCTGTTATTTGTAATACACACTATTATTTTTATGTTCTAAGAAAGGAAGAAAACTTGCATTTAAATAGACACAATGGCCAAGTGCAGTGGCTGATGCCTGTAATCCCAGCACTTTGAGAGGCTGAGGGAGGAGGATCGCTTGAGTCCAGGAGTTCAAGACCAGCCTGGGCAACACAGGGAGACCCTGTCTCTACAAAAATTGGCTGGGTGTCATGGTGTGAGCCTGTAGTCCCAGCTAGTTGGGAGGCTGAGGTGGGAGGATAACTTCAGCCCAGGAGGCAGAGGCTGAAGTGACTATGATCAGAGCATTGCACTCCACCCTGGGCAACAGAGCCAGACCCTATCTCTGAAAAAAACAAAAGAAAAAAGAAACAGAACGCTTTCTTGTTGTTTGGACTTTTTACTTTGTATCCCATTGAGGAGCTCTTTGAGACTTTGCTAGATGCAGATGTTATCACTTGCGCATCTGTAGAAACGGATCTAGAAATGTATGTTTGTTTGTTTTCCTGAAACTTCGGGTTTTGCTTTTCTGAATCACTTTTTGACTCAGTGGTTGGTGTCTCTGGTTTTTCCACCCAGTGTTGTTCTCTGTGCCAGTATGAGTTTTATGTCAGAGCACTCCTTAAAAGAATTCATAAAACCTAAAAGTCACTGGCACTGTAAACCAGCTTTATAGTTACGCCAATCTCGCCTACTTTTGACACCTGCTTTAGGAATGTGCTAACTCTATTTGGTTTGCCCAAAACCTTAAACTCTTTGGTTCCTAGGAGTTACAATGATGGCTGAATGTTTCTCCTGGCCTCTGACACCCACTGCGCAGGGTTCAGTGCTGTGTTTGGAAGGTGCCTATGTCACCAATAGGCAATGCTAGCACTATTACAATCACAACCTGTACAAAAGAAGTTGTAGGATAATCCTGATTTCAAATACGTAAAAATCTGGAAGAAAATGTGAGTCTTAGCAGAGGGTGAGATGTGGTTGCATTTGCAACCACTAGTGTGCCAGGGCAGTCCCCGCCCTGCTCAGACTGCTACCTGGAGGGCTGAAACGATCCCAGGAAAGCTCAGCAGTAGATGGTCACTGCAGGGCTCACACCTTCCTTTCGCATGGCTGGGGAGGGGGGCGTTAGCAGATGTGGTGGGCACTAAAGGAGTTGCTAAGGTTGGCAGCAAAGTGCCAGGCCTCATGGGAGAAAAGAGGAGATGGGATATGAGCTGCCAGGAGACAACGGTTGGGAAGAGCAGATTGTCCCATGGGGGGTTAGGTCCTGTGTGGTTCCTAGGATGCGATCCATCCTTTTTGTTCCATAAAATGTTAGGCGATGCTTTCGTGTCCCATTAGTGGAGCTGCAGCACTGGAGGCTGCTGCAGAGGGCTGGAAGGGACCGTGAGTAGGTAGGCGGGGCAGGGCTCCCCACTCTCTTGATCACACCACCGTCTTCTGAGTTATAAAAGGAAGAAAGACTTGTTGTTTCTAGAATATTTTGTTAAAGATACAGTGCTCATCTACCAAGGCGTCTAGATCTCAGATTATGTGTCAAGATGAAACCAAAAATCTTCAAGAAAAATTTATGCTGCATAGTCCTTTTCCCTCCCCTCCCCCCGCCAGGACAGGGTCTTGCTCTGTCACCCAGGCTGGAATGTAATGGTGCAATCTTGGCTCACTGCAACCTCTGCCTCCCAGGTTCAAGCGATTCTCCTGCCTCAGCCTCCAGAGTAGCTGGGATTACAGGCACACACCACCACACCCAACTAATTTTTGTATTTTTACTAGAGACAGGGTTTCGCCATGTTGGCCAGGCTGGTCTTGAACTCCTGGCCTCAGGTGATCCATCTGCCTCGGCCTCCCAATGTGCTGGAATTACAGACGTGATTCACCGTGCATGGCCAGTACTTTTTCAGTATTATCTGAAATTAACAACCTTAGAGGTTGAGGTCCCATTTTAAGTATCTACCTACTTTCTTTTTAAGTTTTTATTTAATTTTTTTAAATGTAAGAATTTTACATGGTAAAATTCAGGCAGCACAAATGGGTAAATACAGTGAAAAGTGTGTCTGTCCTTCAGCTGCCCTCTCCAGAGGCAACCATGACTGGGTGCAGATTTGCACATTCAGCTACATATATACCTATTTATGTGTGTGTGTGTGTATGTGTGTGTATTTCCCTTATTTTTCTAAAGCATGAATATTATGTACATTCCTTTTTCACTTGACAACCTAGGAGACTTTTCAACATCAGTTTTTTGGGATCTACCTCATTCATTTTAAAAGCTGCATCACTTTTTATTGTACAGATGCACAAAAGCATAGTTAACTGATTCCCTCATTTTGGACAATTAGACTCATCCCTCTTTCACTATTGCAAACAATGCTACAAATAACTTCATCGCAAATGTAAGCTGTAAGCCTTTATTGGCTAAAACATACAAAAATTAGCTGGGTGTGATGGTGCGTGCCTGTAATCCTAGCTATTCAGGAGGCTGAGGTATAAGAATAGCTTGAATCTGGGAGGCTGAGGTTGCAATGAACTGAGATCGTGCCACTGAACTCCAGCCTGGGCGACAGAGCGAGACTTTGTCTCAAAAAAAAAAAAATTATGAGATAACTTGCCGAGATGTTTTTATGAAAAGAGCTACGTGGGATAAACATTTCTTGTTTTCAATTGGGAGCAGCTGATTTAGAAGTGGACCGACCTATCAATTTCTGGGTACTTACTTCATTATTGCCACGGTTTAAATTACTGATACTCATAGTTTATGTTCCATTCCAAATTAATAAGACAAAGTAATCCTTTTGAATTTTTTTATGTTGAAACGTTCACTATGTGAAAGAATAATCTACCATTATCAAGATAATAGCACAGCAAAGTATTTGTCAATCTTGGCAGAAAATCATAAAGTGTGTTGAACTGATGACGACTAAACATGTAGGATGCTAGTGAAAGATGGAAAAGTGATGGAAGCCTATGTTCCCAGCATAATTTTAAAAGTGCAGGTGCTCATAAACTAGAACATCCGGAAGAAATAGATAAATCCCTGGACACACACACCCTCCCAAGACTAAGCCACAAAGAAATTGAATCCCTGAACAGACTATTAATGAGCTTCAAAATTTAGGCATTAATAAATAGCATACCAACCAAAGAATCTCAAGATCAGAAAGACTCACAGCCAAATTCTGCCAGGTATACAAAGAAGAGCTGGTACCATTCCTACTGAAAGTGTTCCAAACTCCTCCCAACTCATTCTATGAGGCCAGCATCATCCTGATACCAAAACGTGGCAGAGACACACATAAAAAAAGAAAGCTTCAGACTAATATCCCTGATGAACATTGATGCAAAAATCCTCAACAGAATATTGGCAAACTGAATCGAGCAACACATCAAAAAGCTAATCCACCATGATCAAGTAGGCTTTATCCCTGGGATGCAAGGTTGGTTCAACATATGCAAATCAATGAATGTGACTCACCACATAAATGGATCTAAAGACAAAAACCACATGATTATTTCAACAGATTAAGAAAAGGCTTTCAGTAAAATTCAACACTATGTTAAAAACTTTCAATCAACTAGGTATTGAAGGAACATACCTCAAAATAGAAGCCATCTATGACAAACCCACAGCCAACATCATACTGAATGGGCAAAAGCTGGAAGCATTCCCGTTGAAAACTGGCATAAGATAAGGATGCCATCTCTCACCACTCCTACTTTACATAGTATTGGATGTCCTGACCAGGGCAATCAGGCAAGAGAAAAAAAATAAAGCACATCCGAATAGGAAGAGAGGAAGTTAAACTATCCCTGTTTGCAGATGACATAATCCTATACCTTGAAAACTCTACAGTCTCTACCCAAAAGCCCCTTAAACTGATAAACAACTTCAGCAAAGTCTCAGCCTACAAAATCAATGTACAAAAATGACCAGCATTCTTGTACACCAACAATAGTGAAGCCAAGAACCAAATCAGAAATGCAATCCCGTTCACAATTGCCACAAAAAGAATACCTAGGAATACAGCTAACCAGGAAGGTGAAAGATCTCTACAAAGAGAAGTACAAAACAGTGCTCAAAGAAATCAGAGATGACACAAACAAATGGAAAAACATTCCGTGTGCATGGATAGGAAGACTCAATATCATGAAAATGGCCATACTGCCCAAAGCAATTGATAGATTCAATGATATTCCCATCAAACTAGCAATGACATACTTCACAGAAATAGAAAAAACTATTTTAAAATTCATGTGGAACCAAAAAGGAGTCCCGATAGCCAACGCAATCCTAAGCAAAAAGAACAAAACTGGAGGCATCACGCTAGCTTCAAACTATACCACAGTAACCAAAACAGCATGGTACTAGTACAAAAACAGACACACAGACCATGGAACACAATAGAGAGCCCCAAAATAAGGCCACACACCTACAACTATCTGATCTTTGATGAAGCTGACAAAAACAAGCAATGGGAAATGACTCCCTATTCAATAAATGGTGCTGACATAACTGGCCAGTCACATGCACAAGATTGAAACTGGACCCCTTGCTTACACCATATATGAAAATTAACACAAGATGGATGAAAGACTTTAAAACCCAAAACTATAAAAAACCTGGAAGACAACCTAGGCAATACCATTCTGGAGACACAGGAACAGGCAGATTTCATGACGAAGATGCCAAAAGCAATTGCAACAAAAGCAATCATTGACAAATGGGATCTAAATAAACTAAAGAGCTTCTGCACAGCAAAAGAAATGATCCACAAAGTAAACAGACAACCTACATAATGGGAGAAGTTTTTGCAAACTGTGCACATGACAAAGGTCTAATATCCAACGTCTATAAGTAACTTAAATTTACAAGAAAAACACAACTCCGTTAAAAAGTGGGCAAAAGACATGAACAGACACTTTTCAAAAGAAGGTATACATGTGGCAAATCATATGAAAAAAGCTCAACATCATTGATCATTAGAGAAATGCAAATTAAAACGACAATGAGATACCATCTCACAACAATCAGAATGGCTATTACTAAAATTAAAAAAACAATAGATGCTGGTGAGGTTGTGGAGAAAAAAGAAGCCTTATACATTGTCGGTGGGAGTGTAAATTAGTTCAACCATCATGGAAAGCAGTGTGGTGATTCCTGAAAAACCTAAAAACAGAACTACCATTTACAATCCCACTACTGCATATATACCCAAAGGAATAGAAAACGTTCTATCATAAAGACACAGGCATGTGTATATTCATTGCAGCACTATTCACAATAGCAAAGACATGGAATCAGCCTAAATGCCCATCAATGACAGATTGAATAAAGAAAATGTGGTACATATACACAATGGAATGCTATGGTGCCATAAGAAGAACAAGACCACGTTCTTTGCAGGAACACGGATGGAGCTGGAGGCCAGTATACTTAACAAACTAACACAGAAACAGGAAACCAAATACTGCATGTTCTCGCTTATAAGTGGGAGCTAAAAGATGAGAACACGTGGACACACAGAGGGGAACAACACACACTGGGGCCTTTTGGACGGTGGAGGGTAGAAGGAGGGAGAGGATCAGGAAAAATAACTGGTAGGTACTAGGCTTAATATCTGGGTGCTGAAATAATCTGTACAACAAACTCCCATGACATGAGTAGTTTACCTGTATAGTAAACCTGCACATGTACCCTTGAACTTAAGAAAATTCTTTCATGTTAAACATTCACATACACACACAAAAATTAAAAATTAGAAGTGCAGATGCTGTTTATAAGCACTCACTTATGTATCTAGAACTTTGTGCTGTTGGCTTTTTCTTCTAGGCAGCTCTCAGCTGTCAGTACCACTAAAGCCTGCAGCCAGCATTTGTCTTATTCCTGGATCTCTAAGTTCAGTTTTCCATGAATCATGACCCATGGAGCCCACAAGTAGACTCGAAGCCCAGCAAATACCAAGAATGTTATCTTCCTTCTTTCTCTGATGACACTGGCATCTCTGAACGTGAGCCTATTGGGCGCACTGAAAATCTGTATTTCTCCCAAACAAGTATAAAAGTGTGTAAATCTGATTTTAGAGGGAGGTTTGATTAGGGGGGAAAGCTTTGCACCTGGGAGAGAAATTACTCTGGCTGTCATTTTGCCCCAAATTGTGTAATCTTAACAGAATCACTTCTTGTCTTGACTTTTCATTTCCTCATCTGCAAGAGACGATGTGAGTCCAGCTTCACAGACTGCTTCCTCCCCACCCTGCAAACTGTGATTTTAATCAGGTAATTCTGCCCATACTGAATTATTTTCAATAAAAAGTATAGAACATTGGGAACATATGAAGAAACAGCCGTAACATGTAAATTATTAAACATGATAACAAAGCAAACTGCTGTGAATTCACAACTGATCATTCCCACAAAACCTCCTCTCCCCGCCACTGTTTTGGCTTGCCCAGTTTTGCTCGTTAGAGGCGGACATCACAGCATTCCCTCTTTACCAGCGGGATGTTAAGGTTCTAATGCAAGATCACCTGATAGTTCCATTTTCTTCTTCCCTTTAAATAAACAGTTGTCAAAATACCTTCATTTAAAAATGACTTTCCTGCTTGTAATCCCAGCCCTTTGGGAGGCCATGGTGGGCAGATCACTTGAGTCCAGGAGTTCAAGACCATCCTGGGGAACATGGGAAAACCCCATCTCTACTAAAAATACAAAAATTAGCTGAGCATGGTGATATGCGCACCTGTAGTCCCAGTTACTCAGGAGGCTGAGGTAGGATGATCGCTTGAGCCCGGGAAGTCGAGGATGCAGTGAGCCAAGATTGTGCCACTACACTCTAGCCTGGGTGACAAAGCGAGAGCCCGTCTCAAAAAAATAAAAATGAAAATGAAAATGACTTTCCTTAAAATTATTCAGCACATCCATATTAAAACAAAATTATTTGGTGGTTTTGGTGAGGAACATACTTGTCTAATGGCTAAAATCAGGATTTCCATTCTGTCAAATAGGAAGAACATTATACTGGAGCAGTTTGAAAATTTCTAGTTTCCTTGTTGGCATATAATTGTTTTTGGAGGGAAAAACCCCCAAACATTTGCTAAATATCTGCCATATGCGTTGAAACTAATTTTGTAATGTTCACCAAATTCTGAAAACGAACTGCTGTGCTGACATATTTATTCGGTCTTGAAACAGATGGGAGTCTGTGTGAGGGGGAGAAATGATTTTTAGGAATCAAAAGTATTTAGGAAGTGAAAAAATTTCAAGAATCTTTTAATAAAAGACTCAAAAATTATCCCTGTGAATATCAAATTTTGGCCATGAGGTTGTTCATATAATTATGTGGAAACTCTTTCCAATGCTTCTGTTCAGGTCAGACAGTTTACAATTTCCTGGGAAGACTCCTTTGTGCCAACCGTATTCTTTATTTTATATTTTAACATCTGTTCTTTGACTTACGATGGGATTACCTTCCGATAAACGTATCGTAAGGTGGGAATATTGTGTAAATATTAAATAAAAAATGCATTGAATATACCTAATGTACCAAATATCCTAGCTCAGTCCACCTTAAACATGCTCAGAACACTTACATTGGTGTACAGTTGGACAAAATCATCTAACACAAAGCCTATGTTATACTAAAATGTTGACAATCTCATGTAATGTATTGAACACTGTATGAAAAGTGAAAAACATAACGGCTTATGGGTACTCGAAGTACAGCTTCCAAAATGGTAAGTTGATCCATAGTAAATCTGAGACTATCTACTTTAGTAAATGCTTCTGTTTTGCTATTACTTTTCACAGCAAATATTAAGGAACTGAGAATGACCTCATGATTTTAAAAAATATAACACCTGTACCTCTCTTATCTGCAATAGAAATTTTAAAACACTGATTTTATTTTTCCCCTTTTTACTTAAAAATATGAATGCACATTTAAAATCTTGTTTCCCTTTCTTCATTGTATTCACCTGTGTGCCAGACGCTGTTATTGACTCCAGTGAGGGCAAATGCATATGGAATTTTACTAGATCCCAATATTCTTCCACAATTTTATTAAAGTAAAACCTCATATAATATGTCCATCTTATGTGTACAGATCAATGCACCTTTATAGATACCTGCATCTGTGTAACCGCTACCCAGGATCAAGAATACAGAATATGTCAGCTCCCAGCACTCTAATGCCCCGCCTCATCATTACCAACCCTGCCTCAGAGATAACTACTATCCTCACTTCTGTCACTATAGGTAAATTTTGTTATTTTGGAATTATAGATAAATTATAGACCTTTTTTGGTATGTGGCTTCTTTTGCTCAACATTATATTTGTGAGATCCATTCATGTGATCTGTTCAGTCATAGTTTGCTCATTTTTACTGCTGTATAGTATTCCAGGATATGATGAAACCAACATTTTAGAAAATGCATTTTAACTTTGATGGACATTTGAGTTCTTCCCAGTTTGGGGCTGTTATGAATAGGAGTGCTATGAGCCTTCTTTTACTCATCTTTTGGTGAATACACTTGCATTTCTGCTGGGTATAGAGCTAGGGTCTGTAGCATATGCTGGGTAGTAGCATAAGTTCAGCTTTAGTATATCCTACTTAACAGTTCTTCAGCCATGTGTGGAGGTGCCTGCCTGTAGTCTCAGCTACTTGGGAAGCTGAGGCATGAGGATTGCTTGAGTCCGGGAATTCAGGGCTACAGTGTACTATGCCGATAGGGTGTCCACACTAAGTTTGGCACCAATATGGTGACCTTCCGGGAATGAGGGACCAACAGGTTGCCTAAAGTGGGTGGACCAGCCCAAGTTGAAAACAGAGCAGATCAAAACTCCCATGCTGATCAACAGTGAGTGATATTGTTTGGTTCTGTGTCTGCACCCAAATCTCATCTCGAAATGTAATCCCCACTTGTCAAGGGAGGGACATGGTAGGAAGTGATTGGATCATGAGGGTGGCTTCCTCCTGCTATTCTCGTGGTAGTGAGTTCTCATGAGATCTAATGGTTTCATAAGTGTTTGGCAGTCCTTCAATCTCCTGCTCTCTCCTGCTGCCTAGTGAAGAAGGTATTTGCTTCTCTTTTGCCTTCGCCGTGATTGTAAATTTCCTGAGGCCTCCCCAGCCATGAGGAACTATAAGTCAATTAAACCTCTTTTCTTTATAAATTACTCTGTTTGGGGTATGTCTTTGTAGTAGTCTGAAAACAAACTAATATAGTGGGATTTTACCTATAAATAGTCACTGCAATCCACCTGAGCAACATGGTGAGACCTCCATCTCCAAAAAACAAACAAACAAACAAACAAAACACCAATTCTTCATAAGTGGGACATCAGGGCTCCATGTCTTTGCCAATATTATGTATTGCTAGAGACTTTGGTTTTAGCCAATCAAGTGAGTGGGTGGTAGGATCTCACTGTGGTTTTTACTTCTTTGTTAAATTTCCATTGTGATACAATGCACAAGAGTGCACAAATCTTACGGGCAGAGTTTTGTTAAATGTTTTTTGGAGCTTAATTTTTTTGTCACTTTAATAGACCTTATTTTTTTAAAGCAATTTTAGGTTCACAGCAATATAAAGTGGAAAGTATAGAGAATTCCCATATACCCCTTGCCTTCCCACATGCACAATCTCCCCTAAAACCAGCACCAGGCACCAGAGTGGTATATTTTTTACAACTCATGAACCTACATTGACTCACCATTATCACTCAAAATCCATAGTTTACATTAGCTTTACTCTTGATGAATGGGTTTTGACAAATGTATTATGACCTGTATCCACCACTACAGTATCACATAGAGGAGTTTCACTGCCCTAACATCCTCTGCATGTTTTTGCCTCTTCCAGATGTTATATAGGTGGAATCCTACATTATTTAGCCCTTTTCGATTGGATTCTTTCACTTAGTAATATGCATTGAAGGTCCCTCCATGTCTTTTCATGGCTTGATAACTCACTTTCTTTTAATGTTGAATATTATTCCCTTGTCTGGATGCACCACTGTTTATCCATTCACCTACTGAAGTGACATCTTGGGTGTTTCTGAGTTTGGGTAATTATGAATAAAGCTGCTATAAACATCTGTGTGCAGGTTTTTGTGTGGACATAAGTTTTCGAATCACTTGGGTAAATACCAATGCACATAATTGCTGGGTGATTGCTGGGTGGTATAAGAGTATGTTTAGTTTTCTAAGAAATTGCCAAACTCTTTTCCAAAGTGGTTGTACCATTTTGCATTCCTACCAGCAATGAATGAGAGGTCCTGTTGTTCTACATTCTTGCCAGCATTTGGTGTTACCACTGTGCTGGGTTTTGGCCATGCTAATAGGGGTGTAGTGGTACCTCATTGTTGCTTTCATTTTCAGTTCCTGAGCCAGGCATGGTGGCTCATGCCTGTAATCCCAGCACTTTGGGAGGCCAAGACAAGTGGATCACCTGAGGTCAGGAGTTTGAGAGCAGCCTGGCCAACATGGTGAAACCCATACCTATTAAAAATACAAAAATTAGCCAGGTGTGGTAGCGGGCACCTGTAATCCCAGCTACTTGGGCGGATGAGGCTGGAGAATCTCTTGAACCTGGGAGGCAAAGCTTGCAGTGAACCGAGATGGCAACACTGCACTCCAGCCTGGATGGTGAAGTGAACACTGCACTCCACTCTGTCTAAAAAAATAAAAATTAATTGTCAGTTCCCTAAGTATACATTTTGTTGTGTATATTTTTGATGTAATGTCATTCAGGTTTTTTGCCCATTTTTAAATTGAATTGTGTTTTCAAATTGGTGAGTTTTAAGAGTTCATTGTACATTTTGAATAACAGTTCTTTATCAAAGATCCTTTAGCCAATATTTTCTCTGAGTGTATGGCTTGTCTTCTCATTCTCTTGACATTGTCTTTCACAGAACAGAAATTTTTAATTTTAATAAAGTCCAGCTTATCAATGATTTCTTGGTGCTTAATACATTTTTACATACATATATCACATGCAACCACCATCCAGATCAAGATATATAGAGTATTTCCAACATTGCAAAAGTTTGTCTTCTGCCCCTGCCTCCAAAGATAAACCACCATTTTGGGACTTAACATCATGAATTAGTTTTGCCTGTTTTTGAGAGTCACATAAATGGAATCGTACAGTATGTACCAGTTTGTGTATGGCTTCTCTTGCTCAATATAATATACTTTTATTTTATTGTCAGATAATATTGCATTGTAAGAATATATCAAAATTCATTTGCCTTTAAATGGGCATTTGAGTTTCCTAGTTTGGGGTCATTATGAATAATAATGCTATGACCATCTTTGCACATGTCTTTTAATACACACATGCATTTATATGGGTATATATCAGTGTGTAGAATTGCTGGGACATAGGGAATGTGTGTGTATATAGAGCATTAGTAGACACAGGCACGCTGATTTCCAGCGTTGTTGTGTGAATTTACATTCCCATCAGCAGAGTTTGAGAGTTCCAGTGGTTTCACATTCTTGCTAACACTTCATGTTTTCCTTTCTTTTTCATTTTAGTCATTCGGGGGTGGGGAGAGATGTATGGATATTGCATTGTGTTTTTAATTTTTTATATCCCTGATACAGTGGAACACTTTTTCATACATTTGTGAACCATTTTGGGATATGCTTTTTTCTTTCTTTTTTTTTTTTAACTTTTTAAGTTCAGAGGTACATGTGCAGGTTTGTTGCATAGGTAAACTTGTGTCATGGGGGTTTGTTGTACAGATTATTTCATCACTCAGGTATTAAGCCTAGTACCTATTAGTTCTTTTTTCTGAACTTCTCCCTCCCCCATGCTTCACTCTCCAATAGACCCCACTGTGTAGTGCTCCCCTCTATGTGTCCATGTGTTCATATCTTTTAGCTCCCACTTATAAGTAAGAACATGCGGTATTTGGTTTTCTGTTCCTGTGTTAGTTTGCTAAGGATAATGGCCTCCAGCTCCATCCATGTTCTTGCAGAGGACATGACTTTGTTCTTTTTTATGGTGACATAGTATTCCACTGTGTGTATGTACCACATCTTCTTTATCCAGTGCACCATTGGTGGGCATTTGGGTTGATTCCATGTCTTTGCTATTGTGAATAGTGCTGCAATGAACACTCAGATGCATGTGTCTTTATGATAGAACAATTTATATTCCTTTGGTTATATACCCAGTAATGGGATTGCTGGGTTGAATGGTCGTTCTGTAGATATTTGAGGAATCGCCACACTGTCTTTCACAATGGTTGAACTAATTTATACTCCCACTAACATTGCATGAGTGTTTCTTTTTCTCTGCAACCTCGTCAGCACCTGTTATTTTTTGACTTTTTAATAATTGCCATTCTGATTGGTGTGGGATGGTATCTCATTGCGGTTTTGATTTGCGGATATGCTTTTTTCAGTAAAATGTCTGTTCAAGGATTTGCCTCCTTTTTTTTTTTTTTTTTTTTTTTTTTTTGAGACAGAGTCTTGGTCTGTCACCCAGGCTGGAGTGCAGTGGTGTGATCTCGGCTCACTGCAACCTCTGCCTCCCGGGCTCAAGCGATCCTCCTGCCTCAGCCTCCTGAGTAGCTGGGATTACAGACATATGCCACCATGCCTGACTAACTTTTTTTGTATTTTTAGTAAAGATGGGGTTTCACCACGTTGGCCAGGCTGGTCTGGAACTCCGAACCTCAAGTGATCTGCCTGCCTTGGCCTCCCAAAGTGCTGGGATTACAGGCATTGCCTACTTTTTTATTGAGTTATCTATGTTTTTCTTATCATTTTTAGGAACTATTTAGATATTCTAAATGTAAGATCATCGTTAGATATATGTATTACAAATGTCTTCTCTTACTGCACAGATTGACTTTTTACTCTCAGTGAAACCTTTTGATTAGCAGAAATTCTTAAGTTTAACGAAGTCTAATTTATCACTTTCCCTTTGTGGTTAGGGCTTGTTGTGGCTTGTTTGAGAAATCTTCATTTATCCTCAATCATATAGATGATTTCTGTTGTCTATTAAATACTTTGTTGTTTCACCTTTCAGATTTAGACTTGCAATCTACCTGGAATTGATGTGAGTATGGTGTGAGACAGAACTTCAGGTTGACTTTTGGTTCTCTATGGATACCCATTAGACCCAGTAGATATAGAACCATATTCATGGCACCAGTGACTGAAGAGTCCACGCACTCCCCACTCTGCTGCAGTGTCACCGTGATCATAAATCAAGTGGGTAAGTGTGGATCTGGTCCTTGACTCTGCATTGTTTTATTAGTCTGTCTCTTCTTGCACTAATGCCATCTTAACTACTTTAGCTTTATCAAACGTCTTGAGATCGGGTAGACCAATCGTCCGACCTTGCTTTTGTTTTTTAAAAGTGTCCTGGCTAATCTTGGCCCTTTGAATTGACACAAGATTTTCAAAATCATCTGGTCAGTTACCTCAAAATATCTTCTGGAAGTTTTATTGGGATTGCATTAGAGCTATAGACCAATTTGGGGAGAAGTGACATCCTTACAACTGAACCTTTAAATTCAGAAATAAGGCATGTCTCTTAATTTCTTTAGGTTTTCTGGAATTTTTCTCAATAATATTTTCTTGCTTTCTGTACAGAGAGTACTTCTACATCTCTTGTTAGATTTATTCCTAAGTATTCAGTTTTTTTCAAAGCAATTTAAAAAGTATCCCTAAACATTTTTACTTTTTTTCCCTCTTTTTTAATGGGACTAGAGTTGACTTTTGTAATGGGTCTTTCTAAATTACTTAGAAAAAACAATTCCTTTTTATCATTTATTTATAGATTCATTTGGATTTTTTACAAAACATATTACTTGTGAATCTTGACAGTTTTATTTCTTCCTTTCCAATCCTTATGCCTTTTGTTTTTCTATCTTGCATTTTGGTACTGGGTAGGACTTTGAACATGTGGTGGAATGGAAGAGATATTCACAAGCATATTTACGTGTTTCTATCTTATGAGGAAGTCTTTCAATCTATCACTATTAAGTATAATATTTGCCATAGGCTTTTCATAGTTATTGTTGATTAGATTCAGGAAGGTGCCTTCTATTTCTGGTTTGCTATAAGTGTCAATTCTCTCCAAATTGATAAGCAGATTTAACACAATTCCTATTAAAATTTCAGCAAGTTATTTTGAAGATAAAGTCAAGATTATTCTAAAATTATACGGAAAGGCACAGGAAGAAATTAGAATAGCTGAAACAGTTTTGAAAAAGAAGAATGAAGTAGGACAAAGTGGTCTATTTGATTTCAAGACTTACTCTGTAGCTACAGTAACCAAGATTGTGTGCTATTGGCAGAGAGATAGACACATAGATCCAAGGAACAGAATAAGCAACATAGAAACACACTCCTACGTATATTCTCAAATCATTTTTTACAAGGATGCAAAGGCTATCTGATGGAGAAAAGTAGCCTTTTCAACAAATGGTGCTGGGAGCAATTGGACATCCACAGGCAATAAATAAATAAATAAAACAAAAACAAACCTTTAAGTCTCATACTTTATGCAAAAGTCAATTCATAATGGATTATGAACTTGAAACATGAAACTAAAACTTTTAGAAAAAAATTGGAGAAAATCTTCAGGAACTATGGCTATGAAAAGTGTTCTTAGATTTGACACTAAAAGTATGACCTCTAAAATGATACATTGTACTTTTTCAAAATTAAAAACTTTTACTTTGCAAGTGACTCTGTTATGAAGATGAAAAGATAAGCTACAGATTGGAAGAAAATATTTGCAAATCACATACCTGCCAAAGGACTAACATCTAGGAAAGATAAAGAACTCTCAAAACTCAATAGTAAAAAATCTCAAAAAATTGAAATTGAAAGCAAGCAAAAGACATGAAGAAGTGACTTCACCAAAGAAGATATACAGATCGCAAATAAGTACAGGGAGAATATTCAACATCATTACCCATTAGGAAAATGCAAATTAAAGCCACATTTAATATCATTATATACCTATCAGAATCACTAAAATAAAAAAAAAAATGACAGTCCCAAATGCTAGTGAGGATGCATAGAACCTGGATAATTTATACACTGCTGGCAAAAAGGTAAAATATTAATACCACAGCCACTTTGGCATACAATTTGGCAGTTGCTTAAAAGACAAAACATGCAACTACCATACAACTCAGCAATTGCTCATATAAACTGAATATTTCTAAAATTCCCAGAAAATAAGAAAATTGAATTTCTAATACCAATTCAGAAACCAAGTTCACATAATTAAGATTAATCTTTGGCAAACTAGACTAGTTTAATAATTTTGATTCAGGCTGTGTGGGGGCTAACGCCTGTAATCCCAGCACTTTGGGAGGCCAAGGCGGGTGGATCATCTGAGGTCAGGAGTTGGAGACCAGCCTGGCCAACATGGTGAAACCCTGTATCTATTACAAATACAAAAATTAGCCAGGCGTGGTGGTGCGCACCTGTAATCCCAGTTACTCGGGAGGCTGAGGCAGGAGAATCACTTGAACCCAGGAGGCGGAGGTTGCAGTGAGCTGAGGTCGTGCCACTGCACTCCAGCCTGTGTAACAGAGCAAGACTCTGTCTCAAAATATTATTAATAATAATTTTGATTAAAAAATTGCCACGTTACTTCTCCTATTTATCGATGTATATAACACAAGCATGCATTTTATTTGGTTTGTCTTTCCTAAACTCGTACAAGCTTACTCATCAAATAAGCGATTACTTAATGTTACATAATGTTGAGGATCATTAAACCAGGAAATTTGTGCTCAACTAAATTCATTCGTTATGGTGACAAACTTTTTCTTTCAACAGCAATTATATTTTGTAGCTGGAAGATACTTTTCTAGGTGTTTAGATGACTTAGAATTTGGGGCTGATATTAAGTTGAGTTAATGGATAATCACTGATAGTTAGATGACCTCTAAATACTATCAAATGACAAAACATTGATTATGCAACATAATTTTAGGTTTATATGCAATTGCTTTTTATTTGTTGTGCTTTAGAGAGGCTGTATCTTGGGATCAGATGCATGACTGCTCATTTTTGAACTTTCAGAAGGCGTAAAAGGAATGTGTGTGGCTATAGAAGGTTGGTTATGAACTTTGCTATTCTGCTGAAATCTTTGTCTAAGATAAACAGTTCTCACTTCTCTACCCACCATTTTTCTCTGTGAAGTAGAAGACATTTTGGCTAGTAATGAAAATTAATATGGTTAAGATAAATCTGTATGAGTTAAAAAAATTAATATGGTAGTTGGAGCTATGCAAGGAGCAATAGTGAGAGAGAAACCCAACTGTGCCTGAGCTTTTGTTTTTCAAGGAAAAAGCATTTCTTTTGCTAAAGCAGTAATTATCAAACGTTTTGGGAGAGGCTTCCGTTCACAAAGGAGGAGCTCCCCATGTTTCTCATGGGAACTTGTCCAAGCGTATCTCTTACATAGCAAATCCCATCTTGCCACCCCTGCTCAGAGGCCCCAGATCCACATGCACCTTTCTTCCCAAGAAAGAAGACCTGTTGTCATTGTTTGCACACCTGCCGCCCATTGGACTAGATGCTCTCCTGATAGCCCTGTTTGCTCACCTCCATTCAAAACACATTTTCATTACTGAACCAGATGCCAGGAAAACAAGCATTTCATCTTCTATGAAAATTGTGTAGGGTCGTATTGGTTTTAGAGGATTGTTGTGAGACAGAAATGAAACAGTGCCAGTGAAACAGAGCAGATGTACATCAGTGTGGGTCCATTTGAAGTCTGGATGGACGGAGTGGCACTCCAGCCTCCTCAAGGAAGCCAGGACCCAAGAGTTGCCTTTCACTTTTGCCTCTCAAGGAACCTGATATAACCAACATGAAAAAAACACACTCAGAGCTCAAGAGGGCTGGCCCTTCCCAGGACAGATGCTGCAGAGACTGGATGCATTTTTTCCTGCCCAACCAACCTTGGCGACAGGTTGCTGGGCTCTCATTCATGAAGCTACCTGCCTGGGGAAATGAGTCAATCCAGTTATTAGCTCACCAAGGGCTTTTATTCTTGACAAGGTACTGATACCCTATCTACCTCCACTGCTTGGGAATAGCTGACTTGGACTTAAGTCTGTGGGAATCAAGATATCAGAATACCTAGAGAAGCTGGAGAAATGCACTCCCAACAAATGCCACCTCAGTGTCTGTCACAGCAGCCGTCTTTGAAAGTTGTCCGGCATCCTGACGGCCATGCACAGATTCCATCATGGTGCTTTAAAATTATTTACTAAAACCCACAGAGAAAAGTGGTCTGCTGCTTTGCCTGACAACCCTGCCCATAAACTGCTTGTGAGCAGAACAAGCGAGCAAGTGTTCACCCCCTGGCATTCACAGGCACTGGTTCAAGTGGGGCAGATTTTGAAGTACGGGCTGCCAGGGCCTCAGAGGCAGGAACTTCTGCCCATTGCTGTGCTGCTGCAGCTCACAGCAGGCTGTACCCACACAGAGAACATACTCCTGGGGCTCAGGTGGGGGAACAAGGGAGGGGTCAATGTGATGAACAATTCTGGCTGAGAGAGAAGCAGGGATGGGTGGGAGGAGGATGGAGAGAGAGAGAGATGAAGGTAGGGCACCCTCTCGGAGACACAGGGCGGGCTTGTGCTCCGAGGACTCAGCTCAGAATTCAGCCCCATCTCCAGGTCACCTCAAAGCCCTAATGTTGCTGGGCTCCCCTCAGTGACACTTGCCTTCTCAGTCTCACCAGGCTATTCTGATGGCTTCTACTAATGCCCTCTGTCCTTCTGGCAGAATGTGTGGCCAGTGAGTGTCCTGGAGGGGAGGGTGAGAGTCTCCATCCAGAACTTCTCGACTGCAGAGCTGTGAACACGGAATGAGTGTGTGAGGTACGGAGGTCCTCGGCCCCAGGGGACCCCAGGTGCGCTCACAGCCTCAGGGGCGGCGGCCTTCTGCATCGCGGCATGTGGCACGCAGAGTGTCATGTGCTGTGTGTGCCACACGGTGAAACAGGTGGAGACACTGACAACAGGCTTAACTGGGAAGCTGTGCCCCAAAAGGAGCTTCAAAGAAGAGCCCCCTCCACATCCTCAGGAGAAGGACTCTTGGTTGGAAAAGGCCTGGAAGTGACCAGTATCTATGGTGCTTCGTCTCTTTCTCAGGCCCATAAGGACAGAATTTACATTTGAAAAGAAGAACAACACAGAAACTTTTGCAAAGGGCTGCCAATACTTTTTCTCTGAGGAACGTGCAATGTGATGAACAAAATTTTTTCCCAGAAAGCCAGAGGCTGGGCAAAGGCAGAGGGGCCTGGAGGCTGCTCCCAGGTAGGGAAACTTCTGGAGCAGGGACTTGACTCCACCTCCCAGGGGGACCGCATGTCCAGAGTGTGCACTTCTGGGAAGGCTGCAGAGCTGAGAGAAGCTGGTCAGATGCCCGATGCCCTAACCCTGAGATGGAGCTGCTCCCTGCCATCTCCTCCCACCTTTAGTGATGTTTTCAGAGCCTTAAGCTCTTGTGCAGTCTGGGCAGAAGCTGAGCCTTGTGTCTGATCTATACTGGCAGGAAGGAGGCAGCCCCTCCGGGTGAGGGGCCTCCAGGCTGCGGCTGGCTCTGGCGAGGATGGTGGTGAGAGGCCCATCTATTTCCTCAACCTTAGCTGACCTACCGTAAAGCAGGGAAAGCCTGGTGATGGGGTGGGTCACATTTATTCCAATTCTGTCTCCCCTCTTGCATCAGCTTACCCAGGAGCTTGTTAGAAAAGCAGCCTCCCAGACCCCACCCAGACCTGCTGGGTCAGAAAGAATGAGAACCCCCGGGCAATGCATGTGTGCAGACAAGTTTGAGAAACGCTGCTGCTCTAGATACTAGGTTAGCAAAGCACGGCCAAAGTGTGGGCAGGGGAGCCGCACAGTCCTGGTTTCAAATTCTGACCCACCACTCCCACCCACAGGACCCACTCCATGTTTCTCAGCTTCTCTGAGCCTCAGTTTCCTCCTTTGCAAAATGAGGACAATTATAGCACCCACTCTTTAGAACTGGGGAAGGACTAAAGTGTCCAAAGCATGGGCAGTGCCTGGCCCATGGGAGGCGCTGGGGGTGACCGTCCTCCTTCTGGAACTCCTTCCTGACAAGTCGTCTGGAGTGAGGCTGAGGAATGGGTGTTTTCAGAAACTTCAGCTACCTCTGATGCAAGTCCAGGTGATACTATCCCCTGTCATTTACAGTACCTGACCCTGGAATTGTACCCAGGGCACCCTCGTGCACTGGGATACGACTGATGCAGGTTGGAAGGCAGAGCTCCCTGCAGTGGGAGAAGGATGGCAGGGAGCAATGGTCCGGGTCTCAGAAGCGTAAGGGAGATGGGTTTGCTGCTGGAAGCCATTGGTGCATTCTCAGCTGCGGCACAGCCTGACAGCCACAGCTCACAGAAGGGAAAGGGGAGTGAAAGGGGAGGTGGCGGTTTTAGAATAGCCATCTTAGGAGCTTGGCTGGGAAAGGACAGTTATTTGAAATAACAGAGAATCAGGGAGATTCTTCAGAAAGGAGAGAACTGAGATGGTGTTAAAGTAGGGAACGCTATCCTTATCAGGGGAAGAATAATTTCCCCTGAATAACTAAATGTGGGTTTTTGTTGTTGTTGTTTGTTTGTTTGAGATGGAGTTTCAATCTGTTGCCCAGGCTGGAGTGCAGTGGTGCAATCTTGTCTCACTGCAACCTCCACCTCCCGGATTCAAGCGATTCTCCTACCTCAGCCTCCCAAGTAGCTGGGATTATAGGCATGTGCCACCGCACCTGGCTAATTTTTGTATTTTTAGTAGAGAGGCGGTTTCACCATGTTGGCCAGGCTGGTCTCGAACTCCTGACCTCAGGTGATCCACCTGCATTGGCCTCTTAGAGTACTGGGATTACAGGCATGAGCCACCGTCCCCAGCCTGAATAACTAAATGTTTTTCAGCATCTAACATTTTCTTCTACAGGTTTGCTTTAAAAAAAAAATAAGAAAGAAAGAAACACTTCATGAATTTACATGTCATCCTTGTGCAGGTGCCATGCTAATCTTCTCTGTATCGTGCCAATTTTAGTATATGTGCTGCCAAAGCGAGCACCAGATTTGCTTTTTTATAAGTGTTTTTTAAAGAAATGGTATAATGAAACATACATATAGAAAGTGCATAAAACAAAAATGGACAGTTTCACAAATAGTTGTAAGGCAAAGTCCTGTGTAGCCCCTAACTAGCTTAAGAAGCAGAACCTTGCCAGCACGCAGAAGCATCTACAAATCTTGCAGGAGGCAGCACAGGCGCACCATTGACTTTAAGCTTTGCACCTGTCCTGTGAGGTGGGCATGCTTTTTCCTATTTTATATATGAGGACACCAGGATGCAGGTGGGCCACATGGCTCCCCCAGGGCCACACAGCTAGTGGGCAGTAGAGCGAGAATGAAACCCAGGCGTGTTGGAGCCTGACAGCACTAGCGCTGTTTCTGCAGGTGCTAAGGGGGAGGCTTGGCCACAGGGGTGGGCGGCAGGGCTGGAGGGCCAGCCTGGACGGTGGACAGGGAGAGAATGGACTCGGGGATTGAGGTCACCCTGCTGGGCAGGGAACGTGGGAGGAGAGACACAGAGCAGGTACTCTGAGGTGAAGAGGAAGCCTGCTCTGCTCCCCAAGAGTCCCTCCTCACCATGCCTTCCCCTCACTTCTCCCTGACAGTGTCAGGAGAGTCCGTCGTTCAGCTAAAGCTTGGGAGAGGGCGCCCTTGATTCCTCCGATTAGACAAAGAGGACCTTGGCAGGCAGGTCTGGGGACTTGCTAGTGCTGGGTCACTGAGGAGTGTCCTTTAAGGCGATGGGAGCCGAGGGGAAGACGGAATTACTCCCAGAGAGAAGGCTCCCAGCTACGCTAGCTCACAGCCCTCAAGTCCACTGCTATACTGGGTGGCCTGAGGACTTGTGCCAAGTTCCAAGTGAGATAAGACAGAAAACAAGTCACTGGTCAAGGACAGGTCAAGGTAAAGCCAGCCAGAAGAGTTATCATTCCAAGAAGTTCACAAGGCCATTATACAGCCTTTGGAACGAGACATTTCTGCTTTTCCATAAGCAGCTGGGAATTTCTGAGACCTGTTTACAGAGAATTAGAACTTCTAATAAAGGATATGTGACCAATATCACTTTCACCCTTGGCCTCCATCTGCCCTGTTCCCACACCTCCCTAGGTAAACTTTATTCTAGTTTCTCATGCATCTTTTCAGAGCTTTAAAAGTGCATATCTGAGCAAATCAAACACTAGATTTGTATTTCCGCTCCATGACAAGTTTAACAATCTAGAAGTTGGGTCGGTGGATTGTCTCCTACACCACCGAACCTGTCTCTGAGTCCCAAGCATCAGTCAGTCTAGCTAAACTGTCAACAGTTGCATCTTATTTCGGGCAGCAGTGTTACAGGTGGGCTGCCACCAAAGTTAGACATCCATATGGCGCGAGTATTTCACGAGAGGCATTTCTATGAGAACAAAAGAAAAACCAATGTTAGTAATTAGAATAAACTAGAAACTCGGTTTTTAAGCTCAGAAAGCAGCCAGGTGAGAAGATTTCTGGGTTTTGGCTGAAAGCATCTTCAGCTGGGGTGGGAGCAGGCCGTGGCAGTTTGACAGGTTTCCCCACTTTACAGTTTGCATCAGGTGTTCCAGGGGCGTTTCTGAGTAGTCCATATAGCAGCAGGCGTGAGGACCACGCATACATAAGTTGCTGTGCTTTCTCTACGGCTTGTGTCAAGTCATCCAGTTTTCATTCGCAGGGCTTCAGGAATAGAGCAGTTCTCATTTCAGTGATTCCAAACCAGAAGGGTGGGAGAAAAATATTAGTTTGGAGACCTGTAGCCAGACATTTCTGGAAACGAGAAGAATTCAGGATCCAGTCCAGATTGTAGGTGAGTAACAAAAACCTCAAAAACAATGAGCTGGAATCTAATAACGAGTGCATATAGTTTTCTTCTGAAATATTTTTCTTTCTATAGTCATTTCCATTTCTACCAAAGATTATCAAAGTAAGACTAATTTGTTCGCAAAGTAATGTTTGCAAAAGTAATGATTATTTGTGCAAGTGCCGCAACAATAGTGATTGACTATATAGGCTTTTTCAAAATTTGCTTTACTGGAACTTTTGATAAGGAACCTCAAGTTAGACTTTTAATAGCCTCTTGAGGCCAGAAGCCAGGCCACTAACTTGCCATCAGACTTTGCCTGCAATACCTATAGATCTGGGTGAATTCCTTTCTTCTCAGGATCCCCCAAATATTCTACAGTTCCTGGGCCTGTCAGAAAGTGACATTACTTACTCACTTGTAAGGTTAGAAACTCTTTTAAGCCAGGCCAGTTTTTCCAATGGGGGCTTTACTGGTTCCAGTAAAGTAAATAAACTTTACTGGTTTTAGTTCCTTAAAACTGTCTGGTCATGTCTGAAAATATAATATTCCAGTCAAAGCCTTGGTCATATAATCAGTGTTTCCACTTTTGTCCTGTTTCAAGGAGAATATACTTACTAAACTTGTGCAAGTAACTACAATTGTCATAAAAATAAGAGTACTCATAAATAGTTTCTAAATTCTGGAGGGATCAGGGAGGAAGAAAAAAAACGAAATGTTCTAATTTTGTTAACGATATACTAAATTGCTGTAAGTTATAGGTAGCTTAAAAGAAAAAAAGCTTTCCTTAAATCTGGAAAACAAAATATTTAAAGAAGAAACGTTTCAAATAAAAGTCATAAAAATTATCCCCTTCATTTCATGTAGTCTCATGTAGTTGATATTCTTGATCTTGGTTAGCAGTTTCATGAAACCACCAGTTTCTTCATAAGAGTTCTAGAAATTTGTACCCCATCCAATGGTGTGATCTTAAAGTTATCAGAAACCTTTATTGCAGAGTAGAGCCTTTTTTATGAATCTCCTTGAAGAAGCAATTTTGGGCTGTAGCTGATTACAAATGCTTTCAGAGAAGAATCAAAGTAAAACAATAACTGCCTGTGGATGAAAAAAGACATTCAATGGCCATGGTTAAAGATTTGATGAGAGTTCACCATCATAATGATGAAATTGTCAAAGAAATGTGGTTATTTCTGTGGCATATTGCATTTTAATACAATAACTAAAATTATGACTGATAGCATTATACTAGGACATATCAGATTTCTAGGAATTATGTATAATTTCTGGAACACTTGTATCAATATCATATCCACAAACATAACATAAAGGTTTAGCATCACCTATTATTTGATGATGTTTCTCATATAATTTAACATATCCTGTAAGCCTAATTAGTTTAATCGCTCTTTTTTACAAGGTGAGAGACAAATCCTATGGAACTTTCCAGAGGCCTTCTGAAATGTTCCAAAATTAGTTTGAGGTCAAAAACATTTAATTTATAATTTGATTTGGTTCGGAAGTTGTTAAAGACGTTGAAAGGTTTAGGACATTTGTTTGAAGAGAATCACAGATCACTATAAAACAATACCAAAATGACAAAAAATTGTAAAGACAAATACAGAAGGTTACAGAATTGTAAAAAATAAATCAGCTCCTTTATTATTGAGAAGACTCATTTTTCTTTTCTTCTTTTTTTTTTTTTTTTTTTTTTTTTTTTTTTTTTTTTTTTTTTTTGAGTCAGGATCTCATTTCATCACCTAGGCTGGAGTGCACTAGCATGATCGTGGCTCACTACAGCTTTGACCTCCTTGGGCTCAGCTGATCCTCCCCTCTCAGCCTCCTGAGTAACAGGGACTACAGGCACATACCACCACACCTGGCTATTTTTTTCTATTTTTTGTAGAGATGACGTTTTGCCATGTTGCCCAGGCTGGTCTTGAACTCCTGACCTCAAGCAATCCGCCCACCTTGGCCTCGCGAAGTGCTGAGATTACAGGCGTGAGCCACTGCACCTGGCCTTGCTTTTCTTAAGTAATCAAAGACCTGATAGAAAACAACGTGAAGCACAAGAAATCATTTTTGTAAAAAAATCTTTGTGTCCTAGTACAGTAACTTAAACGATAAAGAAAAATCTTCACATTCTCAGACTGATACAGTAAGAAAACTTGGCCATTTTGACAAAGAGGACGAAATTCTAGTTTTGCATCATCGTATTAGTAATATGGAAGCTAATTGTAAGAAAACCTTATAAATAAAATTAAGCTCATTTTAGCCAGCTTTGACCACATAACATTTTCCCCCAAAGATTCTTTTTCCACAACCCTTTTAAAATATTTTTAAAAATTGATCTTTATTTATCTTCCTGCATTTTTCTTTTTCTTATTCTGGAACAACTGCTCATCATAGTTTCGTACAGAATTAACTACTCCTTTTTCCATTAACAGAAAATACAGTTTCATGCCTTACAATTTTCCTTACCAAAAATACATCTTGCTTTCCTCGTGTATTTTGCATACAGGATTGTTTCTCTTATTATTTCTAGTAGTTTTAATTACATATATTAATTAGAATTTTAATCTTCAGCAATTGTAGTTTATCACATTCCATAGATTAAAGCCATAATTTCTAAAAATCATGTGCTTCTCCATAGTACAATTTTTCATGTCTATTAACAGATCCAAATTTTGTCTTCTCTATACCATATAAAAAACAAAATGCCAATGTATATAAACTTAAATTTATGCTTAGTAATTAATGTTTCAATGTTTTAAGTGACTTAGAAATGACTCAGATATGGCCAGGCACGGTGGCTCACACCTGTTATCCCAGCACTTTGGGAGGCCCAGGCGGGTGGATCATGAGGTCAGGAGTTTGAGACCACCCTGACCAACATGGTGAAACCCCGTGTCTACTAAAAGTACAAAAATTAGCTGGGTGTGGTAGCGCACACCTATAATCTCAGCTACTCAGGAGGCTGAGGCAGGAGAATCACTTGAACCCAGAAGGCAGAGGTTGTAGTGAGCCGAGATCGCATTATTGCACTCCAGCTTGGGCAACAGTGAGACTCAGTCTCGGGGGGAAAAAAAAAGAAAAAGAAATGACTCAGATATGTAATGAGTATTTATTACTTAATTTAATTTAGCATAGCTTTAAGGTTGCAAGTTACCAAAAAAGTTTTCTGAAACTATTTTTAAGTAGACCTGTTTTATAAAACATAATTATTATTGAAAAGTTCATGTATATACTTTTAGGTCACTTGTACATTATTTAATTCACGTGTTTTTAACAATTATTCTTGGATGTCTCATGGGCATTTTTTATAAGAACTTAAAGCCATCATCTTATTTCATTTTTGTTTACAAATCAGGTATCAAAAATATCACAGAGGCAAAGAACTAAAAAGCTAAACAATTCATTCTCTATCTATCTATCTATCTATCTATCTATCTATCTATCTATGTTTTTACTTTCATGAATGATATGTGTCAAGCAATTTATTTTTACTGTGTGTTCTGCTCTTAGGTTGGGTTTTTAGTTTTATGTTTTTAAACGTCAAGCAGGGAAAACACAAACCTGTGTGGCCAGCAAACTCAGGGAAAAATGTGTATCTGAATTATATTTCACACTTACAATTCTGAAGATACCCCTACTTTTATTTTACCAATAATTTAAAAGCTAGCTTTATTTACCAAAGACTTAGCCAAGTCATGTGATTTTTTAAAAAACAAATTTGGATGAGAGTCTATGTCTGAGAGTTTTAGGAATGCCTAATTTATCTGAGCACTCGTTTATCTCTAAGCCAATTTGAATAGAGCTCCTTTAAGGGTTTTATAAATTAATTTAGTAACACTATCCGGAGGTGGAAAAATATTAAATATACATAATATACAAATATACATACATAAACTTACAGACAAATACAGCTTTCATTCTAACATTTAGTCACAAGTCAGTAAAACATAGTAGTACAAACTCATTGATTTATTTCCAATTTATATTTTTGTCCGAATTGTGTTTCTGACAAAGATGGGAGAAGTTAAGTTTACCTGCTTACATGGCAAGAGCTTTTTTACCAACGTTTGTGGAAAAGACTTGAGATTTTTATTTGCCCAATTCCCAAATAGTTCCTTTAAAAAACATGACAGTCATTTCCCTGAAGTTTGTATTTCCAAATGATAGTTCTCAGGTTTTAGAGAAGACAGGATAGGGAATCATCTCAAAGGCACAGAAAAATAATGCAAGGGTTTTTTTTTTTCTTCCAAAAAAGGAATTTGGGAGCGTATTTGCCTATTTTCAGAGGTTTTTCTTATAGAGGCTGTGGACTAAATTTTAGACTAGTGACTGAGGAGATATTTAGCAGTTGTCTAAATGTTTCCAAAGTCCAAATGAGTGGACGAAACATCCATTTCTTGTTTCCCAGTAACCATTTCTCCTCTTTTCAGCCTCAGGTTTTTTTTTTTTTTTTTTTTTTTTTTGGAGACGGAGTCTCGCTCTGTCGCCCAGGATGGAGTGCAGTGGTGCCATCTCAGCTCACTGCAAGCTCCGCCTCCCGAGTTCATGCCATTCTCCTGTCTCAGCCTCCCGAGTAGCTGGGACTACAGGAGGGTGTCACCGCGCCTGGCTAATTTTTTGTATTTTTAGTAGAGACGAGGTTTCACTGTGGTCTCGATCTCCTGACCTTGTGATCCGCCCGCCTTGGCCTCCCAAAGTGCTGGGATTACAGGCGTGAGCCACCTCGCCCGGCCAGCCTCAGGTTTTTTAGTCGACCTGGAGTCCAGCAAGAGTCCTCTATGGAGGGTAGTGGCCTAAAGTTCCAGTGATCACGGGGCTGGAGTTGGAGGGAAAAGGTCTGGCAGGGGTGGACAGAAGGATGGAGGGTGAGGAACGTGATCAGGTATCAAGGGTGGCAGTTCTTGTTAAACTGACTTGCCAGGGTTCTTGTTAAAACTGGATTTGTTGCGTTTTCCTCTAATTTTATCTTGAGGTTTCTCTAGATATAAATTCTAGCCCTGCCCTGATGGGTCTCCAGGGGAGGGGGTGGTGGGTTTTTACAGTCTGCCTTTCATGGGATACTTATTTATTCTGGCAGATGGCTTAATGCCTAAGTATTCCACCTGTGGCCAAGGGTCCCTCTCACAGCAAATTTGTTTATACTAGCAGACATTCTTGTGGCTCTCAGCTGACCTATATCCAGTTTATCCCCACCAAAATAAACAGTTTGCAGAAGAGCCCTGGCCAGTAAGAGAGTCTGGGTCAGTCAGATGAGACACAGAAGATGATTCAAAATAGATGGTAAAGCCAGGTACAGTGAAGCACGCTTGTAGTCCCAGCTACTTGGGAGGCTGAAGTGGGAGAGCATTGTTTGAGCTCAGGAATTTTGGGGCCAGCCTAGCAGGAGACCACATCACTTAAAAAAACAAAACAAAACAAAAACACAAAAAACGCCAAAAAAGGATAATGAAGCAACATACAACTTACTACAGGATTTTATAACATAAAATAGTAATTCACTACAGGATATTTTTTTTTAATAAGAAAGTACACAGATGAGCCTTGGAGAAGGTTCAGAAGCTCAACTAAAGTTTGGCCATAGAAACCAGAGTCCAGCATACCCCTGACATTTTCTCGCAGTAATTTTCTATTCACTGACCACCAAATGTAGGAAGTCAAGGCTTGAAGGAGATACATCAAGGATTCAAGGTAACTGGATGAAAGATCAAAGGTGGCACAAGGAGGAAGGAGGAGTAGAAGTAAATGGAAAGAATAGGTCTTAGAGGAGCAAGTTTGGGGAGATCTAAAGCTTCATAAAGAAGCCAACGAAGTTCCATAATATTGTTTGCAAAAATCATGCCAAAAAGAAAGGAAATGGTGGCTCAGGCCTGTCATCCCAGCACTTTTGGAGGCTGAGGTGGGTGGGTGGATCACTTTAGCCCAGGAGTTTGAGACCAGTCTGGGCAACATAATAAAACCCCATCTCTAAAATCTTTTTAAAAAAATATTAACTGCGTGTGGTGGCACACACCTGTGGTCCCAGCTACTCAGAAGGCTGAGGTGGGAGGATTGCTTGAACCCAGGAGGTCAAGGCTTCAGTGAGCCAAGATTGTGCCACTGCACTCTATCCTGGGTGACAGAGTGAGACCCTGTGTCAAAAGGAAAGAAAGAAAGAGAGGAAGGAGGGAAGGTAGGTAGGTAGGTAGGTAGAGTATCTAGTCAGCAGGGGTTTGAGAAGAGGAGTTTCAGTTGACTGAGAAGTTCCCATAGTAGAAGCAGGATCTAATAAGGAGCACAGAGAGATCTTAAAAAAAAAATTACTGGGATTTTGACTGGAATTGTATTCTATCTATAGATTAATTAGGGATATTAAGTCTTCCAATTCATGGAAATGGTATGTCTCTCCATTTATGTTGCCTCTTTAGTTTCTCTCAACAATTTAGGTCTTACACATATTTTGTTAGATTTACCTCTAATTATTTCATATTTTTGGGTGCTATTTTTAAAAAAATTCGATTTCTTACACTGACATTGTGAATACATAGAAATATAAGATTTTTCTGTATTGACTTTGCAACCTGAGACAGCATCACCCTCACTAGTTCTAAGAGCTTTTTTGGGGGATTCCCTAGGGTTTTCCTACATACATGGTCATGTAGTTGGCAACAAAGAGTTTTGCTTTTTACTTTTTAATCTTTCTGCCTGTTTTTTCTTTTTCTTGCCTCATTACACAGGTTGGGATTTCCAGTTCCTTGATGAAGAGAAGTTACGAGACTGGGCATCCTTGCTTTGTTCCTAAACAGGAGGTGAAAACATTCAGTCTTCTGCCATTAGGTATGATGTTAGCTCTGGATTTTTTACACATTTATTCATTTATTTATTAGGTTAAAGATGTCTTCTACTCTTAGTTTGCTAAGAGTTTTTTTAAACATCAATGGGAATGTTTTCAGAATCTTTTTAATTTTTTTTCTACATCTATGGAGATAATTTTTTATAGTGTTATGGGGAACTATGTTGATTTTCAAATGGTAACCAACCTTCAATACCTGAGATAAACTCCATTTTCTATATATTGCTAGAGTCAACTTACTATTATTTTTATTCATGAGAGATATTGACCTGTACTTTTCTTTGTCTAGTTTTGTTATTGGGGTAATGAAGACCTCATAAAATAAGTTGAAAATGGTTCCTTCTTCCTCTAAGAGTTTGAATAGAATTTGTATTCTTTTCATTCACCAATGAGACCAGTTGGACCTAGAGTTTTCTTTGTGGGGAGGCTTTTAATTAGAAACTTAATTCCTATAGCATCTATAGGAATACTTGGATTTTCTATTTTTACTTTAGTTAAATTTGATGATTTGCATTTGCTATGGTTTGAATGTGTTCCCTCCAGAATTAAGGTGTTGCTAATGTGATAGTATTTTTTTAAATTATACTTTAAGTTTTAGGGTCCATGTGCACAACGTGCAGATTTGTTACATATGTATACATGTGCCATGTTGGTGTGCTGAACCCAGTAACTCGTCATTTAACATTAGGTATATCTCCTAATGCTATCCCTCCCCCCTCCCCCCACCCCACAACAGTCCCCGGTGTGTGATGTTCCCCTTCCTGTGTCCATGTGTTCTCATTGTTCAATTCCCACCTATGAGTGAGAACATGCAGTGTTTGGTTTTTGGTCCTTGCCATAGTTGGCTGAGAATGATGGTTTCCAGCTTCATCCATGTCCCTACAAAGGACATGAACTCACCATTTTTTATGGCTGCATAGTATTCCATGGTGTATATGTGCCACATTTTCTTAATCCAGTCTATCATTGTTGGACATTTGGGTTGGTTCCAAGTCTTTGCTATTGTGAATAGTGCCACAATAAACATATGTGTGCATGTGTCTTTATAGCAGCATGATTTCTAATCCTTTGGGTATATACCCAGTAATGGGATGGCTGGGTCAAGTGGTATTTCTAGTTCTAGATCCCTGGGGAGTCGCCACACTGACTTCCACAATGGTTGAACTAGTTTACAGTGCCACCAACAGTGTAAACAAAAAGTGTTCCTATTTCTCCGCATCCTCTCCAGCACCTGTTGTTTCCTGACTTGTTAATGATCGCCATTCTAACTGGTGTGAGATGGTATCTCATTGTGGTTTTGATTTGCATTTCTCTGATGGCCAGTGATGATGAGCATTTTTTCATGTGTTTTTTGGCTGCATAAATGTCTTCTTTTGAGAAGTGTCTGTTAATATCCTTCACCCACTTTTTTTTTTTTGAGACGGAGTCTCGCTCTGTCGCCCAGGCCGGACTGCGGACTGCAGTGGCGCGATCTCGGCTCACTGCAAGCTCCGCTTCCCGGGTTCACGCCATTCTCCTGCCTCAGCCTCCCGAGTAGCTGGGACTACAGGTGCCCGCCACCGTGCCTGGCTAATTTTTTTGTATTTTTAGTAAAGACGGGGTTTCACCTTGTTAGCCAGGATGGTCTCGATCTCCTGACCTCATGATCCACCCGCCTCGGCCTCCCAAAGTGCTGGGATTACAGGCGTGAGCCAACGCGCCCGGCCTCACCCACTTTTTGATGGGGTCGTTTGTTTTCTTCTTGTAAATTTGTTTGAGTTCATTGTAGATTCTGGATATTAGCCCTTTGTCAGATGAGTAGGTTGTGAAAATTTTCTCCCATTCTGTGGGTTGCCTGTTCACTCTGATGGTGGTTTCTTTTGCTGTGCAGAAGCTCTTGAGTTTAATTAGATCCCATTTGTCAATTTTGGCTTTTGTTGTCATTGCTTTTGGTGTTTTAGACATGAAGTCCTTGCCCATGCCTATGTCCTGAATGGTATTGCCTAGGTTTTTTCTAGGATTTTTATGGTTTTAAGTCTAACATGTAAGTCTTTAATCCATCTTGAATTAATTTTTGTATAAGGTGTAAGGAAGGGATCCAGTTTCAGCTTTCTACATATGGCTAGCCAGTTTTCCCAGCACCATTTATTAAATAGGGAATCCCCATTGCTTGTTTTTGTCATGTTTGTCAAAGATCAGATGGTTGTAGATAAGCGGCATTATTTCTGAGGGCTCTGTTCTGTTCCATTGGTCTATATCTCTGTTTTGGTACCAGTACCATGCTGTTTTGGTGACTGTAGCCTTGTAGTATAGTTTGAAGTCAGGTAGTGTGATGCCTCCAGCTTTGTTCTTTTGGCTTAGGATTGACTTGGCAATCCAGGCTCTTTTTTGGTTCCATATGAACTTTAAAGTAGTTTTTTCCAATTCTGTGAAGAAAGTCATTGGTAACTTGATGGGGATGGCATTGAATCTATAAATTACCTTGGGCAGTATGGCCATTTTCACGATATTGATTCTTCCCACCCATGAGCATTGAATGTTCTTCCATTTGTTTGTATCCTCTTTTATTTCATTGAGCAGAGGTTTGTAGTTCTCCTTGAAGAGGTCATTCACATCCCTTGTAAGTTGGATTCCTAGGTATTTTATTCTCTTTGAAGCAATTGTGAATGGGAGTTCACTCATGATTTGGCTCTCTGTTTGTCTGTTATTGGTGTATAAGAATGCTTGTGATTTTTGCACACTGATTTTGGATCCTGAGACTTTGCTGAAGTTGCCTGTCAGCTTGAGATTTTGGGCTGAGACGATGGGGTTGTCTAGATATACAATCATGTCATCTGCAAACAGGGACAATTTGACTTCCTCTTTTCCTAATTGAATGCCCTTTATTTCCTTCTCCTGCCTGATTGCCCTGGCCAGAACTTCCAACACTATGTTGAATAGGAGTGGTGAGAGAGGGCATCCCTGTCTTGTGCCAGTTTTCAAAGGGAATGCTTCCAGTTTTTGTCCATTCAGTATGATATTGGCTGTGGGTTTGTCATAGATAGCTCTTATTATTTTGAGATACGTCCCAACAATACCTAATTTATTGAGAGTTTTTAGCATGAAGCGTTGTTGAATTTTGTCAAAGCCCTTTTCTGCACCTATTGAGATAATCATGTGGTTTTTGTCTTTGGTTTTGTTTATATGCTGGATTACATTTATTGATTTTCGTATGTTGAACCAGCCTTGCATCCCAGGGATGAAGCCCACTTGATCATGGTGGATAAGCTTTTTGATGTGCTGCTGGATTCGGTTTGCCAGTATTTCATTGAGGATTTTTGCATCAATGTTCATCAAGGATATGGGTCTAAAATTCTCTTTTTTTGTTGTGTCTCTGCCAGGCTTTGGTATCAGGATGATGCTGGCCTCATAAAATGAGTTAGGGAGGATTCCCTCTTTTTCTACTGATTGGAATAGTTTCAGAAGGAATGGTACCAGCTCCTCCTTGTACTTCTGGTAGAATTCGGCTGTGAATTCATCTGGTCCTGGACTCTTTTTGGTTGGTAAGCTATTAATTATTGCTTCAATTTCAGAGCTTGTTATTGGCCTATTCAGAGATTCAACTTCTTCCTGGTTTAGTCTTGGGAGAGTGTATGTGTCAAGGAGTTTATCCATTTCTTCTAGATTTTCTAGTTTATTTGCGTAGAGCTGTTTATAGTATTGTCTGATGGTAGTTTGTACTTCTGTGAGATCGGTGGTGATATCCCCTTTGTCATTTTGTATTGCGTCTATTTGATTCTTCTCTCTTTTCTTCTTTATTAGTCTTGCTAGTGGTCTATCAATTTTGTTGATCTTTTCAAAAAACCAGCTCCTGGATTCATTAATTTTTTGAAGGGTTTTTTGTGTCTCCATTTCCTTCAGTTCTGCTCTGATATTAGTTATTTCTTGCCTTCTGCTAGCTTTTGAATGTGTTTGCTCTTGCTTCTCTAGTTCTTTTAATTGTGATGTTAGGGTGTCAATTTTAGATCTTTCCTGCTTTCTCTTGTGGGCATTTAGTGCTATAAATTTCCCTCTACACACTGCTTTGAATGTGTCCCAGACATTCTGGTATGTTGTGTCTTTGTTCTCGTTGGTTTCAAAGAACATCTTTATTTCTGCCTTCATTTCGTTATGTCTCCAGTAGTCATTCAGGAGCAGGTTGTTCAGTTTCCATGTAGTTGAGCGCTTTTGAGTGCGTTTCTTAATCCTGAGTTCTAGCTTGATTGCACTGTGGTCTGATTGACAGTTTGTTATAATTTCTGTTCTTTTACACTTCCTGAGGAGAGCTTTACTTCCAACTATGTGGTCAATTTTGGAATAGGTGTGGTGTGGTGCTGAAAAAAATGTATATTCTGTTGATTTGGGGTAGAGAGTTCTGTAGATGTCTATTAGGTCTGCTTGGTGCAGAGCTGAGTTCAGTTCCTGGATTTCGTAGTTAACTTTCTGTCTTGTTGATCTGTCTAATGTTGACAGTGGGGTGTTAAAGTCTCCCATTATTAATGTGTGGGAGTCTAAGTCTCTTTGTAGGTCACTAAGGACTTGCTTTATGAATCTGGGTGCTCCTGTATTGGGTGCATATATATTTAGGACAGTTAGTTCTTCTTGTTGAATTGATCCCTTTCCCATTATGTAATGGTCTTCTTTGTCTCCTTTGATCTTCGTTGGTTTAAAGTCTGTTTTATCCGAGACTAGGATTGCAACCCCTGCCTTTTTTTGTTTTCCATTTGCTTGGTAGATCTTCCTCCATCCCTTTATTTTGAGCCTATGTGTGTCTCTGCACATGAGATGGGTTTCTTGAATACAGCACACTGATGGGTCTTGACTCTTTATCCAATTTGCCAGTCTGTGCCTTTTAATTGGAGTATTTAACCCATTTACATTTAAGGTTAGTATTGTTATGTGTGAATTTGATCCTGTCATCATGATGTTAGCTGTATATTTTGCTCGTTAGTTGATGCAGTTTCTTCCTAGCCTTGATGGTCTTTACAATTTGGCATGTTTTTGCAGTGGCTGGTACTGGTTGTTCCTTTCCATGTTTAGTGTTTCCTTCAGGAGCTCTTTTAGGGCAGGCCTGGTGGTAACAAAATCTCTCAGCATTTGCTTGTCTGTAAAGTATTTTATTTCTCCTTCACTTATGAAGCTTAGTTTGGCTGGATATGAAATTCTGGGTTGAAAATTCTTTTCTTTAAGAATGTTGAATATTGGCCCCCACTCTCTTCTGGCTTGTAGAGTTTCTGCCGAGAGATCTGCTGTTAGTCTGATGGGCTTCCCCTTGTGGGTAACCTGACCTTTCTCTCTGGCTGCCCTTAACATTTTTTCCATCATTTCAACCTTGGTGAATCTGACAATTATGTGTCTTGGAGTTGCTCTTCTCGAGGAGTATCTTTGTGGCATTCTCTGTATTTCTTGAATTTTAAGGTTGGCCTGCCTTGCTAGACTGGGGAAGTTCTCCTGGATAGTATCCTGCAGAGTGTTTTCCAACTTGGTTCTATTCTCCCTGTCACTTTCAGGTACACCAGTCAGACGTAGATTTGGTCTTTTCACATAGTCCCATATTTCTTGGAGGCTTTGTTCATTTCTTTTTATTCTTTTTTCTCTAAACTTCTTTTCTCGCTTCATTTCATTCATTTCATCTTCCATCACTGATAGCCTTTCTTCCAGTTGATCGCATTGGCTACTGAGGCTTGTGCATTCGTCACGTAGTTCTCGTGCCGTGGTTTTCAGCTCCATCAGGTCCTTTAAGGACTTTTCTGCATTGGTTATTCTAGTTATCCATTTGTCTAATTTTTTTTCAAAGTTTTTAACTTTTTTGCCATTAGTTTGAACTTCCTCCTTTAGCTCAGAGTAGTTTGATCTTGTGAAGCCTTCCTCTCTCAACTCGTCAAAGTCATTCTCCGTCCAGCTTTGTTCTGTTGCTGGTGAGGAGCTGCATTCCTTTGGAGGAGGAGAGGGACTCTGATTTTTAGAATTTGCGTTTCTTCTGCTCTGTTTTTTCCCCATCATTGTGGTTTTATCTACCTTTGGTCTTTGATGATGGTGACGTACAGATGGGTTTTTGATACCCAGACCCTGTTTGCCTGGGTATCAGCTGTGGTGGCTGCAGAACAGTGGATATTGGTGAACCGCAAATGCTGCTGCCTGATCGTTCCTCTGGAATTTTTGTCTCAGAGGAGTACCCAGCCATGTGAGATGTTAGTCCACCCCTACTGGGGGGTGCCTCCCATTTAGGCTACTCGGGGTTCAGGGACCCACTTGAGGAGGCAGTCTGCCCATTCTCATATCTCAAGCTGCGTGCTGGGAGAACCACTACTCTCTTCAAAGCTGTCAGACAGGGACATTTAAGTCTGCAGAGGTTATTGCTGCCTTTTGTTTGTCTATGCCCTGCCCCCAGAGGTGGAGCCTACAGAGGCAGGCAGGCCTCCTTGAGTTGTAGTGGGTTCCACCCAGTTTCAGCTTTCTGGCCGCTTTGTTTACCTACTCAAGCCTGGGCAATGGCGGGTGCCCCTCCCCCAGCCTGGCTGCTGCCTTGTAGTTTGATCTCAGACTGCTGTGCTAGCCATGAGCGAGGCTCCATGGGCGTAGGACCCTCCGAGCCAGGTGCGGGATGTAATCTCCTGGTGTGCCGCTTGACAAGCCTGCTGGAAAAGCACAGTATTAGGGTGGGAGTGACCTGATTTTCTAGGTGCTGTCTGTCACCCCTTTCTTTGACTAGGAAAGGGAATTCCCTGACCCCTGGCGCTTCCCTGGTGAGGCGATGCCTTGTCCTGCTTCAGCTCACGCACGGTGCGCTGCACCCACTGTCCGGCATTCCCCAGTGAGATGAACCCGGTACCTCAGTTGGAAATGCAGAAATCACCCGTCTTCTGTGTCACTCACGCTGGGAGCTGTAGACTGGAGCTGTTCCTATTCGGCCATCTTGGCTCCACCCCCAGCTAATGTGATAGTATTAAGAGGTGAGGCCTTTAAGAGGTGATTAGGCCTTGAGGGCCTCTCTCTTATAAATGGGATAAAGGCTCTTAAAAAGTAGCTTCATGCAGCATTTGGCTCTTTTTGCCCTTCTACCTTCTACTGTGTGAGGCACAGCATTCCTGCCCTCAAGAGGACACAGTGGCTAAGGCTCCATCTTGGAAGTGGAGAGGAACCCTTGCCAGTTAGCTGGTGCCTTGATCTTGGACTTCCCAGCCTTCAGAACCATGATAAATTAATTTCTGTTCTTTTAACAGTTACCTAGTCTCAGATATTTTGTTATAGCAGCACAAATGGACCAAGACATGTGTCTCTCAAGGAGTTTTTCCATTTCATCCAAGTTGTTAAATATAGGTGTCAAGTTTTTCCTCATGCTTCCTTAGTATGCCTTTTACAGGACTCTGTGTGATATCACTTTGCACTCCTGCTATTGGTAATGTGTGTGTATTCTCCCTGTGTCTCTTTTCTTGATCACTGCAGCTAGAGCCTTAGCATTTTTACTGATCTTTTCAATTAACTATATCCTTTTCAATTAACTGTTTTATTTCCTTGATTTTTATATTAATATTTACTGTTTTTGGCTAGGCACAGTGGCTCATGCCTGTGATCCCAGCACTTTAAGAGGCTGAGATGGGAGGTTGGCTTGAAGCTAGGAGTTCAAGACCAGCCTGGGCAATAATGTAAGACACCCATCACTACAAAAAATTATAAAAAATGAGCCTGGTGGGATGGCATGTGCCTATAATACCAGCTACTTCAAAGGCTAAGGCAGGAGGATTGCTTGAGCCCAAGAATTCAAGGCTACGGTGAGCTATGATGACATTACTGCACTCCAGCCTGAGCAACAGAGTGAGACTCTGTCTCAAAAAAAAAATTTTTGTTTTCTTAGTTCTGCTTACTTCAGTTTTAATTTGCTCTTTTTTTCTAAGTTCTTAACATAAATTCTTAAGGTAGAATATTTATTTTAGAGCGTTTTCCTTTTTAATGTAAATATGTAAGCCAAATTTCCCTCTACTCATTGTATTACCTGCAATATAAATTTTAACATATCATGTAGCCATTTTTCAATTAGTTTAAAATGTTTTCTAACTTCCTTTTTTTAATTGGATCTCTGTTGAACCATTTGCTATTTGGTGGTATACTCTTTTGTTTCCAGTTATTTGTAGATTTTTCAAATAGAGAAGCGTAGAGAAAGGAAGACCTTCACAGGGCTCCCTCTGTTTACTTCTTATGCCTCTGGCCCCTCTCAAGGACTCAGTAAGACCAGAACTTTTCTTTTCATCTGGCAGCTCATGTTTCAAAGCCTGATTTATTTTCCCCTAAGACCCAGGTGTGATGTCTTCCTACCGAGGACACTTGGAGGCTGGCCACACCTTGAAGGGCCAAGTCTTGCTTTGCTTGTGACTTGCTTTTTCTATGGACAATCGGAAAAAGTGCCAGCAGAGGGGGCCAGTGGTGCAGATAATGGGACATCACCATCCAGCTTTAGAACGTCCACTTCCGGCTGAGCTCAATTGTAACCATGCAACAGTGCTATTCAACCCCAAGGACCAAAAGAGCCACTTTTTGTATATATCTGAGGTGGATAAGACTTCTGAAATAATTCTGAGACTACTCATCATTCTCACATTTATTGAGGGGTCTGCCTATTCTGGATGCTGGGATTGGTATCGAGACTCTAAAGAGGAAATTTACAGTCCAATTGTGGAGTCAGGATATACATGGGAAAAGACAACCATCTGTTCAAAGGGGCGGAGACAAAATTAAAATAGAGATAGGTAGAGGGAGAGAGATAGAGAGAAGACTGGTCAATGGATGGCTGAAACCCCCTGCCCAGGGACTCTCACTGAATTGCCCCGGGGGTGGGACTCTGGCATAGATAAATGTTTAAAGCTCCCCAGACGATACGTTTACACTTAGCAATTTAAAGTTTGGTAACTAATTTCAAATTGGCATTTGGACTGGTCCAGAAAGAGCATCACACATCCAGCTCCTGAGGATGTGGACGTTACTTAGATGGCTTTTGTTGTATATTCTTTGGTTCCAATCATTTGTCTATTCAGGTTTTGAAAAAAATACTGACATAAGTTGCATTATTTCTTGAACCTGAGTTAATATTAAGCTGAGAAATCCTTTTTAAAAAGTATTTCGTGTCAAAGGGATACAAACTCTGTTAGGAATCTGTCACAGGGACCTTGCTTACAGGAGTAATTTATGTCTTGGCATGTTGCCAGGGATAATTAAGGTGCAGAAATACTGGTTGTTTGCATGGAAGGTAGCTATCTGGAGACAGGGGAGCAAACCAGAAAGGCATCTTCTCCTAAAGGTCAAAATAAAAAGCAAGCAAGACCATAACAAGATGAACTCAGACACATCTAATTGGGGAAAATTTGTTACCGGGAAATTTATATTATAAGGAACAGACGGCCTTTTGTGATTGTAATCTGTTTGCTTCTGATTCATGGGAAGAAAGGCAGCAACAGAGATGGGCACCAGGAAGACTGAAGAGGCAAACCGGAACATTTGGTAATGGTCCCAGACAGTTGTCCCTCTTGGAGAGACAGCCAAGCTTTTAGCTGCAAGCTGATAAAGACCAAAGCCAGAGCTTTGAAAGGGGGTGAAGCCAAGAGGGTGAAATCTGAAGTCTGGGGGGTTTTAATATATGAAAACAAATGATAGAAAGATGTAAGGATTTCTTGCTTTTCAGTTGTAATGGGGGAAATGGCTACATTATTTAGGAACCGTAGCTTTTCAAAATTAGAAGGAAAGCCCCAAAGTAACAGATTAAGAAATTTAATAGGCTAATAATGGCTATTTATTTTCTTTATAAAGAAGTGGGTTCCAGGCTGGGCACAGTGGATCACGCCTGTAATCCCAGCACTTTGGGAGGGCGAGGCGGGTGAATCACTTGAGGTCAGGAGTTCAAGACCAGCCTGGCCAACATGGTGAAACCCCATCTCTACTGAAAATACAAAAAAAATTAGCCAGGTGTTGTGGTGGGTGCCTGTAATCCCAGCTACTTGGGAGGCTGAGGCAGGAGAATGGCTTGAACCCGGGAGGCGGAGGTTGCAGTGAGTTGAGATCGCACCACTGCACTCCAGCCTGGGCAGCAGAGTGAGACTCTGTCAAAAAAAAAAAAAAAAAAAGAGAGAGAATTGGGTTGCAGAGGAAGATAAAACATGAACTTCAGCTTAAATGTCATGAGCAAAACCAAAGCGCTCTATGCATTTTCAGCATCTAGTCATTGTGTTTCCCAGAGCAGATACCGGGCTTGGCACGTACTAGATGCTAAAAAGTACTTGTAGAATTTAATCGAATTGTGACAGAGCACTCCAACCATAGGTTTTGGGTTTGAGCAGAAAACAGCATCTGAACTTTTAATTTTCCAGCAAACATGGCAAGTGACAGCAATTGCAAATGCCAAGAACACAAGCAACTATCACGGGCGTTTTTCAAACTGTTTCTCAGAATGCACCTCTAAAGAGATCTCCGTGTCTCCGGCAGGGGGCGCGTTAGGATTTCCTTAACACCATGGGTCCGCAGGATAAAAGTGAAAAAACCGTTTGTTTAAGAGGCAGAAGGGCAAGACCAGGACAGATATGTGTTCTCAGACCTCCTCTACTGTGGCTCTGACAGGGAGTAGGTGGAGGAGGCACTGCAGGGCAGAGCGAATGAACAGTTCCGACCACTCCAGCGCCTGGACCTGCTTCTTGTCATAGGAGGAGACCCCCCTGATTGCTGAAGCCCTCTGGCTCTGACAGCAGAGCCAGATGCTCTAAGAGACACGTGCTCTAAGTCATGTGTCCCAGCAGCTCGGGGGCGACATAAGGTCATGCCTCTCCTAATACTTTATGCGATATAATTCTGAGCCGCATTTCATCACGACAAACCTTTCTCCTCTCCCTTTTTCACCAAGACTCGCTTGTCCCTGGGGCTGCCCCTCACAGGTCTGCTCTGCCCCTTGAAGTGGAGGATGTCACCCCTCCATGGCCTGGGTTCCCAGTGTCATGGCCCCTGTGATGGGGCTCACCCACGTCCCACAGTCTGGCCTGTCTGGGATCACAGCGTTCCGGCAGTTAGAGATGCTTCAGTAGCGTTCATCTGGGAAGGAGCCAGGAGCCCTTTCTTCTGGAAGGCTTCTTGGCCCCAATACAATCACTTGTCCATCCCTCCCTAGCAATCTCAGTGGGGAGTGGAGGGTCTGGCTCCGGCAGAAGAAGAGGAGTCCTGACTTGCCTTTCCTCTCACTCACTGAAAGGGGCCATGCTGGCGTCTGTCTCAGGAAGACTCACTGTCTCGTCTGCTAGAAATAGAAGGGGCTGGAGTCTTTTAAACACAAATTCTCTTGCTTAAAAGAAATCAAGTTCTGCATCTCAGGGTGCCCTGCAACATTTTCATGATGGTTCCATCAGCTGTGTCTTTTCTGAGACAGAAAGAGAGAGAGAGCACGTAGGCAGCTTTGCAGAGCAAGGTGGCTGGATGGGAGCCAGGATCCAGGAGGTGACCCCGCTGTCCTTCTGTCCCCTGCAGAAAGTGGGCAGTAGGGCCTCCTGCCTTCCTGCTTTGGGCCCCCTGAAGGGCTGTGCTGTGTGGAGGTGACCTGCCAGGGGCCCGCCCAGAGATGAGAGGGGACTGCAGTCGCCCGCCTGGCTGGAGCTAGCTCTGGGCTCACATGGACAATGGGTGATGGCAGGCCACTCTGGGTGGTGGAATGGGGCGTCAGGGACTGGGGCCTTCTGCAGGGCTGCTGGGTCTTGCATCTGCTCCTGCCCCTGAGCCTCAAACTCAGAAGCTGTGATTTCTAGGCCCTGTTCTTAGACTTGACCAGAACATTCTGAAAAGGGGAGATGGGGGCAGTGCAGGAAAGGAAGGCTGGTTCATGTGCTTGCATTTGGTGACCATATCCCATCTTAAAAATAACCTCCTGCGTTTCACTGTTTCTTGCACCTTCTCTCTTTCTTGGCCTTCTCCCCATTTCTCTCTCTCCCTTCCTCTCTCTCTTGCTTCCTCTCTTCCTCCCCCTCTCTCTCCCCACCTTCTGTTTTCTACCCCTGGTGCTTCTGACATGGGCTTCATTGTGGGTTTGAGATAGGAGTTGGGGAGGGCTTGTTTTGCAGGGTACAGATCACAAAGACCCTGCTGATAAAATGAGATGTGGTCAAGAAGCCGATCAAAATCTAGCAAAACCAAGATGGGAACAAAGGCAACCTCTGGTCGTCCTCACTGCTCATTATACGCTAATTATAATGCATTAGCTGCTAAAAGGACACTCCCACCAGCGCCATGACAGTTCACAAGTGCTGTGGCAATGCCTGGAAGCTAACCTATATGGCCTGAAAGGGGGAGGAACCCTCAGTTACGAGAATTCCCTGCCCCTCTCCTCGAAAACTCATGAATGATCCACTCCTTCTTCAGCATATGATCAATAAAGAAATAGCCAACCAGCAGTCCCGGGCTGCTCTGCCTATGGAGTAGCCACTCTTTTATTCCTTTCCTTTCCTAATACATTTGCTTTCACTTGACTCTGTCGGCTCACTCTTGAATTTCTTCCTGTGCAAAGCCAAGAACCCATGTGGCCTCCCAGGCTGAACCCGGTTTAGGGGTTTGTCCTGTGACAGGTCTGTCAAGGGGAACAGAGCCCAGAGCAGATTGGCAGAAATATGGTGCCTTTTACCCAGCGACTCAGGTGTGTGCAGACGCCATATGTGGCCACACAGGGGCAGTAGGACACTGGGCAGAGGCTGTGCCCGTGCCACCTCGCATGAGGAAGCATCGTCCCTCATCCAGTTTGGCACAGCCTGAGGCTTGGATATGGGGTGAATCCAATGTGGCGCAGGCAAAGGCCGGGCCTCACTCTTGTCTGACTTGCCCTCCATCTGTGAAAATGTTTGTGCATTCCCCAACAGATTTATATAATATACATGTCTGTACCCATATATTATACATATTTAGAGCACATTGAAAGCAGAAAAGAAGAGGTTTAAAACATTAATAGAAGTTCTCGTCTTTTTGCGTGCATGTGACAAGGTTTCATTCTGTGGCCCAGGCTGAAGTGCAGTGGCGTGATTGTGGCTCACTGCAGCCTCGACCTCCCCAGGTTCAGGTGATCCTCTCATCTCAGCCTCCTGAGTAGCTGGGCATGTGGGTAGCTATTTTTTCTACTTTTTGTAGAGATAGGGTCTCACCATGTTGCCCAGGCTGGTCTAGAACTCCTGGGCTCAAGTGATCCTCCCACCTCGGCCTCCCAAATTGCTGGGATTACAGGCGGGAGCCACTGCACCTGGCCTCTTCTCTTCCTTTCACTCCATGCTGCATCATCTTGGTACTGCCCCGTGTCTACACTGCAAGTCAGAGTCTGCTGGTCAGGGTGTCCTTAGGGCTGCAGGCTGATGGGGTTTTGCAGGTCCACTCTGGATGGGGTGAGGAAGAATGAGAGGTAATCACTAAGATCCCATCTGCAAATAGTGCAGTTCTCCTCTACTTGGGGGCCCAGACTAAGCTGGTACTTCTCCACACTTTGGATGTCAGGTTTGGCCATCTGACTTGTTTAGACCAAGGAAATGTGAGCAGAAATGATATGAGTCACTTCCAGGTGGGGGCTTTAAAAGCTGGGGGTGGGGTAGAGAGGAGAGGAAGAGGGGTCAAAGAGGAAAAACAAATATCCCCGTTGGGTGTGACTGCCATAACAAGATACCATAGACTGCGTGGCTTAAATAACAGACATTTGTTTTCTCACAGTCCTAGAGGCTGGAGGTCCAAGATCAAAGTACTGGCAGGGTTGGTTCCTTCTCAGGCCTCTCTCCTCAGCTTGTAGGTGGTGTCTTCTCCCTGTGTCTCCATGTGGCCGTCCCTCTGTGAGTGTCTGTGTCTTAATCTCCTCTTCTTATGCAGACGTCAGTCAGATTGGATTATGACCCACCCATATGACCTCATTTTACTCTAGTTACCTCTTACATAGTCCCATTCTTAGATGCTGGAGATCAGGATTTCAACATGTGAATTTTTGGGGGTCATAATTCAGTGCACAATAGCAAGTGAAGCTTTATTCCCGGTGGTGGCAGCAGGCAGAGGTGTGGACAGACCTCTTGAGAATCACCAGCTTTCCATAGCCGTTCCAGCTACAGCGGTGCAAAAAAGGCCCCCTGCTGAGCTGGGTGAAATCCGGGCGACTTTGGGGATGAGCTCTGTGAGTCACCTCTTCTCACAGCCTCTTCCCGGACACTGCCTGTCCCCGCCCTTCTAAGGGTTCTGTGAACCCTTAGTTCCTGAATCAGGTCCTTTCCTTCATGGAAGACTGAGGGGGCTTCCACTTTATTGACCAAACCCAGACTGGTGCAGAGGCGACAGGTTGGAGACGCATTTGTCCTGCTCCAGGCCCAGGTACCCCTCCCAGATGAGGCCGAGAGTGCAGTGGGTGGGGGAGCAGAGGTGAGCTCCCTGAAAGCCCTCCCTCCAGGCCTAGGCCAGGCCCACCTGGGTGGGTGAGTCTCCGGGAGCGAGCCAAGGAGTGTGGCTTGTCATCTCTAACTCAGGTTTCCCTTGGGACTCTGGCTGTTCTTTAGCAAATGCCCCTTAGCTTCAGTAGTCTTTGCATGGAGAAGGGAGTAAGAGAATGAGCAGTGCAGGGCTTTCTGTTTAACAAATGGCTCAGGAAATACCCTACTGTCCTGCAAAGCTGCACCAAGCCTCACTTTCCTCGTAACCATCTTGCAGGCGGGAATGTTCCTGGCAGCGAGTGGTGGATGACGGATTCTTACAGCCTGCAAACACCTTCATTTTTTTATGATTAAAAAATAAAAAATAGACAAGGGTGGGGCATGGTGGCTCATTCCTGTAATCCCAGCACTTTGGGAGGCCGAGGCAGGCAGATCACTTGAGGTCAAGAGTTTGAGACCAAGCTGGCCAACATGGTGAAACTCCATCCCTACAAAAATACAAAAATTAGCCAGCTGTGGCAGTGCACACCTGTAGTCCCAGCTACTCAGGAGGCTGACGCAGGAGGATTGCTTGAACCCATGAGGCAGAGGTTGCAGTGAGCTGAGATCCTACCACTGCACTCCAGCCTGGGCAACAGAGCCAGACTCTGTCTCAAAAAAACAAAAAGAGATGAGGTCTCTCTATGTTACCCAGGCTGGTCTTGAACTGCTGGGCTCAAGCAATCCTTCCATGTCAGCCTCCCAAAGTTCTGGGATTACAGGCATGAGCCACCATGCCTAGCTAAAACACCTTTTTTCCCTTTTAATTTTTAAAAAATTGTACATATTTATGGGGTATATAGTGATGTTTCTGTGCATTCCGTGTCTAGTGATCAAATCAGGGTAATTAGCATATCCATCACGTCAAGCATGTATCCTCAAAGAAATGATAAATGTTCCAACGCATCTGAGGTTTCTCTTCCTTAATCAATTTCCTTTGGAGACCGCCTAGCTGTCTCCATTGCTGTTTGCTTTGAGCCTGTGAACGGGGTACTTAAAAACAGCCCTGTCTGAAACCTTCAATCTGCTGAGCAGCTCCCATCAGATAGGGTCTGGTTACCACAGGCCTGTCTGCTCTGGTCACTGCCAACTTCCTCCTCTTCTGCCTGCCTCCTTCCCCAAGTCGTCTAGGCCACAGACTTCAGGCTTAGACATGGAGAAGGAGCCAGTGGGAAGTGCTTCTGGTCTTGTTGAGAAGTCAAAAGGGTGTGTGTAAACGGAGTTTACCCCCTTTCCAAAGATAAGAGAGACGAGATCTCTGGGAGGCCAAGGAAGCCACAGTTTGACGTCACCAGCCATGGGTCAGGGCTCCTGGCCACCCTCAGCAGGGCACCAGCAGCTAATGTGGCAGCAGGCCGAGTCTCTGAATGAAGAAGCCACACCACATCTGAATTGTCGCTCCCCCTCTCCCCATACTCTGGTCTCCACCTGTTCAGTCTTGATCTCTCCTGGACTCACCCTAGCAACCCCCAGGTCACGTGGAGACCACTGGCCATGCACCTACCTCCAGCTCCGTTGGCTCTCCCGGCCCGTTTCCTCTCGTCGTCCTTCCCTCCTGACTCAGTCTAACACTAACATTGCTCCTTTGCAAAAAACATTCACTTTTGCTGTTTCCGTTCTCTGTCACCTGCTTGGCAAATCCTATCTCCCACTGTCTGCCTGGTCTTTGTCTGTATTGGAACTTCTAAATATTGCTGAAAAAATCAATCACTCCACCAGGCTTGCTGGACACACCCCACATTTATGACCACAGCCTCAAATGGGCAATCCCGCCACCAGACCAGACGGTCCATCTTCGCTTTCCTAATTAACTCACCCGTTCTCAGGTAATTATTTGAAAAATGTCTTTGCAAACCTCCAATATCCCACCTCCTCCGACTCACTTCCCTATTTCACAGACAAATAGGAGCGACCTCACGGGCTCCCTTCCTCTGTGCCACTGATTTGTTATTGAAAAGGGGTCCTGATCCAGACCCCAAGGGAGGGTTCTTGGATCTCGCACAAGAGAGAATTTGGGGTGAATCCACAGAGTAAAGTGAAAGCACATTTATGAAGAAAGAAAGAAAAGAATGGCTGCTCCACAGGCGGGGGCTGCTTGAATGGGCATATTTCTAGTTATTTCTTGATCATATGCTAAACAAGGGATAGATTATTCATGGATTTTCTGGGAAAGGGGTGGGGAAATCCTGGAATGGAACAGAGGGTTCCTGCCCTTTTTAGACCATGTAGGGTAACTTCTGGCCTTTGCCTGTGGCATTTGTAAACTGTCACGGGCCTGGTAGGCGTGTCTTTTAGCAGCTAATGCATTATAATTAGCAAATAATAAGCAGTGAGGTCGACCAGAGGTCACTTTCATTGCCTTCTTGGTTTTGGTGGGTCTTGGCTGGCTTCTTCACCACATCCTGTTTTATCTGCGGGGGCTTTGTGACCTGTGTCTTGTGCCGACCTCCGATCTCATCCTGTGGCTAAGAATGCCTAACTTCCTGGGGATGCAGCCCAGCAGGTCTCAGCCTCATTTCCCCCAGCCTGTTTGAGCCGCAGTCGCCCTGGTTCCAATGTCCCTGACAGTAACGGGCACCCCTTTAGCTGCACCCTGCCTTCTTGCCTCAAGGAGGAAGTGCCTGGTCCTGTTCTCTGAGCCGGGTCTCCACTCGCACTCTGCCGGGGGTTCTCTCCCCTCCTCCAGAGCTGCAGTGCTGTGGCTGCCCTCTTTCCTCTTTCAGCAGGCACTGACCTATCTCACATGACAACACCTTCATTATATTATACGACGTTATGAGAAAACCACAAGCCACTTTCTGGACCTTATCTATGTCCTTGTCCAGCTCCTTGTCTCTGCTCCCTTTATGGCACATGGATGCAGCAAGGTGGCCTTTATCTCCTGCCTCCTCCTCAACCCTGGCCTTACCACTGAGCTGAGATGGCCATCTCCCCCATCACTGCCATCACGGTGGAGGAGGGGCTCCCTCTTGCTGAAGCCAGCATCCACCTCTCTGTCCTCTTCTTCCTTGATGTCTTAGCAGCGCTGGTGTAGACGACTCTCTCCTTCAAACAGTTTCTTCCTGAAGGCTGCCGGATGCCCTGTCCAGCTGCTTTTCCTTCTACCTTACTAGCTGGATTTTTTGTTTTGCTTTGTTTTTAGTTTTCTTTTTGTTTGTTTTTTGAGACAACGTCTCCTTCTGTTGTCCAGGCTGGAAGTGCGGTGGAGCAATCTCAGCTCACTGCAGCCTTAACCTCCTGGGCTCAGGTGATCCTGCCACCTTAGCCTCCCGAGTAGCTTGGTCTACAGCTACCTTTTTTTCCTAAGTACCCTTTGACCATGCCTCTTTCTCTGTCAGATATTTAAATGTCAGGGTACCCAGACTGCATGTTCACTCTTCCACATAGACTCGAAAGCAAGCTAACTCACAGAGGCAGAGAGCAGAATAGGGGACTTGAGGCTGGGAGCAGGGCGTGGGGATGTGCTGGTCCAAGGGTTCAGGGTTTCAGTTAGGCAGGAGGAATAAATAATGAGCATTTGAGGTGATGGATATGTTAGTTAGCTTGTTTCAATCATTCCACATTGTACATATAGCAACATTTTGTACATCATAAATATATACAATTAGAATTTGTCAATATCCAGTGAAAGTAAATAAATGAATAAACATACACTGGAGTCCCGAGGCTGCCGTGCGCAGCCCTCTTCTCTCCTACACTCCTTTCCTGAGTTTACCCAGGTAGAGGTTTTTTTTTTTCTTTTTCTTTTTTTTTTTTTTTTTTGACTGTCTCGCTCTGTTGCCCAGGCTGGAGTGCAGTGGTGCGATCTCAGCTCACTGCAACCTCCACCTCCCAGGTTCAAGTGATTTTCTTGCCTCAGCCACCCAAGTAGCTGGGACTACTAAGCACCTGCCACCACGCCTGGCTAATTTTTGTATTTTTAGTAGAGATGGGTTTCACCACGTTAGCCAGCATGGTCTTGATTTCCTGACCTCATGATCCACCCACCTAGGCCTCCCAAAGTGCTGGGATTACAGGCGTGAGCCACTGTGCCCGGCCGGTATGATACTTTTAATATTATCTAAACATCTGAATCCAGACTCCCAAATTTGTGTCTCCAACATGGGCCTTTTCCCTGAATTCCAGGCCCTGTGTCCAACGCACTCCCCACTTGTATTAAATTGACATTTAAATATACCGTGAACCAGCACCACTGCTGCCACCCCTCTGCCTCTTCATCCAACTGCCAGCAGGAGGGCCATCTCTAGGTCCTCCATCTCCTTCACACTCCACATCCAAATTGTCCCCAAAGTATGTCCCCAAAGATGTCCCTAAGCAAATACCCATCAGATCACTCCTCATCCCCTCCGCAGCTGCTGCCCCATCTAGATCACACTCACGTCCACTGTCCCTGCCCCTAATTGCCCTCTGGGCTCCCCTTTGCCCCTCCTCCCCACTTACTCTCTACACAGTACTTTCTACTTCGATCTTATGAAAGTTTAAATCAGATCACGTATCATTCAAAAACCCTATAAAACCTCCTGCGCCACTCGAATACAATCCCAGCTCCTGACTCTGCCCTACCAGGCTGGAGAGCCCCCGCCAGCCTCTGCAGCTGCCTGCTGCGCTGGCCTCCCTCTGCAGACCTCGGGGTCTGGGATTATCTTTTCCTTCCTAGAGCACTCTTTTCCCTGACCTCTGCACAATTGCCACTGCCACTGGAAGAGCTCTTCTCCAGGAAGCTTTGACCACTTGGGAAAAGCAGCCCCCTCCACACCTGGCGCCATCTCACATTTTATCTTCTCTGTGGCACTTAGAATGGTTGGATTTGTTTGGAGGTCACATTCATTTCCCTGTGGGCTGCAAAAGTGCATGTGTGGTCCCACCGGCAGGGTGGAAAGGCCCTGGCTTCTTGAATGCCCTTTGAACCACATGGTCAGGGCAATGGCAGATTCCCCAGTAACCTGCTCCCTACCCACCTCACGCCCACGCTCCCCCAAGCAGCTTATACTGTGTGCTCTTTGTGGAAAGAGACATCACAGGCACTCCTCTTGGTGTAGACAGGGGATATCATCTCAAGGGATGGACAGAGATCTGCAATTGTTGTTCAGCGGTTCCTTCCACAAAATGGGATTAGTGACACCCACTTTGACCCTCTGACTTCGGTCTTTGCTGAGAACACAGAGATGGGATCAGTGAAAAACAGGGCCTTCCCTCACCTGCTTTGTCTTCCAAAGGTTTCTCAAAGTGTCTTTAGACCACCTGTGTCCATCACCTGGGGCGTCTGTGAAGCCCGGAGCGACACAGCCAGAATCCCTGGGGCTGGAACCCAGTACTTCTCCTGGGAATATGCATTTGTAACAGCAGCCCAGGTGACTTTCATGCATGCTCGATTTTGAGGTTTAAGAGGTGCTTTAAGTGGCTGAAAAAATTTCAGGCATAAGATCTCAGAGCATAATATGATCACCTTTGGAAAAGGCCACTGGAGGAGAGTGGGTTTACTTTGGCTCTGGCTTCTGTCAAACTCAGGAATCAAGCCTGCATTTTTTAATTCTACCTCAGCTTACCTGTGGAACTCCGGATAGTAACAACCACCAAGCAGCTTCCTCAAGGGGAAGATACAAGGAAGAACAGTGATTTGGGTGAATCTTTTTCTCCCTCCCCTGCCTCCATCTGGTTGCAAAAATCTTCCTTCCCTCCTTCCTTCCATCTGTTGTTCATCCATCCATCTGTCCATCCGTCCATCCATCCATCCATCCATCCATCCTGTGTGTGCTATAACAGGGACAAGCTAAAAGGACAAGCATTTTTCTCTCCTTTTATTTTTATATGGATATCTTCTTTTGAAGTATTTTTATTTCACTTTTTCTAACAGCAATATAGAAACAAATAATCATAAAAAATAAAAGTATAAATCGTCCATTGATTATGTAATAGCACTTGGTATTGCTACAGGGTGTGGGTCTTGAACTCGGTCAGGCATCGTCAAGCCTGCCCAGGCCCTCCAGGCCTCTTTGATAGCTACTGAGCCCCTGAAGGCATCAAGACATGACCACGCATGGCAGTGTCGGTGGAGAGTTTGCGTTTTACACCCAGCGATGCTTGGGGATGGCAGAGAGATGGATGGATAATGAGTACAACTGCAAACAGCACTGTACACATGTGGTGAGCCAGGAGGCTGGGACGGAGGTTAGGCCAATGTTGCTGCTGACTCATAGACCCACAGAGAGCAGGGACTTCACAAAGCTGAATTAATGTGGTTAGTTGTGTTCACTGTGCAAAGTAAGGAAGCCAGTCAACACTGGACGATGTTTAGAAAACATCGCTGTCCCCCTCCACTTCTCATCTTGGGTCACCTCCTCATCCCATAATAAAGTTCTCTTAGGATAAACCGAGCAAAATAGCTCAGACATTTAACTTATCCCCAAACATGTGTCTTGATCTTAGTTTCCACCCAGAGAATGAAGAAAGCAAGCAAGCACTGGGTTACCCAAGCAACTAAATCACTCAGTTGCATCCAACTTAATTGGACTGACTACATTCAGCTAAATCTTTCCATTTTCGCTGAACCCAATGGTTTCGGTTACTGTAATGACTGATTTCCAAAAAGAAAGAAAAACCTAATTTGGCATTTTTTCAGAATATGGGATGGGCTTTCCTGCATGGGTTCAAGGATGTTTATGGCATGTTCTCTGTCGTGTGTGTGTGTGTGGGGGTGTGTGTGTGTGTGTGTGTGTGTGTGTGTAGGTCAGCCCGAGACCTCAAGGGCTTATCTGGAAAGAGGTTGGCAGGAAAGGAATGCGTCTTCAGGACTTGGCAGTGTTTGTGCAGAGCTCTGAGGAAGGACAGCAGTACATGGTCCTCAGGCCTGCAGACTTCATTGCACAGAGCATGGCAGACAGTAGATCTTGGCTGCGTTGTTCTGCCTACTTTGAAGGAGGCATAGAACTTCTGGCTCTTTGAAATTTTAAAAAAGAGACCAAGTTCTTTTCTGTCTACTAGAGATCATTCATTTGCATTGTCCTACTCTCAGCCCACAAAAGAAAAGCAACCTCTCCCCTATGTGGGTCACGATGTGTGGGTGGACACGGGCCCCACTGAGATTACACAGGAAGAAGTCACAGTAGACAGAGCAGCCAGATGCCGTGCGTAGACCATGGGACAGTGATTAGTGACACATGCCCTGTGGGGCCACTGTCAGTGCCTTGCTCCACCTTGACCCAAATGTTCTGAATTGCAATACTCTGGGAGATGTGGGTGGGGGCTGAGGTGGAGAGTAGAGGGGTTGGCAGTGTGCGGGTTTGGCAAAGCATCACGACCATCTTTGGGGTTCAAGTTCATTGACATGTGATCTACTAGGCATTATCAATAATGGTTTCACACATCAATATTCTATAGCCTAAACAGCTGTGCAACCTGAGGGAAGTCCTTCTCCTCCCCCAGGTTTCACTTTGCTCCTTTACTAATGAGAGGACTCGACTAGATGACACCAAAGGTCAGAAACACTCCTTATCTCAGGATTCTACGGGTCTGGCCGAGGGACCCCTGCCATGCCGTATGACCCCAGACTGACCTCCCTAACCTGCTGGGGTCTTAACTTGCTGATCCTCAAGCCTGTTGGGAGGGAGAAACTCTTAAAATCAAATCCTACGCACTGTAGTTGACCTACACAAGTGGCTTCCGCATTTGGACAAAAATCAGTTACTAACAAGTGAACAACACATCAGTAACAGTCTTATTAAAACTAGTTGTTTAGGTCAGGCACAAAATCTCAGAGGAGGCTCAGGATGGGCCTCTGGGCTCCCTAGATTGTCTTTCCAGAGAGGGCAGTAAGGTGACACCACCAGAATCCACCAGGAGGCCCCGGTCACGCCCCTGCAGGAGAATTCAGTTATGGAAAATGCTTTCAGGACCTGCCTGGTTCAGTCACCAGTGGTCTCCCAGGCTGTCACCCTGGGGTGTGGGTGGCAGTGAAGAGGCTCTTTGGAGATGCATGTGGCCAGGGGAGACAATGGGGACATCTGTGCTTGTTGCACCCAAGCTACGCTAGTGCCCCCATCACATGTCCCAGCACACGCCAGAATTTACAATTTACACAGCCTTGTAGTGTCAGGCTCACCAGAGACACTGGCTGCCAGCCACTGGGGCTGCGTCCCCAAGTGCCCATTTGTCATGCCTGTCGATTTTCCCTTCCTAGTAGCTCCCTGTCAATGTTGCTGAGTCATGTACTTAGGGTGAATTTGAGACAATACTTAGAGGACAGCAACAGCACGTGAGACAGGCACATCTGACATGCCTAATTTCCCCCAAGGCCCTTGCGGGACAGCCTTCTGCAAAAATGACAGCTTTGTTGGGGGGCCTCCCTTTGGGAATCCCAGTTCATAGCACCAGTGATTCCAGGAAACAGGAACGTGACCGTGGAGGGATGGATTATGGTGGGAACCCAGGTCTCCTTTAACATCTTGGTTGGAGCGGCCCTTCTGCAGAGCTCTTTGGGTAGTAAGCAAGAGCCAGTCACAGAGACACTGGCATCCACACCCAGGGCCCCTGGGTGGGAGAGCACCACTGAATAGGTCCTGGGGCCCTTGAGTCGCCAGTCCCAGGGACCCCTGCCTCCGGGAGACCCACTGGAGTAACTTGGCCTCAGCTTCCTCTGACACCCCTCCAGCCCAAGCCCTCCGCTCCAGCCCCTCCGCCCAGTCTGAGGGCTCCTCAGCAGAGAGAGAACCTCCGAGAGTTGATGTTCATCTTGGTCACGCCAATAAGCTTGAGTGGTGTGGAGAGGCTGAAGGAGGAGGCAAGAGGGGAGTCACAGAAGAGGTCGGCCAGCTCATCCCGCTCCTCCAGCTCGTAGGTGGCATCGTTGAGCATCCTCCTGTGGAGGCGGCAGGTGTGTTCGATTTTCAGCTTGTTGATGTCGCCACGCAGGCGCATGAGCTGTCTGGCCAGTTGCTGGTCCTGCAGCCGCATCTCCGTCTGGAAGGGAGGGGGAGCAGGCAGGGTCAGCAGAGAGTGGCTCGAGTCCCTGACAGGCACAGACTGGTTAGCAGGGCCCTGACTAATGTCTTAGTTCATTAAGTGGTCCATCTAGAAATATTAGCACTTTCCCTGCTCAGGGAGGTGAAAAGACACAGAAAGCAAGGTGACAAATGAGGGTGCGGTCGCAAAACAATACTTTGTGCTAGGCTAGTTGCTGTATCTAAGTCCTTCTGAAAGACATGCATATTGGTCCTGGCTAGAAGATACTTCCAGTGCTTTCTCATTGTTTAGAGTTTCATTTAGATGGAGTAAGAGTATAAAGGAAAACATAGGGTAACAGCTATCAAATTCAGGAGGATGGTTGCCTCTAGGTGAGAAGGAGGGACTGTGATTGGGAAAGGTATATGGGGGCTTTGACTGTGATGGCCATGTTTTCTTTCTTACGCTGGGGAGTGTCATGTTGTTACATTACTCTTTAAACGTTTTAGAATGCCTGAAATATTTCTTAGTAAAGTTTCAAAACAGCCAAACAAAAATTGGTTCCTAGGTACTGGGTGTTTTATTATGAAACAGTTCTAAGGCCTTTGGGTCTATTAACATGCAACAGTTAACCGTCACTACAACCTGTGAAGTGATGTCACCATCATCACCCACAGCTTATAGAGGAGGACACAGAGGCACAGCCAGGGAATTAGCTGTGTCGGCTCACAAAGCTCATCCACAGCCGAGCTGGGATGAGGAAGCCGGACAGCTGGACTCCAGAACCAAAATGACTGACAATGAAGTTCTGCTGCTCAAGGACGAGCTGCAGTGTGGTGTATGGAGCTAGCAGAGTGCTTAGTGACCTTGTAGAAGGTTCCTAATATTTTTAGTGGCTTGATGTTTCCTATTGATGTGTAAACACAAGGTAAAATCCTAAGCCCCCCAACTGACTGAACAAGCCCGCTCTTCATCAAGAGGACCCCAGAGAAGCCTGAAAACTGAATTCCCAGCCGTGATGGGAATGGAGTTCAGACATGCTTTGTTATACCCCCCCCTTGCTGTTGGAGTTTAGGCACAGCAGATCGGCATTAACATTGAAATAGAGCTATAAGACTGACAAAACAGACTCTTTGTGGCAGTAAGGTAGCAAATTCCTGCCTCTGGTATAGCGTCACATAACAGGTAGCAAACCCTGAAGAAAATAAAAATATTTTACCCTGAAGTATATTTCTTTGACATATTTTGAAATGGCCCTGCAAAACCATCTCTTGTGGGAGATACTTACATCTGTAGAGCATTTCCATTAATGCAATCAAGCCTTCCCTTTCTAGGCCTTTCCAAGATCTAGGAGAGATTAAATGAGAGTCTGGCAAATTTAAGGTCTGAAAAGAGATATTTACCATCTGTTTTCTCTAAAGGCTTCTACCTGGAGGCTTCATCTACATAACAAGAACCTTGGCCTCCACAACTGTCCTTTGTCTTAAGCATTTCTTTCTACTGACTTCAAGTCTTTAGGCAAAACTTAACTCTTTCAATCAACTGGCAATAAAAATATCTTTGAATCTACCTAAGACCTGTAAGCACCCCCACCCTCCAAGCCCCTTCAAGATATCCCACCTGTTTAGGCTGAACCAAGGTATACCTTCTGTGTATTGAGTTATGTCTTTGCTTGTAACTCCTGTCTCTCTGAAATGTGTAAAACCAAACAGTAACTGGACCACCTAGGGCGAGCTTTCTCAGGACCTCATGAGACTGTTCCCTGGCCCATGGTCACTTACACTGGCTCAGAATAAACCTCTTTAAGTATTTTACAGAGTTTGTTTTCTTCTGTTAACAAAGAGATGTGATAATTATTTCTCACCTGGCTTCACACTCCCAGTTTCCCAAACCCACTGTAAACCAAAAGTGTCTGAGACAGGTGTCAACAATTTAGAAAGTTTATTTTGCCGACGTTAAGGATGCACACCTGGGAGGCAGGTCTATGCCTTTCCTCAAAGATGATTTTGAGGGCCTTAATATTTAAAGGGGAAGGAGTGGATACTGGGGGAAGAGGAAGAAATTTTTTAAAGGTGTAGGTAGATAAGAGACAAACGATTGCATTCTTTTGGGTCTTTGATCAGCCTTTGGTTGATCAGTCTTTGATCAACCGAATACACAATTTACATGTTTGTTTAGGGTAGAGGAAAAGTCACTTGTGTCTTAGTCTGGCTCACTGAATCTGCATTTTTATAGAAGATAACATAAACACAAGGCACGTGAAGCAATCAGGTATGCATTCGTCTCAGGCGAGCAGAGGGATGACTTTGAGTTTTGTCCTTTGTCCCGCACCTGAGAAGATCAGATGTCAATTTACATTGCCAGGGTGAAATTCAACAGAACTGTTTTAGGGTACAGGTCTGGGGGCCCAACACGGAAGTTCTTTGTGGGCCAATTGTGAGGGAGGTATGTAGGTTTTGTCTTTGCAGCTATCTTATCTAGAAATAAAATGGGAGGCAGCTTTGCCTGATGCAGTTCCCAGCTTGACTTTTCCCTTTGGCTTAGTGATTGTGGAGTCCTGAGATGTATTTTCTGCTCATGTTTAACCTTGATGGGCCTCACAGCCACTCCTGAGGTACCAGCAGGACAGTCTGGCTCCATATTTTACCAGCCAGCATGCTAGCTGGAGCTCAGAGGGCTGGTTTCTCAGTTGTGACATGGTACATAGGGACTGGCTTAGTGCAGAGCGCCTTCTGTAAGCAGCACTTTGTCACTGGGACAGGTTGCCAGCTGCTCCTACTTGACTCGAGATCTGAATCCTTCTCACTATTTCCTCTGTCTCCACTTGTAAGTGGTTATTTAGTATTTCTGCGACATGCTCGGCTGTGCCATTTACCTGGTGCCTGGAGCCAAACTGATTAGAAAAATGAGCCCTGAGATGCCCTGTAGTTATGCAAATGAAGGCAGTGTTCTCACTTTCTCCCTGTTAGGTTTATAATAGAGCACATTGCAGGGTAGAAAAATTAAGTGACCTTGCCAGCGAGCATCTCAATGTTCTTTTTTTCCTCTCTCGTTTTTTATGCACTTGTACAGATCTCTTTTCTCCTGATTTCCTATATAAGAAAAATCAAGATAGAAAGTCTTGCTTGGGAGTCAGCAAGGTATCTAATGGCAAAATTGGGATTAAAGTTCATAGCCACATTCATTAGTTTACTTTTCAATCCTTGGGCCTCAAGCATTGAAGAAACTCAAATTTATTGCTGATTAAATTCTATTGATCTAGAATAGCACCAAATTAATGATGATAGGGTGGCTGGTCATTTGTTTTGTAATGGTGTCCCTCACTGAGCCTGGAACGGAGCTAGGTGCTACCTAAACCCTTCTGAGGAGATGGGGGTCAAACCTGCCTGAAAGATATTGTCTGCGAACACCCATTGCCTTAGTACAGTCATCTGTCACTTCTCTTTGGAGTGTTCTGTAATTTGACAATAGATCTTTTTGAAAAACTAGGAACCCTATGGTTTAGATTTGAGCTTTGGCCCCAGGAATTGCATCTTTGGTGTGAAAAGATCCTTTGAAGTCGGGGAATTTGGGGTGTGGCCAGGTGTCTAAGACTATCTGTGAGATGCAGGCTGTGGCGGACACATCTCTGTGGGGTAGCAGGAAGGAAGGGGCTGTTTTTCTGTGGCTGACAGATCTGGTCAAAGGTCAGAGAACAATTTACTCTTTAAGACCCATCAGAGGCAGCTAGAAAGAGGGCTGACAGTAAGGCCTGTGTCAGTTTCCATGGACTGGACAAAGGCCGCCTGGATGGCGTTGCCTCGCACGCCCATGCTGTGCACATGCATTCAATTCTGCGTAAGGGTGAAAAGAGAAAGAAAGCTGCAGCTTCAACAGGGATGGTGATTCCGGCCGGTCTCCCTGCTTGCGCTCTGAGAGAACATGAGGAGGGGGCTGGGAATTGCAACTTCCTCAGTGGGCTTTGGTTCTGAGGGCATCTCACAGCGTGAGCATCTCGCTAGGATGCACTATGGGTTCTAACATTTAGATGCTCACAATACATAGTGTGTTGGGATCCCTGCACACAAATCAACAAATTCATCTCCTGCCCCAAAGAACAGGGTTTGTCCCCGTGATGCGGGAGCCCTGGCTGTGCTGGGCCCATGCTCGGCTGCTCCCTGGGCCACACAGACATTTTGCAAAGGTGACTTTGCACCTTAAACACTAACTTGAGCCCCGATTAGGAGGTCACTCTGCTGTAATTGAACCAAATCCACACGAGTTCCCACAGACTCTGAAGAAATCTGAGCAAAATGTGCAAGAATAAGAGGCTTAATTTGTTTCTAGAATTTTTTTCTAGTTGTGATAAAATCCATACAACATAGAAGTTATCATCTTAACCATTTTTAAGTGTACAGCTCGGTGGCAATTAAGTACATTCACGTTGTCGCGCAACCACCATCCATCTCCAGAGCTCTTTTTATCGTTCTAAACAGAAACTGCATCCATCAAACACTAACTCCCCATCCCCCTCCTCCAGCCCCTGGCACCCACCCTTCTACTTTCTGTCTGTATGACTACTCTAAGAACCTCACAGAAGTAGAATCACACAGTATTTGTCCTTTGTGAGTGGCTAATTTCACTTAGCATAATGTCCTCTGGTTTCTGATGGCTAAGAAGCTTTTTATAAATTAATCTTTTTAGAGATTTGCAATGAAGATATGTCTTTGCTGGTCCTGTGTGGAGTTAGTCGGGAGGACGGCGGTTGCCCGGGAAGGCACAGAGGGCTGCGCCAGTTCAGGAGAGCAGGTCTGAGCTGGGACTGGAGTGCCTCCTCCTGTTTTCCCTTCAAGCTCTGCCAAGGGGCCCCCTGGAGGCGGGGATGACAACACAGCCCCGGCTGCAGCCGCACACGTTTGACATAGATTGTTTCATCATGTTTTCCCACAACTCTAGATGGCAGGTGTGATTTTAGTCTGTCTTACAAGGAAACTGTCTCAGAGAAGTAAAGGAACTGCTCATGGCCAGCCAGCCTATGGCATCTGGACCACACTCGGGCCTGTCAGCACCCAGAGCTGGAAGACTCTCCCAGGCTCCTGTCTGCTCAGAGGCGAGCTGGGCCCAGGGGTGGCAGAAAGGGAAAATCCACAGCCCTGGGTTAGAACCCAGGTTCAAGCTGAGCTCCACTCCTCACTCGTTGGGTGGCAAGTCACTGCCACCTGGAACTTCTGTGTCCTCATCTACAGAAAAGAGATAAGGCCTCTTCTCATCTCTTCTAAGGACAGTGAGAATGAAATTCGACAACAAATAGCATGGCAGAAAATATGAACTACGCTGGCCAAATCAAAGTAAGAGGTGCACCATCACTTAAGTCCTTTCTCTCCAGGCCAAGGCACAGAACATGGAACCCAGCAAGGACCTCCCAGTTTTAAGCCCTCATTAAGAGCCTGAAAAGCTGGCCAGGGTGACTCAACTCTCAGTGTGGGTTTCATGCTGTCTCTGGCAAAGGCTCTACCATAGGATGTGCCAATTTCCAGTCCCCGCTCCCAGCGTGGCCTGGTGTCTCTCTGAGAACAAAAGCACTTGCTGAATTCTCAGAGGTGCAGCCTGTAATCCCAGCAACCCCATAATTAGGGCACAGAACTTGTTGAAAGGGAAGAGATGTCATTGGTCGGGGGCTGTCCAAGCACTGTGGTGACAGGGTGTCCCCACCAGGCTTGGAAGAAGGGAAGGGCGGCAGCCACACGTGGCCCCTTTGAAACAGCTGTGCTTGTGATCTGTACTACAGATGTTTGTTTTTTTGGGGGCAGACAAGAATGCTCGTTAAGATGTGAGCCACTGCACCTGGGTGAAGTGTTGAAATGTTCTAAAATTATACGTGATGATGGTTGCACAACTCTGAAAACACTAAAAACCACTGAATTGCTATTTCAAATAGGTGAACTGTATGGTATGTAAAGTTTATCTCAATGAAGTCATTTTGAAAAATTTTAAACACCAATTAAAGAAAGAGAGCAAGAGAGAGAGCCAGGTTGTTTCTCAAGGTAGAAGGCAAACCCCCAAGAGCAGGATTAAGTCACTAAAGATGGTAATTAAATGGGTCTGGAAGAGGACAGAGATTTCCTTACTTCCAAGCTTTACGTGGTGAGGGGAGGGTGTGGCAAGGGGGCTGGAGGAGACGGCCAAGGCGGCCCTGGAAGAAGGACCCAGAGAGGAAAAACGCAAGGGGAAGGTCAGCCGAGGACATTCAGATCATAGAAAAGTCTAATGCATCAAGCCAGTGGTTTGCTGGGGGGTCTCTCTGGACCTGGGGATTTTCCTGGGGAGTCAGAAGAGCTGACTCCTACCCTCGGAGCTGGGTGGAATAAAACAAAAGCCGTAAGAAAGGTGTGGGAAACAGCATGGCGGGTCCCGGAAAGTTAAACAGAATTACCATATAACATGGCAATGCCACTCCAGGTACACACCCCAAACAAATGAAGGCAAAAGCTAGAACCTGGATTTGTACATCCACGTTCACAATCACCAATAGGCGGAACCAACCCAGTGCCCTCCACAGATGAATGGATCCACACAATGTGGCCTATCCATAAAGTGGAATATTATTCAGCCTTGAAAAGGAAGACAATCCTGGCACATGCCATAACATGGATGAATCTTGAGGACATTATGCTAAGTGAATTAGCCAGACACTAAAGGCCAAATACCGTAGGATTCCACTTAGAAGAGGTTCCTAGCGTAGTCCAATTCATAGTGATGGAAAGCAGGACAGTGGTGCCAAGGGCTGGGGAGAGGGGATGGGGAGTTAGCGTTTAGTGAGCACAGAGTTTCCATTTGGGAGGATGAAGTTCTCGAGATGGATGGTGGTGACGGCTGCACAGCAATGTGAATATATTTAGTGAACTGTACATATAAAATGGTACACTTTATATTATACATATTTTACCGACATTTAAACAACAACAGCAGAGTCTGCAAATTTAGAGCAATCAGTTCAATCCAGTTTGCCCAGGACCTACCTGGTTCTAGCACTGAGAATCCTGCATCCAGGGGACCTCCTTAGTCCTGGGCAAATAGAGATGGCCGGTCAGCCTGCCTGCAGCAAGCGTGGCCGCAGGTGCTGGGGAATGGGGGCCCAGCCTGGACAGTTGGAGGGTGGTCTCAGTGATGTTGTCTCTAGCCTGAGTGACACTGGAAGCTGATGAGACCCTGAAGAGTAGTCTGGGAGGTAGAAGGGCCTCTCTGGGGGGTTACTGGAGATGGGGGCCACAGAAGGAGGGTACTGGACCAATTGGCAAAAAAAAAAAAAAAAAAAAAAAAAAAAAAGAAGGATTTTGTTCTTTGCCAAAGGCCCGAGAGGCTGGCCGGGGTGACTCAACTCTCAGTGTGGGTTTCATGCTGTCCCTGGCAAAGGCTAGTCTAACATAGGATGTGCATTTGGGAAAGGCAGCATTTTTGTGGAATTTGCATCCTTACTCAACATCCCCTGGCTGATCTGTGTTCACTTGCTTGGTCTAAAACACTGAGTGATTTCTTCACATTCAAGGGAAGCAAATACTCTTAGTTGCCAATGAGATCTGCTCCAGTACTTTCTCTGATCCCACGGACTGATGTCTATGGGTCTAAAACGGCCCAAAGATTTTAGGAATTAAAAATTTAAAAAAGGACATGTACTATCATCAGAGTGAACAGGCAACCTACAGAATGGGAGAAAATTTTTGCAATCTATCCATCTGACAAAGGGCTAATATCCAGAATCTACAAAGAACTTAAACAAATTTACAAGAAAAGAACAACCCCATCAAGAAATGGGCAAAGGATATGAACAGACACTTCTCAAAAGAAGACATTTATGTAGCCAACAGACAAATAAAAAACACTCATCATCACTGGTCATTAGAGAAATGCAAATCAAAATCACAAGGAGATACCATCTCACACCAGTTAGGATGGTGATCACTAAAAAGTCAGGAAATAACATGCTGGAGAGGATGTGCAGAAATAGGAATGCTTTTACACTGTTGGGAGTGAAAATTAGTTCAACCATTGTGGAAGACAGTATGGCGATTCCTCAAGGATGTAGAACAGGAAATACCATTTGACCCAGCAATCCCATTACTGGGCATATACTGAAAGGATTATAAATCATTCTATGATAAAGACACATGCACACGTATGTTCATTGTGGCACTATTCACAATAGCAAAGACTTAGAACCAACCCAAATGTCAATCAATGATAGACTGGATTAAGAAAATGTGGCACAGATACACCATGGAATACTATGCAGCCATAAAAAAGGATGAGTTCATGTCCTTTGCAGGGACATGGATGGAAGCTGGAAACCATCATTCTCAGCAAACCAACACAGAAACAGAAAACCAAACACGGCATGTTCTTACTCATAAGTAGGAGTTGAACAATGATAACACGTGGACACAGGGAGGGGAACATCACATACCCGGGCCTGTTGGGGGGTAGGGAGGGATAACATTAGGAGAAATACCTAATGTAGGTGACGGGTTGTTGGGTGCAGCAAACCACCATGGCATGTGTATACCTATGTAACAAATCTGCACATTGTGCACATGTAATCCAGAACTTAAAGTATGATAAAAAAAAAATAAAAAATAAAAAAGAACATGTAATTGTCCGACCATTGGAAGCACAAGGAGCAACTCTATGAAGGTGTTACCTTTAACCCACCATGGTTTCTGCTTCCTAAAATAAAGGCAATGCACGGACCACCAGACAAATCCTCCCCTTTCCAACAAAAGTCTTACCCGAAACCCTATTAATAGTTTGTCTTTTTTCTATCGTCTAATGCTTCCATTCCTGAAGAATGTGGCTGTGTGCGCTTTGGCTTATGAAACCCTCTGTTCTTTTAGTTTGGTGAAATAAGGGCTGTGATGGCAGCAAATCTGAAAACATGTTTGGGGCAGAGATTTCTGGATGCATCTTTAAAGCTGGCTTGAGAGAAATCCCAGTGCACAGGGGCCAACCAGAGGCGAAAGAGTGCGTGTCCTGGAGAGCGTGGTAATCAGCTCAGAACTGGGCAGGCAGACAGAATGCCAAGGTGGTGAAGGGCATTTTGTCTGGTCCCTTAAAGTCAGGCTCTTATCTCTCCTATCCCAGCCTAATAGCTACAATTAGTCTCTGATGCATGCTGAAAAGAGGGTGCGTGTAAAATCCAGGCTGTTTTGCCAGCTGTGTGTGCAGGCCCAGAACATGTTCCACTGTCCCACGATTTGGGAATGAGACTCACAGTTCTTGAACCCAGGAAACAATTTGTGTAATCTCTTTCCTTATCTTATTTAACTTCACCTGCAGGTCTGCCTTATTATTTTCGTCAGTGTTGTGCAGGAGAATCCACTTAGAAGCCTGGGTAAAATTGTATTACATGATCTTGGGTTTGGTCCCTGAGAAAGAGCCAGATTAACGCTGGCAGGAAAGAAAGCAGGAGTGCCCTTCAAACACGCTGCTGAAGGGCAACTGGAGGTTCCGGGGAAATGTGAAGAAAGAAACGCAAACACCCCTAGGAACCAGGTTGGTCTTGTGAATTGATTTCCAGAGGAAGGCTGGAGTTTCTTTCCCAGAGGTCTCTATTCGGGGAGGCTGCAGCCCAGCGGGAGGGAGCTGAAGCTGACTCTCCTGGCGAGCCGAGGCCGCACTCACGCTCTGCAGCCCAGAGACTGCAGGGCGGGGACTCTGAGCCTGGCTGGTCCTGGGTTCTCTTTCAGGCCCCTGGCCTGGGACTGTGGATGGGAGGGGGGCAGGTGCAATGGCTCCTGTCACTGGGCTGACTTGCATGCAGGAAGGAGACAGCAAGATGAGTCCATCTGAGCCAGGCCTCCAGGGATCCTCCCTGCCAGGGGCTCCTGTGCCCCCTGGGGAATGGTGAGTTTGCTGGGAGGGAGAGACGACAGCCCCAGAGCCAGGCATAGAGCAGGAGGCTCTTCGGGCCCTGCCGAGGACTCCACAGGAAGAGTTAAGCTCTACCCCTGTGATCAGGCCTTTAATTTTTCAAACTTGGAAGGTGTGGGCCAAACTACACACCTTCAGGGGTGAGGCTGGCCTTTGGGAAGGACAGAGTGATGCATTCCGAAGAGCCCCTAGATCTGCCACTAGGGGCTCTGGGTTCCAGTCCTAGTGCAGCCTCTGATGACATGATGACTCTGGACAGGTGGCATGTGCCCTACACAGAGAGAGGATGCTGATCACCTTCCTCCCCTCCCATCAGATTGCATCTTGGAACTGAGGAGGTTCTGGAAGCTGTACACCCAAGGAAGACATTCTGTGCCGGAGAGAGAGTGGGAGAGATGTGACTGCTGCTGGCTGGGTGAGGACAGGCCCAGAGGACAGCATCACTGGCACCCACCCCTGCATTTGGGTCCTCTGCACCTCAGCTCCCAGCATCTGGGCCTCCTCCCTGCCTGCCTCCCCTCCTCACTCAATCTGTCTCCACTCAAGAGGCTGATGGGCAGGTCTCCCTGCTTCTTCAAATCTTTCAAAGGTATCACGGGACCCTCCTGTTCCCTTGACCTCTCCAGCCTCCTCTCCCACTCTGATGCCCTTGCCCCCACAGGGCAGCCACACTGAGGTTCTGTCCCCTCCCCTGTGGTCCCTTCTCCACCTGTCACCCTTCAGGACCAGCTCAGCCTTTGTCCCTCTCCCTGCAGAGGGGATGACAGCCCCATGGGCGCCTGCTACCACTGCCCCTCCATGCGGCCTCCACCATGGCACCCACGTGTTGGGCATTGGTTTCATTTTTTATCATGTGTCTAGATGACAAAACACCAGAGGAGAGACAGAGACTGGGGCCACCACAGTGCCTAGGGCATGCTCTGGTGCTCAAAAGCCATTTGTTAGATGAATGAATCAATGAATCAATCCGTTAGTTAAATTTCCCCAGAGCCAAGTCTTGATTTTCCACACTCCATTACCCAGTACCTGTCTCCACGGCTGGGACAGTCCTGGAGACCTCACTCCTCCCTCTGCTACCCGGGCTGACCGCCACCCTCTGGGATCTCCCACTGCCCCCAGGCCTGTGGAGAGGCAGCCAGTAGAAAGGACAGAGGAGCAGCCCCTGGTTCAAAGTCCTTCTCTTCAACTTGCTGGTGACGCCACCCTGGGCAAGTCACCCCACACCTAAGCTTCAATTTCCTCATCTGCTACATGAGCATAATAGTACCCACTTACTGATAATAATTGACCGTAATTAAATGGGCACACACTACTGATCATTTATGAGAATTAAATAAGCCCATATCCACACACTTTGTACAGGACATCGAGTTCCGGAATTACTAGTTCCACCATATCCCGTCTTCGTACACAGAACCACAGAGCAAACCATTCAGTTACGTTTTTACTTCCCATGTGGCGCTTGCCCCAGCTCCTGGGGGCCGGGTCCCTGCCAGAGCCTTTTTTGCTCCTCACAGCCTGGCTCAGGGCGGGTCCCCAGCCCAAGCTTCACCCACCTTTACTGAGCGCTCCCTTATCGCTGACAACTGTACTGCCTGTCACACGTCACCAAGCATGGTCCGGGGTTGGGTAGGGCTGTGTTATTGTCTCTATCACCAAGTGTTGCCAACGTCAAAGGGCTGGTAATGCCAATACACTTCAGACTGGAGATGCGGTGGGGACCCTCCCACTCAGGGGTGTCCTTAGCTTGCACATGAGGAGGGCCAGGCCCGCCACTAGGGGCCAAGGCCTTCCTCAACTTCCCTGCCACTCCCCTGGAGAGCAAGTGGGGGCCCTCGTGAGGCCAAGCAGCCAGTCCCAGGACTGCTGCCCCTGCCAGGCTGCGAGCATGGCCCAGGTACGGCTGTTCTTGCTGGGCCCCCGGCAAGACCTGCAGGAAGGGCTGGCTCCCTCACCTCTGTGAGCTCGGCCATGCTGCTGGGGGTCTCTGGGCCAGTCGGCGGAGGGAGAGAAGACACCCCCTAGCAGGGGCTGTCTCCCTGCTCCGACAGGAGCTCCCCTGCACGGCCTTCTCAATTCCACCTGCAGGAAGGCCTCCCCCATCTGCAGGCAGGAATTGGGGCTTGCATTACATGAAACTGGAAGCTTTAGCCAAGGTGATGACTGTCCTATGGAAATGGAGTGCCGAAGTGCCCTGGGGTCACCTGAGAGCCCTCAGAAGACCCCTGGGGCACAACTGTTGGGATTTCTGGGCTTTTCTTGGGTTCTCTATCCCCTGCTTTGGAAACAGATGTAGCGGGAGCTTCACATCTGATGCTGAGCGAGAACCAGCTAGGAAGGTGTCAGTAGGCTGCTAACCTCAAGGGAGGGAGAGCTGAGGACAGGACATGAGCTGCTGGAGTGGGGACCTGTGGGATTAAATAGGGCTCCCAGGCACCTGCAGTTGCTATAGATTCCTGCCTGCGCCTCCAAAGGGAAGTGAGGCAAATCTATTTTCTGCCCCAGCCTCCAGGCAAGTTTGAGGCTGTTTTGTTCTCCAAAGTCACTTCATACTCCATTACTCGGGTACCTGTCTTCTTGGGAAGAACATGCTTTGGGCTTCAGCTGCCAGGGGCCTCACAGTTTCCTATAGCATGGTGGGTGAATCCAGACCCACTGCAGGGCTTTGAGGTCGGGCAGATCTGAGTTCAAATTCCTGCTCTGCTGATTGATCTTGGGCAAGTTTTTTAACCTCAGTTTTCTCATCTGTGAAATGGGGATAGTAATCGTGCCTACCCGGAAAGATTGTTGTGGCTACTGAATGATGTGAGGCGTGTGTATAAACATGCGTAATACAGTACCCAACCATCCCAGGGGCCCAGCAACTGTTCAGTGTCCTAATGCCACTCATTCCCCTCCTCCCTGCTCAACGCGCTGCCAAGTAGGGATTTATCATTTTACAATCACAAAACCAAGAAGTCTTGGTTAATTGGTTTACCTAAAGGCACACAACTAGGATATGGTAGAATCTGACTTGAAGTTGAATCTAATTACACATATTATGCTTTTTCCAGTGCACTCTCGACCAGTTAATGAGCCAGTTGTATTAGAATCACTTGCAGATACCTGTTAAAACCCCAACACCTCCCCAGGTTTATGGAATCTGAATTTCCATGGAGGGCTGGGAGGGATCTGCATTTTTAGCAAACGCTCTAGGTGCCTCACCCAGTAGTCACTACCCCATACCGTGGTGTGCTGTTATAATGGGGAGGGTGCCCATCAGAGGAATTGAGTTTATTATTATAGAAGAAACGTGAATGGGAAATAAGGAGAAACTTAATGCAATTACGTGGACAGGCATGGATCTGGCTGCCAAGGAAGTGAGGAATTTGCGTATTTCCCTTTGGTTAATTTCATCATCCACCATCATCCACTCAGCACGGCCCTCAGCTCACCAGATCATCTCAGAACTCAACTTACTGCATCTCTATTATAACTTTTGTCACACCGTGCCACTGTGTTTATGTGCCTGTCTTCTCCTTCGAAGGGAAACTTCACAAAGACAGGAGCCCTGACCCATCCACCTTGGCCTCACCCCACCCCAGCACGGAAGCCAGGCGGCCAGTGGAGGCCGGTAGTGCTGAATGGACATGGGGCTGGATGAAAAGACTTCCGCCTGCCTCTCTCAGCCCCGGAATCGCCATGAGCTGCTATTCCGGTGAGGTGCTGCTGTGGGGATCCTCCAACTCCCTTCTCCTTGACCCTGCAAGACAGCCAGGAAAGGGAGAGCAGGCAGGACCTCCCGGTTGGGGTCAGCTGCAGCTCCCTGGCCAGCAGCCCCAACTCATCAGCTCTCACATCAAACAGGAATGTTGGGAGATTGAAGGCCTTACTTTTATTTGAATGTTGGGAGATTGAAGGCCCTACTTTTATTTTATTCTAGGAGATTCTATGCTACAGAAGTACAAGGTGAAGAATGCATACCGATTACATTGGCAAGGGAGAGAAGAGCCTGGTGCTAGCACTTTTGCTTCTTTGGTCTTTCAAAAATGTCTTTCCCCTTGATTATACATGATATATTCCTATTTTAGAAACTTCGAAAACTATAAAAAAGTCAAAAGAATAATATTACCACTCAGAAATAAAGATCATCAAGTTTTGGTGTATTTCCTTTCCTGGTTCTTTTGTTTATACATTCTTTGGTAACCCCCACGAGGCCGTATCTGCCCAGATGAATAGAACAGGAATCTTCCTCCTGCAGGGCTGGTGCCAGACAGGCTGAAAGCACCGGGCTATGCAGAGAAGACTTAGCCTTGGGAGAACAGAGGCTGGGACGAGGAATTCTCTTGTGAACCAAATCCCCGCTCAGCCAGTGCCTCGCTGATGGCTCCGAGCAACTTGCTACCTTCATCCTGAAACAGTACAGCTGCCCTGTCCCTGGAAATGGTTGTTATGAGGCAGTGCTAGCAACCTCCTGTGTGACCTTTTACAAGTACCCTGTTCTGAAGGGTTTAAGCACGGGCTTTCTGGCAGCTCAGGGCCCCTTGACTTGGACATCTGATGTGCCCAGAACAAAGAGATCTGGATCCAGAACCAAGTGATGTGTGTCTGTGTCGTGGCTTAGCCACATCCTTGCATATGACCTTGGCCAAGTCGCTTTAAACTTTCTGTCCCTCAGTTCTACAACCTTTCTGAGCCTCAGTCTTCTCCTCTGTAAGATGGGAATAGCAAATACTTCCAAGCCTTCTTGCAGGATAGTGTATATGGAAGGTTCCCTAGATGGGGGGTATCAACCTGGCTGTATCGCCCACTTCCCGTCGGAAGACACTGGTGAGTATGACCTGCCATTTGGCCACACTGCTTAGCACACATGGATGACACCTGCCTCAGAGGGCTGTCCCCTGACATACCAGAGTCTTGTGCATACCAAGCAGGCAGCACAGGCAACAGAGGGTTAACAGGGAGAGGGCAGCCCCCTCGAAGCCACGCTGTGGCCACAGTGGGGCCAGCTGAGTTTAGGTCACAGGCCTCCTGCCATGACAGGCCCTAAGTGATGAAAACTTGTCAAGGTTCTCTTCTCTCTCTCTAACAGCCATAAACACCTCCTTGGTGCGGGGGGAGGGAGGAGACTGCGGGAGGAGGGTGTCTGCAGGGATCACACACCTGCGTGAAACTAGAAGAAAAATATCAGTGGGTGCCCAGGGCTTCTCACTACAAACTGCCCATTAGGAAGCCGGAAGGTTTTGGTTTTCATCCTGGCACTGCATAAACCACGCGGAAGACTTTATTGCCCCTTTTCTCTGTCTTCCAGGTTGGCAAGGGGAATTTGTGGGTGTGAATGAAGAGAGAAAACAGAAAGGAGGGTCCCTGCTCCCCTGTGCTGAGCGCCCAGGGCCCCATCCCAGGGAGTTGGCTGATGGACCAAAGCCCGGGCAGAGGCGTGTGTGAATGCTCTGAATTCCGGACTCAGCTAGAGAGGAGAGAATCCCACAGCTCCAGATCATGCTCTTCCTAGCTCCCCTACTTCCTCAAGCAATGCCCTCCCCCGACTCCCACCCAGGCTACTCGGCTGCCTGGAAGGTGAAACCTGGGGGCTGTGACCTTCTGGGGACCTGAGCAGCCTAGAACTGCAGCTGCACAACGGCCACTCCCCTGAGCCAGTGTCCCAGGAGCAGCGAGACTGGGCCTCGCCTGGAGGAGTCAGGTGGCCGCAGCCCTGCCTGCCACAGCCAGAGAGCCACACATCTCCAGCTCCGCCCCGGGGAGCCCAAGGTCAGGCCGTCTTAGCTGGGAGTCGCACTAAGAGGCTTGGAGGATCTCCATCAGCCTTGAATCCCCAACACATTAGCCTGAAGGAAAATCTGATCTACTTGCTGATCCCTGGGGGGCGTCAGGAGTGACAGTCATTTCCTTGAAAGCTGAGAGGGAGAGCTGACCCCTGAGAGCTGTTAGGATCCTCCCAGCCTCAGAGATCAGCCACAGTCAGGCAGTCATTCTGCCTTTTAGCTGGTCTTGCAGGAGGCGGGAGCAGATTAAGACGATGCTTCCAGACCCAGCACTGCCTGCCTCTGGTTGAGGTGACATTGACCACTGCCTCCTGGGAGAGCTGCTAGGTGGTCAGAGGACAGGTTAGAGTCTGCCTTCTCCTGCAGTCAAAACTCCCTTTAAGTTACAGAAAATATCCACACGACTAAGGGAATTACAGATTTCTAATCGATTTCCTTGGCCACGTGAGAACAAACAACACATTTGCACTTGAGCCTAACAAATCTGTAGGAAGGGCTTGCCCAGGTGTAGAGAAAACCACCTTCTGGGCTTAAAATATGACAGAAAAGGTTATGCAAATCACTTTCACTGAGTTAAATAGGTTAATTTTTAAAGGTGCCTTCAATGAGTTAAGAGGATGAATGAGGGAAACCATGGCATTAAGTTTAACGTTTTGACTGAGACTTAAATAGAGCAGAATGTGTTTGTTCTCCAACGCTGAACTCTCAGTTTTCAATCCAATCAAAGGGTTTTTGCAAGTTGCTTTCTAATCCCAGCAGCAGGCGGAACTGCACGTCCAGCCTGCCTGCCTACCTGCCAGCCAGTCTGTGTCTGGTGTGCTTTGGGCCTCAGAGTCGCAATCTTCTGAATGAGTGTGGTTCTTGGACCACTCAGGGTGGGATGCTGTGGGTTTGTTCACTGAGGCCCATTCACCGAAGGAGCCCCAAGCCACATGGGCAGTTATGACAGACACAGGGCTCAGAGCTCCCGCTTGGGGATCCCTGGGTCTGTCCTCTCAGGTCCCCTGTTGGTCCCCTGGCCCTGGTCTCGCCCTCCTTTCATTCCCTGATACCCTAAGTGTGGCCCAGGGACTAACAGAATAGTGTCACCTTAGAGCTTGTTGGAAATTCGAAAGCACAAGCTCCATTCCCAACCAAAGGGACCAGAATCTTCATCTGCACATGAGCCCCAGTGACCTGCATGCACATTAGAGTTTGGCAGTCAATGCTCTGAGAGATTCTCTATCCTGTGATGAGGATGATTTCTGGAGCATGCATCTCCTTGGTCGCTGCTCTTTGAGCATGCCCAGTGGAACCCTCTGCGTTGGGCCACCTCACGAGCCTCACCTGCTACCTCTCTCCCCATAGCTCTCTACCCTGTATGAGTTCCAGCCCCGGCTCTGTGGCTCACTCATCATGTCATCCTAAGCAGGTCACCTGACTTCTGTGGACCTCAATTTATCCATCCATGAAATGGACACAGTGAGGGCAATCATGTAGTCTTGTTGTAAGAATCAGAGATCACGGAATGAGGCTGCAACTCATTCAGTCCTGTTTCTCTCTCTGCCCCCACCCCCATGCATTCTGTTGCCTGCTGACATTTTTGTGATTTACATTTTTGGGAATCAAACAGGAAAAGCAGGGGTACCAGGAAGGTCATCCGACAATTAGAAGAGGTGAGTAATGCCTGCGAAGTGCCTGGCATACAGGACACACCCCTGGTGGCACAGGGAAGTGGCTAGAGGAGCGGAAACAGTGCAAATATAAAGCACTTTTAATAATGCTAATATTCCCTTTACCCTATGTACGACAGCCTTTGGTAGTCAGATTAGTCCTGACAATTTCTGCTCTGCTGTTGGCCTATGGAGCCTGGCTCTACACATCACCCACGGTTGTGCCTCACCCTGGGCCACCTTCCTCGCTTGGCCAGCACACTGGGCAGGGCACTTCATGCTGCTTGGCTCACAGGCCTGGCAGGAGATGTGAGCATGACTTGTAGACTCGAGGCCCAGGCTGCACATGAGAAGCACGCAGGAGCTTTAAAAACCACACGTGTGGTTATCACCCCCAGACATTCATTGGATTGGTCTTCGGTGTGGCGTAGGCTTTGGGAATCCTAAAAGCTCCCCAGGTGGTTACGGTACACGCCAGAGTGAGGAGACTAAAGGACGATAAGCAGGACAAATTCTAGGAAACTCCATCCTAGTGGGCGCTATGCGGAATGCTAACTTCCTTAAAAAGAAAAAGCCTCAGCTCCCACAGGCAATAAAATCTCGAACTCGAAACCAACAAATAGTATCTTTGATGAACAAGAATGTTTTTTGTTCCTTCCTAAGAAAGCAAATCAAAGCAGTTTAGCCTCAGCCATTCAAAGAGCAGCTGGGGGCTGTGCGCGGTCTGTCCTGGGGCACTGTGCATCTCCCCTCACCTCTTATACCCCCCACCAAGAGCACCAGGGGTGATAGAGCACCCCAGAGATATGGCTCAAACCCGCAGGTGCCTCATCTTCTCCGAAGCCGACAGCACGTGCACCCTCTCGTTACTAAAGACGGATATAATAGAATGGTGTGTTCTGAGAAGCACTCTCGGTATCAAGTGTTAAAACGCAAACAGGCTTCCAATTAATCAGTCAGATCCCTGCGTCCCTGAGCCCTGCCCCACTCCAAACCCCAGTGGATTCTCTCAGCCCCTGAGGCATTCCAGGCCTCATGGGGATTTAGTTTTCGGGATTCTGCAAAACAAACCAAGCAGGCCTCAGCCTACCCAGCTGACCCAAGAGCCACTGCCGGCTCTGGAAGGCAGCTGCCCTTGATGGCTGGCTCACCTGTGGCCAGAGTGGCCTGACTCGCAGGTGTCACCTGGGCCTCAGGGACGGGGTGGGGCAGGGGTTGAGAGCTGGGGTAGGGTTAGCTTCATGCCTGGTGCTGCTGAGAGGCTGTCGTGCCAGACACGGGTGATTCTCCCCTGGGGGGGTGGAAGGGGACAGGGCACCCAGCTCTGCCCCCCCACCCTGTTCTCAGGCTGAGTCACCATGCACAAAAGATGCTCCTATTGGGAATCTGCTTTGCCTATGAGCAGGAAAGTGACCGCGCTGCGGTCCCAGCTCAAACACAATGTGCCTTTACCTCACACCTGGCCCCGCCCTGACTTCTGAGCCAACTCCTCCTCTGAGCCTCCTCACCGAGCTTCTCCCCAGGCAGGACCCATCCCGCCGACTCTGGGCAGCTCCACAACTCCTCACCACTCGAGCACATTCCACACCGAGCCAGCTCCTCACAGCAGCGCCCTGCACAGCCACACCCCAGCCACTGTGCCCCATGGAGCCACCCGGCCAGCGCCCAGCACAAGAAGAGGCCGCTCACGTGCAGAAGAGTGGTCCCCGGAGTGGCAGGCAGCTGGGGTGGACAGCAGGGTGGGGAGGTTCCAGCACAGAGGGAGGGGCAGTCACACCCCAGGAGCCAGACTCCAGTACTGGGAGCGGTGTTGGGGGGAGGGGGGTACACCTTAACATGGGTTCAGGTTCTGCCAGAAAACACCTGCTTCCTTCATTAGTGTCTGCAATTAGGGGCTGATGACACCTGGGTCCCCCCAGCCACATACAAATGACGCCTGCCTTCAACTCACGGGAAGATTACAGATGTGCACTTGGGGGTTAGAGAGAGGGGAAGAAATACATGGTGGGGGTGGGGAGACAGACAGAGAGAGACAGAAAAAGACACAGAGAGACGGTGGCATCTCCTCTTTTCTGGGGATTCTTGGGGGCAGCCACTCACCAGTTCCTTCCTGAGCCAGGCTATAGCTTCATCGATGCTCTGAAAGCCTTCCAGCTTGCCACTGGACAGGGGTCTGGCACCTTGGCTGGCACTCCTGGCAGAAGGGGGGTGCTGCCCAGCCTCTCTCAGGGGGAGCAAGGGCTCCTGCCCCCCACGCTCCCCCTCCTCCAAGCTCGCCTGTGGCTCCGCAGCCGGCCTCGGGAAGGGCCAGGTCTGCTCCTCCAGCCTGGCCTGCCATTCCAGGTAGGAGGGCCTGCGGGTCTCCAGCCTCAGTTTCTCGGTGAGGGCCTTCAGGCTCCGGAGGTGGTCATCGGGTGGTGCGGCTGCTCCCGCCCCCTCTTCTGCACCCACTTCTTCCACGTGGATCTGGGGCACAGACATTCTACAGTCTGCCCTGGCAGCCGGACATGCGAGGGCACGGGGGGCGCAGGGGGAGGCTTGGTGGGTGGCACAGTTGGGTCCCGCTCTGGGATGGCCTCATCCAGGTGCCCGAGGGCATTTCCGGGACAGGAGCCGGCCTCGGAGGCTGGGTGGCAGGGGAGCTGAGAGGGACCGCGCAGTGAGCCGCACAGGGCGCCCTCCTGGAGGCTCGGGTCTATGATCCGTCCTGGAAGCCTGTGGGTGCCATGCTCCACAGAAGGCAGGAACAGACAGCGTCGCAGGAATCTCGGGGCAGCCTGTGCCAAGGTCTATCTGTCCTGAACGCACTCGAAGACCAGACTGGCAGGAAGAAGGCCCAGAGCTCTCTCTTCTCGGGAAGGGCAGGTGGCTGGAGACCCTGTGGGAGGGATGAGAACCGCATCAGTCCCGATCCCTGCCCTGCCACTCAGAGGCGGGCACGTCCACTCCACAGGAGGGGAAACTGAGGCTCAGAGTGGACTGGTGGCTGCGCTTCTCATGGCTAGTCCGGGACGGAAGTGAGATCATTTTAATGCCTTAATTCAATGCAGAGAAGTTAATGGGCAATTGAAAAATTGTGCAGTGTTTTACCATTTATATAAAAACGACTCCGCCTCTACTATCTTATTTAATGCCCCCAGCAAGTCTGCAGGGATTTGTTTTTATTCTCATTTCACACACGAGGAACCCACATATCCTAGAAGTTAAATGACTCACCGAGATCTCCCAGCAATAAGTTGTGGGGACAAGCTCAGGCTGTCTGAATCTGAAGCCACAGGTCTCTCCTCTCTGTGGCAACAGCCGGGGGGTCCCCAGAGCCAGCCAGCAGGGAAACCGCACCCCACACAGGCTAAGGTGGGTCTGCTCCGTCCAGGTGCCACTGCCCCCTCACCACCTCCACCCACCACAGGTCCTGTCCTCCAGCAGCCGTTTCTACATCCAGGTCTTACTCTACGCTCCTAGCTTCTTCCTCCAAGAACAACACCTTACCTCACCTCTTCAGAGACAGAAGCAAATAAACCTGCAGCTGTGGAGGGAAGAAGGCGGTGGCACCTGGACTGGATGGCTAAACGAGCAGGCTGTGACTCATTGTTCTAGAACGAGGCTTCTCGTGTTCACCTAAGTGCCCGCATGGCAGCACCTGTTTGGTAAAGACTTCAGCTATGGGATCTGATGTGGCCTCCCCATCTCCAGAGAGGAGGCATAAGCCCCAGCTCCTACCCCATAACATCAGACACAGGGTAGAAATCTAACTCCCAGTAAGAAGAGACCGCAGCCTCCAGACTCTGTGGTCCGAGGTCCATGGGGTGGGCAGTGGACATGGGTGAATCAGAGTAGGAGACATCTGATTTGGACCCAGGTGGTAAGCCCTGGATTTTAAGGGTGTGTTTTAAAAAGAAAAATCTGTGCTGGGGGACATGCAGCTATAAAAAAGAATGAATTGATATGGAATGATGTTTGAGATAAAGCTTAAATGAAGAAAAGCAAGATTCTCAGCAGCCTGGAAAGTAGGCCACCCTTGGGGTGAAAAAGGAGAAAGAAAGAGGGATTGTTACTGACTTGTAAATGCCTAAAAACATCCCGGCCAAAAAAAAAAAAAAAAAGGAAGGGAATAGCCATAGTCATGATTACTTGTTTGGAGTGAGGGGAACTGGGCAGAAGGGAGGTGAGGATAGGAGGGAAAAGAATTAAGATGAGGGTGGCAAAAGCTGAACAGGCAGCAGGACCACCTCGCGGTGTCCTGGGATTCCTCTCCGACATGGCACGCAGACGCTTAAGAAAGCAGAGCAGAACTTTCCAGTCCAGACGTTTTCCTCAGCCCCAGCCTGTGGTGGGGATGTGACTGGAGGACGTCCTGCTGCCCGACCTCTGCCGCCCTAGGCTACGAGCCTGCCCTAGCAAGGGGCATCCATGGAGAATGAGAAGGAATAGTCCACCCCAACTGGTAAGCAGAGAAACCCGCTGTCACCTCCAGCTCTGCTTGGAGCAAGCGAGAATCCCCCTGAGGAACTGGATTCTGATTCAATTGGTCGAGAGATGGGACTTAGACAGCAGTGTTCAGCTCCCCCGATGATCCGAGTGTGCAGCCGGGGTGGAGAACCACTGTATCCAGATGCAGACACTAGAGTTGGGATCAGATGGCCTAGCTCTACGTCTTGTCAGGCTTGCTAAGTCTCATTTTCTTCATCTGTAAAATGGGAGTGATAAATACCAACCTCCTATGTTCTAGCAGATTGGCAGAACTAAAATTCACCGGCACTCTCTGAAGACTTAGCACGCTAAGTCCGCAAATGCGAAATGTACTCATGGGAGTCTCCTGTGCAGTTTCACGGTCAGAATCTGTCCAAATCTAAAGACTTATCAGCTGCTTTCTGGGGCCCCTCCCAGGCGCCGTCTGCCTCTTTGCTGAGGTGCCAGGATCTGTTTTGAGCATGTCTGGGGCAGCTGCACCTACAGGGCTTCCTTCTCCCTGGCAGGGGAGCTCTGATTAGATCCATCAAAGCTTCCTGGAGAGGATTCAACTGCAGGCGGATGAGCAGCACCCTCCCGCCCTGAGTTCTGTGAGGAGATAACATGGATGAGGAGCCCTGGTGGCCCACCCCCTCCCCCACCAGCAGGCTCCCACTGCAGAGGTGAGGGCATCCCACTGGGCTACCACTGCTGGGTGAGGGGCTCCTCTCAGGGTAGGAAACTGCTACAAGTCTGTAACTGTATTGCAGACAATTTATTTCAATTATTGGTTTCTTTTCTTTTTCTTTTTTTTGAGACGGAGTTTTCACTCTTGTCACCCAGGCTGGAGTGCAATGGCGTGATCTTGGCTCACTGCCACCTCCACCTCTTGGGTTCAAGCGATTCTCCTGCCTCAGCCTCCCGAGTAGCTGGGGTTACAGGCAGCTGCCACCATACCCAGCTAATTTTTTGTATTTTTAGTAGAGACAAGGTTTCACCACCTTGGCCAGGCTGGTCTGGAACTGCTGACCTCAGGTGAAGGCCTGCATAGGCCATGTCAGGACCATCTGGTGGCACGGGCATTAGCCCCTGTGAACTGTGACCAGCTAGTGATGGTCCTCAGATCTGCTGAGCTTGGTGAAGTGCAGAAAACACAGTGTGCACATCTGCCCATGTGAGCCCCAAAGTAGCCCCCAGAGGCAGGCGGGATCACCCCATTTCACCAAGGAGAAATCGAGGCTAGGGCAGGTGAAGTGCCTCACCTCCTGGTCACAGGCAGGTGCCAGCAGCTGGACCTGGGCACAGTCATTTGACTCTGTCTCAGCCTCTTTCTACTCTGGAGAGTGTGGGCTCTGGGTTAGAGCTCCAGGGCAGCCATTGGCTTTGTGACGCTGGCACATTGCTTCATGACCACTCTGGGCCTCTGTGTCCTCTTCTGAGAAATGAGAACAACCGGAACGACTACATAATTCGCAAGGCTCAGTATGAAACGAAGATGCGGGGCTCCTTGTTTAAAAAGTTCTAAGAATTGGCCGGGCGCCGTGGCTCATATCTGTAATCCCAGCACTTTGGGAGGCCGAGGCGGGTGGATCACGAGGTCAAGAGTTCAAGACCAGCCTGACCAACATAGTGAAACCCCGTCTCTACTAAAAATACAAAAATTAGCTGGGCATAGTGGCGCACGCCTGTAATCCCAGCTACTTGGGAGACTGGGGCAGGAGAATCGCTTGAAACCAGGAGGCGGAGGTTGCAGTGAGCCAAGATCGCACTACTGCATTCCAGCCTGGGCGACAGGGCGAGACTCTGTCTTAAAAAAAAAAAAAAAAAAAGTTCTAAGAATTTCAAGACAGGGACAGCAGAGCATGAACCCACACGAGGGGCCCTGTGCCACTGCCCACAGCCATGAGGCTAGTTCTGGGGATAATAACATCTACCTCGTAAGTCCTAATCAGGATTCAATAAGGTTACAAATGTGAGCTCTCAGCACACTGCCTGGTCTACAGGAAGCCCTAGACATAGTCATGTAGCCTTAGTCATGGTTTTTAAAATGTCATTATTAAGATGACATAACCTATCAGAGTTATATCACCGTCACATGACAGATCATGAACCTCCAACTGCACTGAGCAGACACTCTGTTGGTCTCTGACCTGCTGGGTGGCCCAAGACAATCCCTGCCCCCTCACATCCTTCCCTGGACACCAAACGACACGAAGTCAGTTGATCCCACCTCCCCCAGATTTTCAGGTCTCAAAACTTAGTGGAGTCTGTTCTGCCATAGAAGGGAGAGAACAGCTCCACTTACTAAAACCATTCCATGCCTGCTCCCTTCCCTCTCTGCTCACATTGTGAATGCCCCGCCCACGGCTCGGGGTGTTGGAGAGACTCCACCCTGTGCTCTCTGCATGGCAGACCAAGGCCAGGCCCCAGAAGCCTGGTTTCTGGTCCCAGCACTGCTGACAAGCCGAGCACCCAGGCTCAGTCCTTTCCTCGTGGCCTCAGTTCCCTAATCTGTGCAATGGCTGAGGATCTATGGAACCTGGTATGTGAGAGCTCTCTTTAAACTATAAAGAGCTGTACCCACCTGAATAGGCGTGTGTGCAATGTGGAGAGGCCTGAGTTGGGGAGTCACTATTTTAGAGCAGGTGGTCACCCGTAGCTGGCAGGAACGGGATTGCCCCCAGCACAGCCAGATGGTGAGGAGCTGCTGCAGGAATGGGATTGCCCCCAGCACAGTCAGACCGCGAGGAGTTGCTCAAGCAGCATGTGTTTTCCTGGTCGTCAGTGTTTGGGGAGCACTGTCCCCCTGGGTGCCCTGGTGCCTGAACAAGCCCAAAGGGGTTTCTTCCCTCCCACTAGGCACAGGAGCTCAGCTGGAATGTCACCCACACAGGCGCAGGGACGTGACAGCAGAAAAGCTTGTCACTGCTCACTGGGCACTGAGCTGGACCCGGCCTGAGCCGGCAGAGAGGTGCTGGCCGGGTGCCGGGGAACAGATGCCAGCACTGGGCAGCTTCCTGGGCTGGAAAAGCAGTGGAGGCCTCCCCTCGCTTGACAAACCAGGGACTCCTGGGGCCCAGGCCCCGGGAGGAAGAGCCCCCCAACACTCTAAACAAACGGGCTTTCTTTACATGTAACCTGGGTCGTTCCTAGGGGTGGAGGGGCCGGAGAAGGAAGCCAAAGGACGCTGCCAGACCTGGGACCTAGGGTGTCTAGAAAAACGACATCAGACCCTGTAATCCCACCAGGCCCAGGCACGCCCCGCCAGGCAGGCCACCCAGCAGCAGTGGGGACAAGCCCTTGGGGGGGCGCGTCAGCCTTTCTGCAGCTCTGTGTGCCAGTGCCGAGGACCCATGCCACACACAGAGACTGCTGTTCCAACAAGCTCCCTGGCTCCCAGGCCCACAGCGGCTCCTTAGAGGAGCCTTCGCCAACCATGAGCTAACTCCTCTGGCTGCTGGAGGAGCCAGGTGGGGGCAGCTCAGCCAACACCTTGTCTCATTATGACCTAATCTGTTCACCTGGAAAACGGTCACATCCACTTCCTCGATGGGCTCCCAAGGGCAGGGGAAGACGCAGGCACTGCTGACCCATCCCCTCCACACCTCCTCTCACCACGCGCTCCTGCTGTTCCTTCCAGCCTCGCATTCTCCACTAGAACCCTTTCGTTTCTTCTCCATAAGACACAATCTTTCCAACCCCGACCCAGCACTCCTGTCCCGCCGGACACCATGCTCTTTCACACCCCTGACTCGGCACAAGCTTTCCTCCAGCCTGGAAAGCCCTTCACTCCCTTCTGTGCCTTAGTTCAGTTCTCAGGGATTTTCTCCTGGGGGAAGTTTTGCTTGATTTGCCCAGGCTGGGCTGTGTGTACCCAGGACAACCCGAGCACATCAGAGAAACAATTATGTCATCGCAACATTAGCTAATGCTTACAGCACACCACACGAGCTGTGGTGCTAAAAGCTTTACATGTATTAACACATTTAATCCTCACAACAGCCCTATGAATCTGGGGTATCATCATCCCCATTTTACAGATGAAGAGACTGAGGCATAGACAGGTTCGGGACCTTGCCTGAAGCCACAGAGCTTATAAGTGGTGAAGCTGGGATTTGAACCTCTGCAGTCTAGCTCTGAGCTGGCCCCTAACCACTGGGCTTACTGCCCCTCTTAAGCCACAGCACTTACACCCAGGGCCTTTGTCAATGGTCGCCTCTAGCAGACTCTCAACTTCAGGACGAGAACCAAGCCTTTTATGCTGGACCCTCCAGTACTTAGCACAATGCTGCTCTCTTTAAATGCTGTGGAATGAATGAGCCAATAAAACAGATTTCCTCCCACTCACAGCGACCTGTCCTTGCTCAAATCTGAGCCAGCCTGGATGGGCTCAGAGAGGCAGAAAAAGACACCCAGGCTTCCTGGGATGGTGCCTCCCCTCCTGTCCCCACGGATGCCACCCACCCTGCCTGCCCTGACCACAAGTGTCCAGACATAGGTGTGCAGGCTCTGGGCCTGCAGTGGGACAAAGACAGGAACAGCTGCAGCTCATCCCAAATCCCAGGACTATGTGCTGGAGTTGGAGGGGACAGTCTGATGTGAAAGACCTAGCATGAGGGCCTCCTTGGAGTCCAGTGCAGGATGAGGTCATTGCCATCCAGCAGCTTCCTCCCTCTTCTGGAAAGTGCATCCCCCTTTCCCACAGGAGCCCATCCCTGGGATTTCCTTTCTCCTGGGGCGTGGGGAGACACAGGATGAAGTTTTGGTGTCAGAACCACTCAGAGGCCAGCCTTGCTCTGAGCTGGCCGGGGCCGCTGGGGCCACCATGCTCAGCACATGTGGGGAAAGGGTCTAACTGGAGAGCAAAGCCAAGCCGACAGTGTGGTAGCTTGGCCATCAGAGCCCAGTGGCAAGGAGCTGGGGGCCCGCAGCTGGGCCCCGTGGGAAGCCACCCGCCCTGCCCAGGTTACACAGCGTATACCTTCCGCCTTTTTTGCTTCAGCTACTTGGAGTGGGGTTTCTGACATTCGTAAGTGACTGACACAGCACGCACTGGAGAAGGAATATTAAAGAGCACAGTGGATGCTTGCTGCTATTTGTCTTTCGTTGGACTGTGTGTCTGTTTGCCATATCCAACACCCTCTCCTTTCCTGTGTGGAGGGAGCTCCCCATTTTGTGCAGAACAGCAGGCAGGCCGTGCAGCCTTCTCTGCAACCAGAGGACCACGTGCTCCTCTTCCCAGCTCATGCCCTGGTGACCAGGTGTGAGCATGTGACCTGAGCTTGGCCAGTCAGCTGCTCAGGCCCCGACTCTGAATTGGGTGCGTGTGAGTCTCAGAGGAAGGGATGGTTAGGGCGCATCTGTGAACCAACCCTGGAGGCAGATGTGAAGTGCAGGGGTGGTGGCATCCTCTTAGCCAAATTGTCTCTGCTGAAGGACTGGCCCGGGATCTCCTGCCTCTGCCTTCTGGATCTGCCCTGGTTCTGCCTGTTTTCTGGTCTTTACTTCCTGCCAATTCTGTGGGCACCTGACAGCCTTACAATAATGTCATTTTCTCTTGCTCACAACCAAGAGCTGTAACTGAAATGAGACAGGAAGCACAACTCATTTGGGGAGGAAAATATACAACTGAGAGCAAGCCAGTGTCATAAAATGTCATGACAATCCAAAAGGCTCCCTCTGCCACCATTCCACGTGTCCCTTGGTGGTGGGGGGCAGGGAGGGGGTGCTGTGCGACCTCCCATTGAGAACCACAGGGTGGATGGTCACTGTCCTCCTAATGAAATCTTACTGAGTCTGTCCACATGCAGAGTTGACTTGTCTCCTAACTCACAATCCATGACAGGCTATGCTTGATGAGGACAGAATGACAATTTCGCATATGAATGAATTTATCCTTGCTCTGCTCCTCTGGCAGAAACGCCGCCCATGGTTCCCTGTGCAAAATGGATACACGCTGGGTCATGAGACCAGCCCAGCTGGGCTACAGCCGGACATCGGGGCAAACAACTGAAGGGCCGAGAAGTCTGGTGAGCTGTGCTCTTTTGGGAGTGGTGCCTCTGGGCTGTTTCAGGACTGTGACAGTCCCCAGAGGGAGAGGGGGTGAGCAGAGGCAGATAGAGCATGAAGGAGTGAGCCTGTGGCTGCATCTGTCTCCCACAGGCTGCTGCTTCCTCCACCTGCAGCTCCCTCCCTTCTCATCATCAGCCTCCACCCCACGAGGTTGCCTCGGGTCTGTTTCTGCAGCCTGAAAGAGGTGCACTAACCCTATTCAAATCCCCATTTTACAGGTGAGGAAACAGATAACTTTTCTCATGAAACCGAAGCCCAAGCTCCCATAAACAGACGTGACGGCCTGAGATCCTGGCCCAGAAAAAAGGGTGCTTTATTTAGCACCTATGAATGCTGGGGGAATGTGCAGGCATGTTCCCCAGTGCCAGCACGGGCTGAGCAATGGTAGGTCTCCTTAGAGTTCACCGAGCATCAGCACACACATTCGGGCCTCACGTCCTTCTGACTTCACGCAGGAGAAAGTGGAGGCCACAGAAGCTGGCTGGTTCCCAGAACACAGATCTGCTGCAGGAAAGCTGGGGTGATCTCCCCGCTCTGTCCCCTTCATCACGGCTGCCCCCATGCCCCTGCACTCCTGACCCCTCAGCCTGAGCCTGGGGACGTGGACGCTGTCCCCTTCTCCACAAGGCTCCCTCCTCCAGGCTTCCTCTCCTCTGTCCTGCTGCCGGTTATCCTTCTAAAATGCAACTCGAATCCTGCCCCTTAATAACTTTCCTACTAAGTAACTTTGTTATTGAGATGAGGTCTCACTGTTGCCCAGGCTGGAGCGCAAGTGGTACAATCACAGCTCACTGCAGCCTCAGACTCCTGGGGTCAAGTGATCTCCTGCCTCAGCCTCCCAAGTAGCTGGAACTGCAGGCATGTGCCACCATGCCTGACTCTAAATAACATTTTAGTAACACTGTCAAGCTGCTAATATGTATGAAGCACTCAATATGTGCCAGGCACTATAAGGAGATAGCACCTCACTTATTTGCATGAGAATCTTGTGAAGTATGCACTATGATTGTCCCATTACACAGATGAAGAGACCGAGGCACAGAGATGATAAGGCACGGGCCCAGTGGCACTCAGACTGTACCTGGCAGGGCAAGGACTGAAACCAGCAGATGCACAGCTCCCTGTGGAGGTGGAGGGGAGGGCTGCAGCAGGAGCCAGGAAGGCTGAGCTGGGGACCAGGACCGGGTCAGAGGCTCTGTGACCCTCCCCATGGTCTACTCAAACAGAACAAAGCAAGAGTGTCCTCTGGGAATCAAGTTGCCCCCCGAGATAGCCAGCTCTGTCTTGGTTCTGTGCTGTCCTATGACGCTGGCCACTCCACAGCAGAACCACCTTCACTGAGTTTATGGAGCACGTCTACACCGCAGCACATCTACACTGCAGGGAAGGCTGGGTCTTCTTACCCCATCATGCAGCAAACCGAGGTGGCAGCCTATGTGACCAGCCTAAGGCCCGGGGCTCCTCAGTGACAGCCCAGAGCCTACTGCCCACACTCCTTGGGGTTGCTGTGCCATCTTCTAGAACCTACTATCTGGCAGGACTAGCTATCACGCGTGTGGAAAGCTTTCCATCTGCAGGTATAACTGGGTTCTCCCAGAAATTTCTGGAAGGAAGAATTAGCTACACTGTGACTTAGGGCCCTGCAGGATCCTCAGCAGGGCAGGTCTTGGGGGATGGGATGTCTTTAGTGCCGGCCTCATCTTCTTGACCCCGACACCGTCTGGGTTGCCCATGGCTCTGCTGCCAAAGCCAGGGTGGGCTTGGCTGGAGAGTGGAGGCCCACGTGTGTGTGCAAAGCGCTCTGTTTCCTCTGCTGAGCCTGCTGTGTGTGTCACCAAGCCTAAAACTCCACATCAGAGAGAGTCGTGGCTTCACTCAAGGACAGCATCTCCTGATTCCTCCGTCAACACCTGTCTGGTGCAGGGGTGGCAGGAAGAGGCATCTCCACTCTACCTTGCCCTGATGTTGCGGTTTCAGCCAGGCCAGGCCCATCAGTAGAGGGCACAGCCCTGATTTCAACCGGAGACAAAGGCAGGGGCCATGAGCTGGGACCTGCGGTGGCTTCAGAGGCCAGAGAACAGTGAGGCCAGCCCCACAGCCAAGGGAGTGCAGAGGCTCTAAGGGGTTTCATACACAGAAAATTCAGGGTGGTGCAGGGCAAAGCTCATGCCTGCATCTTTTCCTTTTGTTTTCTGAAAAGGCAAATCCCTTTGTTCTGGGTGAGTAAGAGGTCAGGAGGTCTGGGACATGGCTCCACAGTCGGCCTAGGGAGGCGAGCCTGGGGTGTGCAGGCTTTTCTGCCCGGGTTTAATCAGAAACCCAACACTTATCTCACCCAGAGGACCAGACAGGACTGGGCTGGCCTCTGGCCGGGCTCAGCACTGACCAGGTGGCAGCCGAGAGGACAGGGACACAGCCCTGGGCCCCACAGAGCTGCTGCCGGGAGCCAGGCTGCCCTAGTGGTCCCCTCCTCCTCCGGGGTTGCCATGGCAACTGAGCAGGAGGGACCCTGCTGTCTAGCCCTGGCGCTCATCTCTTGCCTTTCCAGCCTCATCTGCATTCCAAGCCTTGGTCAGAGCCGGTGTCAGGAGCCCTGACATGGAGATGACATCCTGCCGAGACCTGACCCCGGCCCCAGTGCTGCACGTGGCAGGGATGGGTTGCTGGGATATGTGTGTGTGCGTGTGTGTGTGTGTGACTGTGGTGGGGTTGTTGCCTTGCTGAGTGTGGGTGGTGGTTGCCTTGCTCTGTGTGTGTGTGTGACTGTGGTGGGGTTGTTGCCTTGCTGTGTGAGTGTGGGTGGTGGTTGCCTTGCTCTGTGTGTGTCTGGGGGGGGTGGTTACCCTCCTGGGTGTGTGTGAGTGTGGGGGGTGGTTGCCTTGCTGTGTATGAGTGTGAGGAGTGTGAGTGTGGGATGGTTGCCTTGCGTGAGTGTGATTGTGAGTGTGGGGGGTGGCTGCTCTGCTGGGTGTGTGTGAGTGTGGGGGGTGGCTGCTCTGCTGGGTATGTGTGAGTGTGGGGAGTGGTTGCCCTGATGGGTGTGTGAGTGTGAGTGTGTGGGGTGGTTGCCCTGCTGGGTGTGTGAGTCTGAGTGTGGGGGGTGGTTGCCTTGCTTTGAGTTTGAGTGTGGGATGGTTGCCTCACCTGAGTGTGAGTGTGCAGGGTGGTTGCTCTGCTGGGTGTGAGTGTTGGGGGTGGTTGCCTTGCTGTGTGTGAATGTGAGTGTGGGTGTGGGGGATGGCTGCTCTGCGGGGTGTATGAGTGTGTGAGTGTCGGGGGTGGTTGCCTTGCTGTGCATGAGTGTGAGTGTATTGGGGGTGGTTGCCCTGCTGGGGTTGTGTGAGTGTTGGGTGGTTGCCTTGCTGTGTATGAGTGTGAGTGTGAGGGTTGGTTGCCTTATGGGTATGAGTGTGAGTGTGGGGTGGTTGCCTTGCTGAGTGTGAGTGTGAGTGTGAGGGGTGGTTGCCCTGCTGGGTGTGCGTGAATGTGGGGTGGTTGCCTTGCTGTGAGTGAGTGTGGGGGGTGGTTGCCTTGTGGGTATGAGTGGGAGTGTAGGGTGGTTGCCCTGCTGGGTATGAGTGTGAGTGTGGGGTGGTTGCCTTGCTGTGTGTGAGTGTGAGTGTGGGAGGTGGTTGCCTTGCTGTGTGTGTGTGTGAATGTGGGAGGTGGTTGCCTTGCTGTGTGTGTGTGTGAATGTGGGGGGTGGTTGCCTTGCTGTGTGAGTGTGAGTGAGTGTGGGGGGTGGTTGCCTTGTGGGTATCAGTGTGAGTGTAAGGTGGTTGCCCTGCTGGGTGTGTATGGGTGTGAGTGTGGGGGGTGTTTGCCTTGCTGTGAGTGTGAGTGTGAGGGTTGGTTGCCTTGTGGGTATCAGTGTGAGTGTGAGGTGGTTGCCCTGCTGGGTGTGTATGGGTGTGAGTGTGGGGTGGTTGCCCTGCTGGGTGCGTGTGTGGGGTGGTTGCTCTGCCTGGTGTGTGAGTGTGAGTGTGAGTGTGGGGGGTGGTTGCCTTGCTGTGAGTGTGAGTGTGGGGGGTGGTTGCCTTGCTGTGTGTGAGTGTGAATGTGGGGGGTGGTTGCCTTGCTGTGTGTGAGTGTGAGTGTGGGGGGTAGTTGCCTTGCTGTGTGTGAGTGTGAGTGTGGGGGGTAGTTGCCTTGCTGGGTGTGTGAATGAGGGGTGGTTGCCTTGCTGTGCATGAGTGTGAGTGTGAGTGTCAGGGGTGGTTGCCCTGCTGGGGGTATGTGAGTGTTGGGTGGTTGCCTTGCTGTGAGTGTGGGGGGTGGTTGCCTTGCTGTGTGTGTGAGTGTAAGGGTTGGTTGCCTTGTGGGTATCAGTGTGAGTGTGAGGTGGTTGCCCTGCTGGGTGTGTATGGGTGTGAGTGTGGGGTGGTTGCCCTGCTGGGTGTGTGTGTGGGGTGGTTGCCCTGCCTGGTGTGTGAGTGTGAGTGTGAGTGTGGGGGGTGGTTGCCTTGCTGGGTGTATGAGTGTGTGAGTGTGGGTGGTTGCCCTGCTGTATGTGTGAGTGCTTGGGGGGTGGTTGCCCTGATGGGTGTGTGAGTGTGAGTGTGGGGGCTGGCTGCCCTGCTGGGTGTGTGAGTGTGAGTGTGGGGGGTGGTTGCATTGCTGGGTGGATGAGTGTGAGAGTGTGGGTAGCTGCCCTGCTAGGTGTGTGAATATACGAGTGTGAGGTGGTTGCTCTATTGGGTGTGTGCTCTGGGTATGGCTAGGGCTGAGTTAGTGACATGTGCAGAGCTGTTAGGGATGTAGGTGTGGCTGGGTAAGAGACATGGGCGGGGCTGGGTGAAGGACGTGGGTGGTGCCGGATTAGGGGAGTGCGGCTGGCTAAGGGAAGTGAGTGGGGCTGGGTTAGGGACGTGGGTGGGGCTGGGTTAGGGAAGTGGGCAGGGCTGAGTTAGGGAAGTGAGTTGGGCCCTGGGTTAGGGAAATGGGGGGATTGGGTTCGGGAAGTGGGTGGGGCTGGATTAGGGGTATGAGCGGGGCTGGGTTAGGGAAGTGGGCGGGGCTGGGTTAGGGAAGTGGGCGGGGCTGGGTTAGGGGTATGGGCGGGGCTGGGTTAAGGAAGTGGGTGGGGCTGGGTTGGGGAAGTGGGCGGGGCTGGGTTGGGGAAGTGGGCGGGGCTGGGTTGGGGAAGTGGGCGGGGCTGGGTTAGGGGTGTGGGTGGGATCAGGGCTCCACAGGACAGCGCTCCTGGGGTTTTCTCCAAGCACCCCTGTGGTCTACCCTGCCGGGTAAGCATTCCCTCTGGCACATGTCCAGCCAGGACAGCACTAGCCTTCCCCCTTCCTGGAAGCCTCCTGTTTGCTGCCGGGGTTTCCCCTCCCTGCTGCACACCCTTGTGAGAACTCGGCAGTCTCTTCTGAAGGACATTGATGCTGTGCCACAATGTCATATGCTGGCTGCTTCATGCCTGGTTCTGCTTGAACCTCATCTCCACGCAAACCCCAGCCTGGGCCACAGGATGGAGCCCAGCGCTCGCCTTCCTGGTGCTTCTGGAGCTCATCACTTACTCCGTGATGTTTGTTGGTGTCTGTGTGTCCCACCCTTGAGAATGCCAGCTCCTAGCAGGCAGGGGCTTCCGAATTCTGTTCCTGACTGTGACCCCGGCACTCAGAGCAGTGCCCGGCACACAGCGGGTGCTCAGGAAACTTGCTGAGTAAGAGAGTGGGTACATGAATGAATGAAGAGGACTTTCTGGGCAGTCCATCTGGCCCTTTGTCCTTGTCTTTGGCCCTCACTGGCGAGCTAGGCCCTGCACTGCCTGAAAGCTCATCCGAGGGCTCGCCTCCTCCCTGAAGCCCTCTCACACTCCCCACCTTCCAGGCCACCTTTCTCTGAATTCTCCAGTCACTTGCTTTCCTCATGCTGACTGCACACTGGCCCGCATGACCTTGAACTGTGGGAGTCTGTGGTCCTGTCTTCCTGACCAGACATCAGCTCCTTGAGGGGCAGGACACTGCTGCACCTTTTGTGTCCCGAGCACAGGGCCCTGTAAACAGCAGATGTTCAGTGTGTGCTGATGACGCTGATGCGGTGAAGTCAGCGAACAAAGTCCAGCCAGAGTCGTTCACAGCTCCAGATGACATCTCCCCAGCAGAAGACCTCCCACAGCTTCATGGGTAAGACTTTCAAAGTCAGAATGCTTCTGGTGGCTGAGTCATCTTTCTTGAGTTGAGATGGGGTGGTTTGGGATGCTGGTCTCAACTTTATGTCTCATCCTTCCGCGATAGCCTTATGTTTGAATTTGACTCAGTCTTCAAGCCTGGATCAAACAGCACCTCACTCGACAGTCTTTTGTGCTCTTCCGAATGGAGCTGATGGCTTCCTCCCTTCACACTTGGATCTGAGCACTTTCCTGCCCACTCTCAGTGCAGCAGTGCACCTGCTGGATGGTTTTACTGAGTCACATTTCTGATGTGCCTCTCGGGTGAACAGATCTATCTTTTTCCAGCATCCCTTCTGTGGGCATCACTCCTGTCTAATTTCAGGTGGTTCTGAAGGGACCATGAGTCACAGCACCTGCCCATCACCCCTGCCCCAGGAACACTCACGACACCTAGAAAGAGACGTTCATTTTAGCCCTTACTCTGGCAATAGTGACTGGGCCTGGGGATGTGCAATGGGCCACAAAAGACCAATCAGAATATTTTCATGGGATTTAAACACAGACACTTGGAGAAATAGGGTATTTTCATCAGGAGCAGCTCAGCTGGGAGGATATAAGCTTGGAGTTTCCAGAGTCTGGAGAAAGCCCGTCTGTAGTAAAAAGGGAATAAGCCTGAGGTAAGGCGAACTAAGGGAAAAAAAAAACAGAAAGAGAGAGAAAGAGAGAGCATCCTGACATCTTCTGAGCCCTTAGGCCCAGCAGAACCTAAAGAGCTGAACTTCCCAGTGAAATGCACCAGAAGATTCTCTTGCCATCAAGAGAGGCTGGAACGGCACTGCCCACACTAGCCTGGGCTTCAGGAGGGCGAATTCGCCCCCAGTTCTTCCCCCTGCTGCTCATGGCCACCTGCTGGGTATAACCAGTACAACTTCAACACATACTTTCTGATAATAAAATAAACGCATGAATGACTACTTTTCTCTCTATCACCCATTTCTCTATTTCTCATTTATACAGAAATAAATGAAAATTGTTAGAAGGAGGAGGAAAAGAGGAGACCTTTTTTATTGTGCCAGGCACTGTGCAATATCTAGTTTAGCCCTTGAAATGACCCTGAGGCATGACTGGTATTATCTAGTGTCTCGTATTATCTCTACTGCAGGCAAGGAAACCACAGTTCACAAGCAGGTCAGGGAAGGAACCACCATTCCAGCTCAAGTCTCCCCAACTCCACCATTGTGACCATCTTTCAGGTGGCTCCATTTGCACAGAAGTAACAGGCATGTGAGCTTTATAGTACTTACAAGTCCAGTGTTCCTAGAAACCTCAGGGGCAAATAACACTGAAATATTCCCAAGGCAATGCTTTGTTTTTCTGTAAAATTGTTCTGGGCAGAAGAGGAAGAAGAGACCGAGCGCCTCGGTCTGCAGTGCCAAGCACGTGGGTGCTGTGAGTACAGCTGCTGTGGCAGGAGGGCCTCTTTCCGGGGCTGGGGTCTTAGTCCTTGGGCAGGGCTGGGCAGTGAGGGGACCTCAGCCTAAGGGAAGTTCTGCCATTAACAACCTGTGACGCTGGACAAGTCACACGACTCTTTGGAATTCAACTGGAACAGGGATTCATTTCATTTCTTTTCTTTTTTTGAGACAGAGTTTTGCTCTTCTCACCCAGGCTGGAATGCAGCGGCACGACCTCGGCTTACTGCAAACTCTGCTTCCCAAGGTTCAAGTGATTCTCCTGCCTCAGCCTCCTGAGTAGCTGGGATTACAGGCACCCACCACCACACCCACCACCACACCTGGCTAATTTTTGTATTTTTAGTAGAGACGGGGTTTCACCATATTGGCCAGGCTGGTCTTGAACTCCTGACATCAGGTGATCTGCCTGCCTCGGCCTCCCAAAGTGCTGCGATTACAGGCGTGAGCCACCGCACCAGGCCAGGGACTCATTTCATTTGTCTGCTTGTTTTGGTTGATGGAGGTGGCTCCTGGGCCAGTCCCAGGGACAGCTGTGATGCTGGGGCCACCAGTGTGAGAGGATGGGTACATGGCATGAAACCCACTACAGGGCTCTGGGAGGGGCAGGCGCCCTAGTGGGCTGCACCCGTAGATTGCCCTAACACTCCGGCTTTAGGCAGCCCTCGGTGCCTCCTGCCTGGGGTCCCAGCATTGCCGATGGGAGCGGGAGAAACATTTTGGACAGAGCCAGCCTGGTGTGGAAGAGAAAAGAGTTCCCGACCTGGGAGTCAGCTACTGGGGTCCCATCCCACCCTAAGCCATTGGTTTGGGTGTGATGACCTCCGTGCCCTCTTCCACCCTGACACATGCAGAGTCAGCCCACAGCAGCAGGTAGTGGGACCACCATGTCATGGAGCCACCCCCACGGGGCCAGGGAGTAGAGGCGCCGACTCGCCCACGTTTCCCTGGGGACTGTCTCCCAGCAGAGCCCGGTTTGCAGTGTCCTATGCTAATGGTTGCACTTCAGCTCAGGATAGAAGCTTCCGTTTCCACACCTGGTGCAACAAGAGCAACCACATGCATTTTTTAATCACACTGCATTTGCAAATTTTTTTCCCCACACACACAATGACCTGGGCTAGGGAGGCCTTCCTAAGAATTATACCACAGAGAACTGCACACCAGAGCCATCGAAAGAACTGCCCCAGGTCCCACAGCTCCATGAGTGGGGCTGGCTGCGCTTGCACCCAAGTCTTCTGACTCCGAGTTGAACCCTGCATCTATTGTCTAGGAAACAGGGAAACCTTGCTTGTCTCGCTGGGACATTATGAGAAAAGAATCTATAAAAATACTTAAGACCTTTGCAAATTCAAAGTGCTGGGTCCATGCTGAATAATTGATGGGCTCAGGCTGCTTCAAGCTGACGCACAGTCCTCCTGCAGGAAGGCTGGGAGCGCGGAAACCTTCCTTTTCATTTAGCCCGGTGAAAGAGGCTGCTGAGAAAATTGCCAAGAAATACTGCTTCCCTGTTGGTCAGAAAGAGGCCCTGGCTCCTGGGAGCCACAGATCTAATTTATGGGCTCCCTGCAAGGCGGGGAGAAAGCCCAGGGCCACTGCAGGGAGAGGGGCTCTTGGGACGCCCAGTCGCTGGTGTGTCCCTTCCAAGGCTGCGGGGCTCTGGGAAAGGGCGGCCCTGGCAGGCAGGAAGAGGTGCCTGAGAATCTGACAGTTTGGAGGAGATGGGGAGGGGGAAAGTAGCCATGGGAAAAAAAGAGAAGGATGTGGTTTTCCTCCCGGGAAACGCTCGACAAGGCAGGGATGCCCAGACGGGCTAAGGCAGCCTGCTGCCGCCCCGCCAACCGCCACATGAGACCCAGGGCTTTTCTGGCCAAAGGCCATGGTGGCAGTGGGGATTAGAGGGCAGAAAGTAGACACAGAGTGGCCTTTAAAGCAATCTGCAGAGATGAAAGCAGAATGCAGCGCAGGCCGGTACCCTGGCTATACAAACAGGAAACACTTCCCAGCTGGCTGAAACTCAGACACCAGGGCACAGCTAAGGACACGGGGGATGTGTGCCCTCCCCTGTGGCTTCAGCCCACCAGAGTGGCTCCTAACCAGCTGGCATTGGCCTCAGCCTCCAAACAAGGCAGATCTAGGACTATTTGAATCCACAGGATAATTGGCTCCAAGTTGAAAATAGGCAGAATCAACAAACGCCAGCTCAAGGGGGGATTTGTCCAGATGATCTGATTTCTATTTTACTCTGCAGCACAAGTTCCAAAGCCCAGAGTTTCTAAAAGGCTTCGTAAGGCCTTTCACGGTGTTCCCTGTGCTTATGCCAACTGGGCACCTCCACGTTCGGGCTGGGGGTCCTGACCTCTCAGGGGCTAGAAGGGTCCTTAGGGTTTCCTGGTGTTTGGACGCAGTGGGGTCCCAGTGTGGCCTCAGCCTGGCTTGGACTGCCCAGTGCAGCCTGTAAGTGGCTGCAGGTGCAGCGCTGTGCCTGCACTGGGGTTTGGCAGGGACATATGGCCTGAGTGCCCGCAGGCAGGGCAGAAAATGGGATGTGTGACTTTGCTTCCCTGCCGTGTCAGCTTGCGCTGGAGGTACTTGGCTGCTGAAGCCTCCCGGGTTCACACCTCGCAGAGGAAAGGAATCAGGAGCAGGAGAAAGGGATGGAGCAAGTTAGAACAGGGCAGAGCCGGGTGTCGGGGGACGTGGGTTGGTTGACAGCCAGCCTGCCACTTACTAGTTCTATGACCTTGATCAACAGATTCAACCCTCCTAGGCCTAGGTTCCACATCCATGAAACAGGATTGTAATGGATCGTACCTCACAGTCTTGGAAGGACCAAATGAGATCAAGTTTACGTGAATTTTTAGTTACACCTCTAATACGACTGTCACCTCCTGCTCTTGACTGTGCTTGGCTGTCACTCTCCTTGGTCCATCGAATTGGGAAATGGCTCCTGCACTGCGAAAGTTAACTGAAGCGTGCAGAACAGCATTTTACTGTGAGCTCAGGACTCTACTGCATCAGCAACCTCGCCAGACTGCACGCTCCCTGAGGGCACGGCCTTCACCTTCTGCTTCCTTGGTAGGGTGGTGCATTTGGATCCTAAACTCCTTTGCAGAGATGGTGGGCTGTTCTGTGTGGTTTCATTATGCCAGCTACAACCTAGATGTATTCAAATCAGCAACGCCCACCCCTACCCCACTCGCAGCCACTGCCTCGAAGCAGAAAGCATCTGCTCCAGAGGCAGCAGGGACAGGCACTTCAGCGTCTTTATCTCTGGTCAGCATTGGGCATTTGATGATTAGCAAAGTAAATATTAGAAATGCGTTCTCATTGGTAAAGACAGAGGTATTCAAGATGTGTGGGTTGGCTAAATGAATTCAGAGACACTCTTGACTCAGGAAAGAGCAGGTAAAAGAATCCATGAGAGCTCCAGGGAGGTGTGGTCAGGGCAGCAGAGAGCAGATTGCTGGGCTTCACCGAGCCCACAGGACAGGCTGTATGGACTCCGCTGGACTTGTTTCAGGTAAATATTTGTCCAAAAATGTGTACGTCTGGCAGAATTTGCTCTGAGGCTGCTTTCATTCAAACTTGATAATGAGGCTGGCTTCACCTTCCTCCAAGTTTTCAGTGGCTGCTATCAAACAAATAAACAAAATAGCAGCAGCCACACAACCAAATTTGGGAAGTGCCTTTGTGACTGGAGGGACTTAGGTCAGTTCACGCCTGGCATGGGACTTCCAGGGCGAAGTGCGTGGAGCTGATCACAAGACTAGGGAGGTAGTGTCACTTTCAACTTGATGGTGGACAGTGGGGGCCAGGTCCCTAAGGCAAAGACCCTCATCCAGAACCTTCCTGGGTGGCCACCACCCTAAGCATGAGCCTGCTGACCTAGGGGCTGCTGTGCCCAGCCAGCTCGCAGAGGCTCCGCTGGCTTCCTGGAATGAGGAAACACTGCCCAGCCTTCGAGAAGGCCTGGAACTGTAGCCAGTGCACAAGTCACTGCCTAGGCTCTTTCCATACCTGCCACTGGACCTGGAAAATGGGGTCTGACCTGGGCCTGTCCCTCTAGGGATGCCCAAGGGACAAGCCCTGCGAGGGAGCCCTTGGGCATCTACTGCCAGCTTCCACCTTTGGATCAGGATGCCCTGGAGGGAACTTCCGGCCACACTGAAGAAATGGGGGCTTGGTCCATGCCCCCAGTGGGAGAAGGTGAACCCTCGTCCTCTTCAGGTTTCTGCAAAGGCCGCTGGGGAGGAGGATCACACTTATGGGCACCCGAGGGACCTTCTGGAAATTCCTCAGTGAAGAGAGCTTTGTGGTGGGGGAGCAAAGCCACCCCCCACTATAGATGACAACTTGGGGGGAGCTACTATGTGCTTGCTAAGGCCACGTGGCAGGGCCCTGGCATGGAGAGGAGCCTGACGCTAGACAGCTGCTGCTAGAGAAGAGAGGCCCCCTTGACGGCTGTGCCCACAGGGAGACTGGGCTACTGCTCAGCAAAGTCCTCTCGAGAGTGGCTGATGGATGAGATTTGATGCTGCCTGGCAGAGATGAGCAGGCAGGCAGTGTGCAGAAGGAAAGGGGGTGAGGTGGGAGCAGCCCCCCCTTGAACTGCTCTGCTCACCTTCTTTCTCCATGCTTGTCCTTCCTCTCCAACACTTCTCCAGAGAGAAGTGGTAGGGGTCAGGGTGGGGAAGAGTTGGCCTTTAATGGACAGGGCAACGGTCCTAACCAGGGAAAAGCTGAGACCTGCGGCCTACCTGACTCATCCTGGCAACACGGCCCTCGGTGGCAGCTCAGACTCTACAGGTGATTGCAGAGCCAGTGAGGCTCACCTGCCGCCCCTCCTAAACTCTTTTCCCACCCTGTCCCATCCTTCCTGCTCCCCACCTCCCCCTGCCCACCATGTAGCCCATCCTCAGCCCCTCAAGGTCTGTTTCAGTCTGTGCTTTTCCTTCCTGTCTCCACATGGCAATCCAAGTCTCGGGGTGCATTTGCACAGTAACAGCCAGCCAGGCTAATCCTAAGGGATTTCCAGTTAGTGGCACGTGCGTGCTCTCCCACCCCTGGTCTGGAAACCAGGAGCAAAGTGCTCAGTTACTCATTTTCCGCCTTTGCAAGCAGCTCAAGTCCCTTGGGAAAGCACAGCTCCCAAAGGGTTCTGGGAATACCGGGGCTCCTGTAGGGCCAACGGGGCTTTCTGTGAGCAAGATTTGCCTAGAGAACACAGCAGCCAGGGTGTGAGAAGCCTAGCAAGTAGTTTCTTCCTCATTGGCCTGGGGCTCTGTGGCTCTCTCTCAGCAAATAGTTAGGCATGGCCTTAATTTATTTCCCTGCCAGAGTTCCTCCTGGAGGGGGGCCAAGCTAGTAGACAGGAAGGCGGGGACTGGCAATTTAGTAGAAATCCATGCATGTAATTGCGAGGACCAGAAGAACAGGAGCAAGTGCGCAGGGAGTCTGGGGGCTCTGGGCAGGCAAGGAGGAGAACAGGGTGTGGGGGAGCAACCCTTTCTTCTGCTTCAGGTGGGAAGAATTGAGGCCGGCCAGGCCCAACAACACAGCCTTGCAAGCTCCTAATAGAAGAAATGGCTTTCCTGGCTCCACAGGGTTCCTCAAGCAGGCAGGGGACCTTCTCAGGTCATAAGATGAGCCCCACGACACAGTTCTCATTTCATCTGGGCGTGAGTGGTTTCTGCCCCTCTCTGGGCCTTAGATGCCTCAGATTTCCCAAAGCAGCCTTCGTCTGAGAGCACTGTCCCGGGAGTCAGGCACGTGAGGCTGACTCTCTGCTCTCTCACCAGGTGTGGGAGCCACACCAGGTCACTCAATTTCTTAGAGTCCCATTGGCAAAACGGATAATAGAGTCTCCTTGAAGACTGATGGGGAGGATGGAGTGACCAAGGGATGCGAAGGGTTTCTAAGTAGTGCATGGTCCATAAATGCACTCAAGAAAGAAGAGCTGTCATCTTTATCCATTCCAAGCACAGCCCATGGCTGCTTTCCAAGCTCCTTAAAAACACGCTGCAGAAGTTCCTATCCTGCCAACGCCCTCAGGCAACAGGCGCCACAGCACCTCTGCTTTCCCAAGACTTTGTCCACGCTCTCCACGCTCCATCCCGAGCTTAGTGAGGGGCAGGACTGTGTCTACTGTGTCAGTGGGAAGCTGCTTTGGAGCATGTGCCCCTTGGTGAAAACCCTGTGGATAGGACCTGATCTCATCTTCTGGGATTCTCCAGCAATGACGGGGAGTTTGTGGAAACTTGACTTGGGAGAACCTGCTTGCAGGCATACGGCAGTGGCCAGCCCCCAACCTAGAGTCAACCCTCCTTCCAGATCTTCCCAGGAGGTCCCAGTCCTCAGAATTCCCTCCAAGCCCCGCCGGGAATAAAAACCAGGCAGTAACGGGTGTGCAGAAAACCTATACATCCAACCTAACTTGGCTGAAGAAGACACCCTCCCCCCCGCCGTCTGTGCTCCGGTGTCTCGGTGACTCAGGGTGCCCACCTTCACGGCTGACCTGCTCATTCCCGGGGGCCCCTGCGGCTGTGCCGTTCCCTCAGGTCACACTGGCTTGGGTCCTTAGAGCACCCTTGGGTCCAGGTGCCCTGGGCCACCTCCCATTAGTTAGGGACCGCATCCGTGGGGACAGAAACTTCCATCTCACTGAACCTATACACAGGAGCCAGGCTGGGCTTGGAGGTCACCAGCCGCCTGGGAGTGGACCCGGAGAGGCTGAGTGCGGCCCTCCCTCTCAGACGGCAGACCCCGAACCTCCACCCAGAATCCGAGCCCGGACACGGCCAGCAGGGAGCTAGGAGATGAAGTCCAGCCCTGGCTGCCCGGCTCCTCTGGGAGGGCAGCGAACCCGCGGGAGCGCATGAGCGGCCTCTCCCGGGGGGGCGGTAGGAGCGCGTCCCCTCCAGGGCGCTTTGGGATCGGGCTGCTCCGGGCCACTGCTCGCGCTGGGGACCTGCGACGCCTCAGCCCCTGCCCAGACTGCGCCGCCCGCCGCGGCCACACCTCCCAGTCCCTGGGAAAGTCCCCGCCGCCGGCGCGAACCCACCTTCCGGGAGCCCAGGGGCCCTGCTGGGGACTCGCCGGTGTCCCCGCCGCCTCCTCCTGCGCGGGTCCGCGCTGCCCGGCCTCAGCTCAGGGCTCCCGCCTCGCCTCCCCGAGCTCCGGTGAATTCTCGGCGCTGCTCCTTTCGGAAAGGACTTTTTTTTTTCCCCCTGCGTTGCGTCAGGGCGGTTGCCTGGCGACGGCCGAGCTCTCCGCCGCGAGCCTTTCACCGCGATCCCGGCCTCGCGTTCTCGCCCCGGGTCCGAGCGCGCCCCGGGTCCTAGCGCCCTGTCGGTTCACCGGCCCGGGCAGCCCCCGCGAGTGGAGAGGAACTGCATGCCTTCGCCAAACCTCAGATGAAACCAAACCCAAACATCCATTTTCTCATTAAACCCGAAACCAAGGCAGTTTCCCCCAATTGTGGCAACGTGACTGCGCCACTGTCAGAAGTTTGTCCGCATGGAGGGCGCAGGGGGACCCCACGCCCAGGGCCTCACCCACCCCCAAACGGCAGGAGTTCATAGGACCCGCGGCCACGACTGCCCGCGAGCGCCTACCGTGGGCCACGCCCCCCGACGACCCAGCAGGGCAAGTGTAGGCATCTCTGGCTGCCAGATGAGGAAACTGAGGTGCAAAGACGCGAGCGTTTGCCCCACTAACCACAGGGTGTCTGTCCCGCCAGGGGCGCGGCATCGGCCACCTCTGGCTGTCGTTAGATTCTAAGACCCAGTCCCTGCTGCATCAGAGCCCAGAGCTGCAAACCCTAAGGCACAGGCAGGACAGCAGCCCGAGCTGCCCGGACCGCAGGTCTTCAGGACCAGTCCCAGCTTCTGACGAGGGGCCCAGGCCAGACACTGGAGGCCCCAAGGCTGGTTACTGGATGGGGGTCTCTTACCCCAGACCTCATCAAGCACCTTTCCTAGATGCCCGGGGCTGGAAGCGTCTTTCAAAGGGCTCCAGTCTGCCATTCTCACGATAGCCCTGGGCGTGCGCGCAGGCGCCGCCTACATGGCCAGACGCGAAGCTGAGTGGTGGGGCTGCAAAGTGACTGGCGCAGGCTCCAGGCAGGTGCGCGGCTGGTCGGGCCTTCTGTGGGGTCTTAGCCCCTGCAGGGGCCCGAGACACTCGTGCTGCCCTCTGGTGCCCGCGTCCTTCACTGCAACTCCGCATCCAGCCCTGACCTACTCCCTTCCTTTCTGACCTTCACTGGAAGGTCCTCTGAGGGACGTCGTCTAAGGAGACATCTTGCCAGTACAGACCTAGTCATGCTAATGAGGGAACGGTCCTAAGCTAGCGGGTGTATTAACAAGCATCTTTTGGAGAGTCACAGCCTTGATCCAGATCTTCTGATTCCAGCTCCTAAACATCACTCCTTCCTTCTTCCTGCCCGCTGCCACTGTCCCTACCCAAGCCACCAGCAGCTTGCCCTACCCAGTTCTGGGACCTGCCACCCGGGTCCAAGCGTGCACGCAGTCTCCATACTGATCTCCCTTTACCCTCTCTCAGCGCCTGCCAAGCCAGTTACTCCTCCACAAACAGGGGAAACTCTTAAGAATGGAAATCCAGTCTCAGCTGCTTCTGCTTAAAGGCCTTCAACGCCCCCAGTCCTCTGAGGATTAAGAGCTAGCTTGGCTGCAGGGGCCTGGCTGGCCTCTGTCCGTCTCTAGGGCCTTGTCTTGCACAGACCCTGCTCCCCAGACAACAGACCCTCTTCCAGTCCCATTGTGCACCTGCTCCTCCCGACAGGCTGCTGCAGCTCTGCCTCCTAAGGGAACCCCAGGTTACAGGTGCTGGCAGCCCCCTGCCTTATGTCCTTCATGGACCAGTTATAATTCCAAGTTTACCTGTGAGGTTATTTGATTAGTATGTGTCTCCCTCTGAGGCAGTAGGCTCCGGAAGGGCATGAACCATGTTTGCAAGCAGGAGCCTCAATCTGGACTTGGGGATAAAGCATCCTTCTGGGTGCTGGCTGTTTCTGACCACAGCCCCGGTGCTGAGCCCTAGTTGGCTGCATTGCTCACTGGTGTGCCCATGGCCCTGGCACGTGGTGAATGCTCCAAGATCTTTTTGGATGGGCCATTCAGCCCCATCTGGAAATGCTTTGTCCCACCTCTACCTCCTGGCTCCCTGTTTGACCTATGGCTTCTATTTCTGGGAGTGCAGATGCTTTCTCATGGGGGAATTGTGGCATGCCTCAAATGGACAGGCAGCCTGTCCAAGGCAAGGGTGGTGTCTTGCCCTGTGGCTCCCATTCTGCCTGGCATTTGTCTGCGGGCAGGAGGGTAATCAGTGATGGGGACCAGGAGGAGAGTGGGCCAGAGGAAAGAGGAAGGGGAGGAGGAAGAGCAGTCTTGGTTGGAGTAGCCTCAACTCCAACGTGAAATCATATGGAGTGGTCAAATAAATGAGTTAGCACAGAATGGTATGTAGCCATAGAAATAATATTCTCAAAAGCTATTTGATCATATAGAAAAATACTAACGATTTAACGCTAAGTAAATAAGACTGGGACACCAAATCCTGTGTACATTATGAAACTTCTCATTCCAATATCTAATTCATATGTATGCATGGGAAAATAGATTGGAAGAGTGTATGCAAATATTAGCTGTCGTTATCTCTGGGCTGCAGGATAATGGAGGATTTAAAATGTCTTCTGTAAGCCTGCATTCGTTTTCTACAATGAATCGTTTTGTAATGAGAAACATCAAGAAACACTACTCAAAAGGGAAGATGGCACTGTGTTGGTGTTTCTGATGGCACTTCCTTTTGTGTCAGGCACACTGAAACCCAGTGATGGTGGGAGGATCTGGGTGGGCCAGAGAAGGCAAGGCCACCTAGAGGTTCTCTCTTCCCTTTGATTCCTTACAGAGAAGTTTTCTTTCCGTTGGTGCATGATGCATGAGACATTGCCTCTTATAATCCTACAGGAAGCTGTGAAATAGATGAGTCAAGAAAAATGCCCAACCAGGCATGGTAGCTCACACCTGTAATCCCAGCAATTTGGGAGGCCGAGGCAGGGGGATTGCTTGAGCCCAGGAATTGGAGACCAGCCTGGGCAACATGGTGAGACCCCACTTCTACAAAAAAAAAAATGAAGAAGAAGAAAGAAAACTCAGCTGGGCATGGTGGTACACACCTGAAGTCCCAGCTACTTGGGAGGCTGAGGTGGGACTGCTGGAACCCAGGAGTTGAAGGTTGCAGTCAGCCATGATTGCACCACCGCACTCCAGCCTGGGCAACACAGCAAGACCCTGTCTCAAAAATAAATTAATAAATAAATAAATAAATAAATAAAAGATTTAAACTTAAAATATTCTTTCAGAATTTCTCCCAATTCGTTTATTCATCTGTTCAATAAATACGTATTAGTACCACTAAATACCAGACATTGTTCTAGGCTCTTGGGAAATGTTAGTGAACAAGTTAGATGAAGGACCTCGCCCTTGAGAACTGATAATCTAGCAGAGGAAAGCAGGCAGACGATGACCGACAAATACGCTAAGTAAATAAGCAATATTGTGAGTGATAGAAAAACAGAATTGTAGACTTGGATTGGAAGTAATGGCAGAGGAGGGGAAGAGTGTGCACGTTTTCAGGCAAGGTAGGCAGGGCTGGCCTCGCTAATAAGGTGGTTTTCTAGCAAAGATTTGAGGGAGACGATGGAGGGGGTCTTGTGGTGTCTCGGGGAAGGGTGTTCTAGGGAAAGGGTCAGTGCAGAGGCCCTGGGCCAACAAACGTGCCTGCCACAATCAGGGGCCAGCATGGGTGCCTCGAGGCCAGAATGCAGCAGGCAGGGAGTAGAGCATGGGTGGGAGATGACATCAGAGACAGGGCAGGGCAGGTGCTGCGGCAGAGCCCTTGGGCCTGGCAGACCTCGTGAGGACTGGCCTTCCCCCGAGGGGAGCTCCAAATGCACAGCTGGAACCAGACTCTGCTCTCTTGTCACTCTCAGGGCACAAAGCCCTCTCTAAATCAGTCTCTCCTGATCCCTTTTGAGTCTATAAGCTACTTGAAGGCGATTCCTGGATTCTAGGGATACAAGAGAAGGAAGGATGAAATTTCTGTTGGGCTCTGTGGGACAGAGGACACTAAGGGTGGCGACATCCCTGCCCTGCTCCAGGCAGCAATGAAGACTCTCAGCCCAGGGCCAGAGTCCACCGGTCTCTGCTGTTTTCCTGTGAAGGGACTTGTCCATCCGTGGGCCCAGAGTTTCAAGAAGAAGCGGGAAGTGACTGTCTTAGGCATGTTCAGCTGCAATGGCTCCTCCCTGCTCTCATCTCTCAGAAGAGGCTGATTCAGGCTGAAGTTCAGAAGGACAATGAGGGCCAGCTTTCTGTCTTCTAGGGAACCTGTTAGTTCCATTTAGGGGCGGCTGGCTCTGTGCCACCCGGGGGCTAGACACGGGAGTGTGGCGCACGTGGCTTTTTGGTAGGAAGATAATTAACAGAGCAGTCACCACACAGAGCGTCCACCTTAGTGCTGGAGTAGGGAGGTGACAGATTCCACCTGAGCCTAGGTGAGGCGGAGGAGTGGGCTTCAGCTAGGAGAGGTGCCCACTCTGAGGCAGCAGAGGGAACTGCATCTGGAAGGGCATGTGCGGAGGCTTTGTGCAGAGCAGGAGGTTGCTCAGCGGCCGAGGTGAGGAGTGGCGGGCACAAGGGCACAGCTGCAGGGCTCGGCGCAACTGCAAAGGCAGGGGATGAGGAAGGAGCGCATCACGGCTCTCCTAGCTCAGAAGAGCTGGGCAGGTGAGGGGTTGAGACAGGAGGCCCACACAGAGGTTGTTTCTGTGTTTCTGCTGGCTCAAGGTGATGAGGCCCCCCGCATGTCCCAGGTGATGATGACATTGGGACGGCAATAGAGGTGGTGACAGCAGGGGACCACGAGTCAGGCAGACCCGGGTTGCATCCCAGCTCCTCTGGTGATTAGTATGTACCATGGGCGGTCACTTAAGTTTTCTGAGCTACAGTTACATCATCAATAAGATGGAAATGATTTTACTGTTCATAGTACTGCCTTGATCCGTGAGCGAGAGGGCTGCCTGGGCTGGGTTTTAGAGAACCCTGCCCTGCGCTTTCTCCAGGCAAGATGGCCGGGGGTCAGGGGGTGTCCTCTCAGAATCCACTCCCTCCTTTCCACCTGGGACCTAGGGCCCAGGGATCTCCTGCTCAGATGGGCCACGTTCAGGCCTGTGTGGCCTCTTCCTGGTCTATGGGGTTTGGATGAAGGCTGCGCTCTCAGGCTGAGCTGCTCCCCTGTCCAAGCTCTGGGTGGGAAAAGTAAGAGGGGGGCCACAGGTGGGGCCTGAGGCCTCACTCCCACCTCCCTTCTTTGTTCAAGGGTCCAAGGATGCAAATCAGAGCCTTGCTTTTGAAGTTGTTATAAAGGCATATTTGTCAAGGCAGGAGGAAAGAACGAAACCTATTTTCCAGTTTATTAACTTGATTTATAACTTTCAAATATTTAGAGACACGGCATGTGGGCCTCCCTTTGTGCATTCACTTTGGGCCTCTCAAATGTCAGGCTGGGACTGATTTGAGCCTTTCTTGCTGGTTTGTTTAAGGAGCAGATTACGCAGCACACCGCACACAGACATGAGCGATCACCTCCCGTATCCTGCCCCTCTCCATTGTGATGTCTTTGAGTTTGTGGAGTTTGCTGTTTTATCTTGTGAACACTTGTAAGAACATCTTCTAGAATATGCTGTGGAATGCCCAGCACCAGCACATCCTTGGTGACAGCTGGAAGGAGGCCTCCTGAACATGCACAGCATTTGTTTTTGTTTTGTTTTGTTTTTTGTTTTTTGGGTTTTTTTTTTTTTTTTTTTTGAGACAAGGTCTCTCTCTGTTGCCCAGGCTGGAGTGCAGTGGCGTGATCTCGGCTCACTGCAACCTCCGTCTCCTGGGTTCTAGCGATTCTTGCATGCACAGCATTTGAAGGGCACCAGAAATGTCACCACTAACAACAGAAGACTGGAAACCCTGATGGGCAGGGGAGAGCCTTCTAGACGTGATTCTAAGCAGTCCTCTCACCCAGTGAGCCTGGCTACTTTGAGTAATGGAAAGAGCCCTGAGTAGGAGCCAGGAGATCCAGGTTCCAGGGTGGGCTCTTTTACTAACTGGAACTTTGTCAAATCACTTCCTTTGGTTGGATGGCTTTCTTTTCACTAGAACGAGTGGTTCCAGCTCTGCCATCCTCTGACTCCTGATTCCATGACACTCTGCACCTGCTGAATAGACTCTATCCTGCTGGGCAGAGGCAGGAGGCCGGACCAGGAACTGTCAATTAGTGGTGTCTGGCAGTTACTATAAATCAAGGCCAGCAAGATAAAAGAAACAGGCTGGTTTTGAGGCTGGGATGAGAGCCAGCCCAGGATGTTCAGGAACAAGGCGGCACCCCCATCCTGGGGAAGAGCCTGCTTGAACTCAGGGTGAGGTGGCCCTTGACCTGCAGGCAAGACCAGGACCTGCAGTAGAGCTCTGCCCCTTATGGAAGCCAGGACAGGGAAGCCCAATGTCTTCTCCAACTCAATAGCCCACGGCAACGTCAGTGATGCAGGAGCGAGGACACAGGGGCTCATTTCATCTCCATCGGCCAATCCCTGATGATACCTTGAGAAACCAAGGTGCAGAGGACAGACTGATGAACACTGGTGTGGGGGGAAGCTTGTTGCATACAGGGATGATCATTCTGTCATCAGGAAGGCCGAGACATGAGGCAGGCTTTGGAGGCAGGAGTGAAACAAGGTGCTAAAAGAGAAGGACTGCCTGTCATTCACCAGTGCTGGGGGGGATTTTTGGGGAAACGGGACTTGGGCTCTTAATATTCAACCTCTTTTCAACAACTGTACCCCGAAGAGATACTGAGGACAAAGCCTCCCTTATACGTAACTTCTCTCCTAAAATCAGCTCTAACCCACTGCCACGTAGATGTTCAAACAAAAAGAACGCACACCTTCTTTCCCATCCCCATCCTGGCCAGGGAGGTGGGGAGGAAGTGTACGCAGTGCAGGGTGCGGTTCTATCCCTGGGTCTGCCCCTTGCTGTCAGGCTGCTTTGGGCAAATCCCTTAGTCTCTTGAGCTTCAGTTTCCTCCTCTACACATTGGCAGTACCAAGAGCTACCATGAAGTTCACTGTGAGGATTAGAATTAACGCCTAGAAAATGCCTGACAGTCTTAGACAGGGAGTAGCACACAGGGAATGGTGGTTTTTTTGTTTGTTTCTTTTTCTTTTTCTTTTCTTTCTTTCTTCTTTTTTTTTGAGACAGAGTCTCACTCTGTCACCCAGGCTGGAGTGCAGTGGCGCAATACCAGCTCACTGCCAATCTTTGCCTCCTGGGTTCAAGCGATTTTCCTGCCTCAGCATCCTGAGTAGCTGGGATTACAGGCATGCGCCACCATGCCCGGCTAATTTTTTGTATTTTTAGTAGAGACGGGGTTTCACCATGTTGGCCAGGCTGATCTTGAACCCCTGACCTCAGGTGATCCGCCTGCCTTGGCCTCCCAAAGTGCTGGGATTACAGGCACGAGCCACCGTGCCCGGCCAACACTGTTTTATCACGTCTGCGCGCCAACTGCTCTTGGTTTGCGCACCACCTGGAAAGGGGTGTGGCTTTCACTCATTCTGGTACCAGGCACAGCATGAACAAATATTCAACAAGCAAACTGGCAGCATTCCTGGATATCTTAGCTGCCTTGTTTGTCTTCCCAGAGCATGAGGTAGCCCTGTTTGGAACCTGACACCAGCAAAACAGGACGGCGCATGGAACAGACAAACATGCCCCGTGGTTCAGCCACAGTTTTTGGGCACAGACTCCAGAGCACTTCCTGGCCCAGGAAAGCAGCAAGCCACTCCAACCTGGTCAGCTGCCAGGCTATGGTTCACATCTTAGGATTGAGACTTGGTTTCTGCTTCACAGACAGAACTAGAGGCAGAAAAGAAGAGAAAAATCAATACAGGCACCCAGAGATGGGCTTACCTAGGGTCCTGGAAGATGCGAGAAGCCACAGTGCAGAGGACAGACTGATGAACACACAGAGAAATCACTTCTGCAAGAACCCACTGATGTTTCATGGTCTGATCAAAATGTTTCACAATCAGCCCTCCTGGACAAATGGCTCTGTGGGATGACGCCATAGGCTTACGGGGAGGAGACAGGGAGTAGGAAGGAGAAAGGGAGAGGAAAAGGAGGGGGTAAGGAGGAAGATGAGGAGGCAGAGGGGGAGGGGGAGGAAGAAGAAGAATCACAATAACATCAACAGCGAAGGCGACATGAAGGAGAGGGGAGGGGAGAGGGAGAAGGGAGGCAAAAGGAAGGGAAGAGAGAAAGGTTCAGAGTGGGTTGCACTCTGCCCAGCAGCCAAGTGTCCTGGAGTGAGGAGCCCATGGGAGTCCCCTGGACACTGTCAGAATAAACAAATGAGCAGGACTCTTCCCCTCTTACTGTCTCATAAAGGCCTTGATCCAGCAGACTGGGCAGTCCAGTGGTTGCAGGAAGGGCCAGACCAGCCTGGGGCTAACAGTTCTGCAGCCAAGGCCCACCGTGGTGCCCCCACCTTAGGACAGGTTCCTCGGCTTTTCCTCTGGGACCCCCTCCCTGTGCCCCTCCAGCCTGGCCTCAGTTTTCCTACTCGGTTTCCCTATGGGCCTCTCTGCACCCTTGTGCATGCTCACAGAGTTGAAGGACTTGGATTTTCTTAGAAGTTTTCCAAGAGGAAAAACGATCTGTTGGCAATTGCAAATACTTTAGAGTGTCTGCATAAAAGCCTCTCAACCTCACCCCACCCCCAGCTGGGCCTTCTCACCCTGATGTTCAGCTGCGCAAGTCACTCAGGCTTCTAGGATCTCAGAGTCTAAAAGAAATCAGATGAGGCCCAAAAGAAATCAAGCAGAAGCCAAGATTAAAATACAGTTGAGATCCAACCTTTTACACATCATACTCCTTCTGAACCTCCTGCAAAAGTCTTCTTGCCATCAGAAGAGCCATTACGTTTTAAAAACCCACCCCACACAAGCACACCCATACAAACATATCCAGTACCAATTATATGATCTGACTCAATCAGGTCAGATGTGCCTATTTGCAGGTCCTAGAACACACAGATTCTCTAATCTTTCCCTAAATGTATTGATTCTAGCTCCTTTCCCCTGCTCTATGTCCCCTCCCCCAACTCAAATTGCTGCCCTTCACCTGTGTTTCCCTATCACCTGGGATACCTGCCACTCCCACACTCACCCCTGTGGACGCAGACCTCTTGGTTATCCTCCCAGTAGACTACGAGTCCTATGAGCTCAGGGGTGGTTTCTTATTCATCTTTGAGTAAGGAATGTTCCCAGTGCCTAGTGCAGGGCTGGAATGCAGTGGGTACGTAATCAATGATGCTTCTACAAGTGAACAAATGGATGAATGAATGAGCGTGCATTCTCAATAACCCTTCTGCTTAGTTTCCTCTGTTGAAGAAGGAATGGGTGGGAGATGAGCCAACCCAGGGAAGCCAGGAATGTTCCAGATGGGTAGTTGGTGCCGGGCTGGGTGGTGTGTGAGCCAAGCCGTTTGTCCTCTCCAACCTTAGGAATGAAGCAGGAGGAGAGGAAGGAGAGGCCAGAGGAAGCAGCACCCTTAGTTCACTGCTGATGTGATGTGGCCACCAGTGCCCACCCCCGCCCCCCGGCTTTCCCCCATCCCCAGTCAATGACAGAAGGACAGGCATGGATCTCCCCACTGTTTTTAATGGGATTGTGTGATCTTGCCTCTTTTCTAAGGAGCTAAAATGGAGTTGTAGAAGATTCCATCTTCTTTCTCGGGAAATCGGCAAAAGGCAAACTTTGACAAACTTTGACGCATCCTTTCTATAGACAGAGAGGCTCAGATCCCTTCACGAGGTGCCCCCAGGCCACAGGGGAAGCTGGGCGTGGACTCACCAACCTCCCTAGCACCCAGTGCTGGTAGCAAATATGAGTCCCTGCCCAGGCTTGATGGCGGCGTTTATCCTCCCACAGCCTTCCGCCCTGAGCCAGGAGCCAGGCCTGTGCAAGTGTTTTCTGCTCAGACATAGGACAACTTGGGAAAATTCTATGACTTGCCCCACCTCCCTCCAAAGCCTCTGGGAGCCCAGGTGTTTGCACCTGGGTTTCTGGAGATTCATGTGAGCCGGGGTGGGGGAGGATAGAGCCAAGGAAGGGAACACGGGGCCCCAGGGCCTTAAAACCATTCCTGGGGGGATCACTGCCTTGGCCTGAGCGACAGGGTGGGAACTTAGGCAGCCTCTGGCTTAGAGCCCTATGTAGACCTAAAACGCTCTCCTGTGTGCCTTGTTTGGGAGATGGTGTTTTGGGCTGGAGTGGGGGTGCCAGGGAGGAGGCAGGGCCTGAGTCTGTGACAAAGAAATTGGGGTGGTGGGAAGGGAGAGTGTGTCTGAGCAAAGCTGGGGCCACCCACCCCTGGGGAGGCCCTGAGGAGAGGAACCGAGGCCAAGGGCGACATCGGCCTGGATCCGCAAAGACAAAGAGGCCTCCGTTCCCTGGACTTATCCTGGGCCTGGGCCTGCCCAGCCCGGCCTGTTTGCCCACCACAGAGCCGGTCCCCAAGGCAGTCAGGTGAGGAAAGGCAGCTCCTCTGGGAGCTGAGGAAAGCTGAGGGGAGTTAAGGGTCTGGGAGCTGAGGGTCTGCTTTTCCTGCCAGGGAGGAGCAAGTGGCTGAAGGCCACGGCTGAGGAGAAGGGCAGGCCTTAGGCAGGAAGGGCTCGGAACAAGGCCCACCCACCCCCTCCTTCCTCTCAGCCCCTTCTCTGAAGGAGGCGTCCATCCTCTCCCATCCCCTTCTTTCTGGCGGAAGCACTCAAAGCCCCCTCCCGTTCCCTTTTCAGCTCCCACCCGAATTCCCATAGCCTTGTTCAATTAGCCCTTGTTGGGGGGTCTCTGGGAGCCTGTGCTCCGCACCCCATGCCCCCACCCCATGGAGCCTGCACTCCATCCCACAGGGCTGTCTCCAGCTTGGGAATTCTTTATCCTTCTCTCTTCCACCTAATCCTACTACTCCTTGCACTTGGACATCTTATGAGGCTTCCTTACCTCAGGGAGACCCACTCTGGCTACCACAAAGGAAAGAAACCCAGTTAGGGGAGGCCAAGCACTGGCTTCCTAGATAGATCCTTCTAGAATGTTTGCTTTTTAAAAGAGAGTGATCCTTTACCCCGAGCCATCTAACTGGGGAATTTCAGGTCCCAGGACACAGTTAAGTCCTCTGTTTTCTCCAGAGTCCGCCATATGAAGCAGCAGCCGTGGCTGGCATGCACCAGTCACACCCGGCACTCAGCACACGTATTTCTTTATCGTTTTTCAATCATATGTTTAGATTTTTTTTAAAAAATAGATCCTTTAGTTTTTGTTTCTGTCCCATTTCTTTTTGGATGTCGGAAATTTGAAAAAAAGGAAAAATAAAAATTTCTCCCCAGAAGAAAATAGCAGTCATCTATATTCCCATGAACCATAACGAACTGCTATTGACATTTCAGCATAATTTCCTCTATGTTTTTCATAGCCCATATTATTTTTAAAAGTATGCTAGATGTAAGTAAATTGATTCTTCTTCTAGAAAATTCTAACATTATAGGTAAGGCTAAGCCCTTTTTAACCAACCCCCACCCCTCAAAGCTGCTTCTGGCTCCTCCTCCCCATAATAATCTCTACTATGAGTTAAGGGTATATTTCCCTAACCCGTTGTTATGACTTCTACGTGCAGGTGTATATAAAGCACATACAGTTTTATTTTGTTTATTTGTATTTTTTAATGGTTTTAACATTATAGTTATATGCATTGCTCTGCAATTTGCTTTTTTTTGTTTCTTGCAATTGGTATTTTGATTTTTTTTTGTTTGATTTTTATGAGACAGAGTCTTGCTCTGTCACCCAGGCTAGAGTGTAGTGGGGCGATCTTGGCTCACTGCAACCTCCACCTCCTGGGTTGAAGTGATTCTCCTGCCTCAACCTCCTGAGTAGCTGGGATTACAGGCACACACCACCACACACAGCTAATTTTTTTATTTTTAGTAGAGACGGGGTTTCACTATGTTGGCCGGGCTGATCTTGAACTCCTGACCTCATGTGATCTGCCTGCCTCAGCCTCCCAAAGTGCTGGGATTACCGGCCTGAGCCCCTGCACCCAGCTTGGCATTTGCTATTGATACACACAGATTTAAGCCACTTCAACAACCCACTCCCTTCCTGTTGGGCATTTCAGCTGTTCTCAGTCACTGCACTGAGACAGCATCCTGTTCACCCATTCTTCTCGAGCACAGGCTCCCAGAGGTGACATCCTAGGTGAATGGGCCAGCACATGTTCTGTTTTACTAGAGACTGACAGAATTCACTCTATATATCGATGTAACCATGTATATGCCAACCACTAGGGACCTGTTTACCTATGAACCAAGCCAACTCCTGATAGTGACTGACATTTTTGTGTGTGATATGGGAGAACAATATCTTACTGTTACTTTTCATTTCTCTTGTTACCACTTAGGTGAGCATGTAATTTTTTTTTTTTTTGTATGGATACCCAAGTACTCCATCGTCATGTAGTGAGCTGTTTATTGCATCATTTATCCTTTCTCTGATGGTTGAAAATGCCAACATTTTAATACACTTTATTTCAATATATGCATGGGTCATTCTATTCAATTCTATTGATCTAGCTGTATATTCCTGAGTTAATTGATACCACACTATTTTAATTATTATGGCTTTATAATGCATTGATATTTGTAATTTTGCTCTTCCTTGTAGTCATTCTTTTTTTTTTTTTTTAAGATGGAGTCTTGCTCTGTTGCCCAGGCTGGAGTGCAGTGGTGCGATCTCGGCTCGCTGCAAGCCTCGCCTCCCGGGTTCACGCCATTCTCCTGCCTCAGCCTCCTGAGTAGCTGGGACCCTTGTAGTCATTCTGTAAATGTATCATTTTCTTTTGATTGATGAGGAAATTGAGCCTCCAGAGTTAAAATGATTTGTCCAAGGCCTGTTTTAAAAAGGACCCAAGGCCCAAAGGGTCTTCAAATGGGGTCCATGGATTCTCCTGCCCACTCTGCTTTCCCTGGGCCTTCCCGCCCCTTGGCATGTAGTGTGGGACAGGAAACAGCCCATGAGCCTCGTTCTGGGCTTCTGTAAGGAGTGTTGGAGTGTTGAAGGCCGGAAGTGTGAGGTTCGTGATCAACTCAGTATACCACTGGACGCTATATGAGTAAACAGCAAACTATTCTCATGAGAGCAGGATGTTGGGCAAACTGACAAACTGCGTCTGCAGCTCAGAAGGAATGCTGAGGGCAGTCACAACCCAGGCACAAGTGTTTCTTGTGATTAGGCAAATCTGAAGCCTGTTAGCAATAACGTGAACCTGTGATCAATCAAGCAGCTGACCAATCGTTACCTCCTCCTCCCTGCTCTCACTCCCCAATAATACGAAGGGCTGTAGAAGCTCAGGGCTACTGCTTTGCTCACTAGAAGTAGGGAGCTCTTTTCTTCTTCCCCTGGCCCTTTTCTTTAAAAGAGTTTTTTTTTGTTTTAAGTTTTCATTTCTGTGTTTGTCCTCCTTCGTTCAGTCTCGTAATGACGGTCTCAATTACTAACAGCAGTAACTGTTATAATGATGGTCTCAAGTAGTAATTGTGACAGTCTGCCACACGGGGGGGGTCATGTCCTACATTACACAGCATCCCCCCCAAGGGGACTCACCAGACATTCCGGAATTTTGGGTGAACTTTGTGTGATCTCAACCTCAGGAGAACTGGGCTTCTTTGAACAGCTGGCTGTTTTTTCCCTTTTGGACATGGATCCATGAACGGTGGGGCTGTGCTCTTCACCCTGGCTCCTAGATAAGGAGTGTTGGGGTGTTGAAGGCTGAAAGTATGAGGGTCGTGATCAACTCAGCATACCACTGGAGGCTATAAGAGTAAACAGTACACTGCTTACCCACCGCCCCATCACGTGGAGAGGCACTCATGGCAGGCTTCGTGCCTGCAGTCCCCACTCCCAGCTCCATCATACTCCTCTGCTCTTATCTTCCCCTTTGACTCATTCCACCCCTCCCCTCACCAGCTTCTTTAAAAATGTTTTATTTGGTGTATTATAGTTGTGCAGTGTTTTTTTTAGAACAAGGTAGTAAGGCACTCTGTGAATGAAAAGTTAAAGTGAAGCATTTCAGGTAGTGTGGGGGCTATTTGGGGCCTCACCCCAGTGAGTTAGGAGATTCCAAGATCTTCTGGGGGCCTCCAGGCTTCCCTGTCCCATCCAGAACCTCTCTCACCTCCCCAGAGAGAACCCCCCCCACCCATGCCAACGTCCGCAGCCACCACACCTCCCCAGCCCACCCCAGCTCCAGCCACACCCTCCTGCTCCTGGAGTTTGGTTTGTGTCCATCGAGTGATGCTGGCTTAGTCTCCGCTTCTGGTGCTGCCCTGGGCGAGGTCAGGACTCTCCTAGGCATTCAGGCCTGAAAGAGCTTCCCTTGACTCAGCCATGACTCACCAGGGGTGGGCCCTACCAGGGCGGGGTGGCCCCCTGAGGGGTCTTGGGATGGCCTGGAGTTTCTGAGCTATAAACATTGCCATTTAAATTATTGAAATTACTGAGAAAGTTTGATATGTGGCAGCTCAGCCTTCAGGGGTTGAAGTTCCTAGAACATCTGCTTTCAACTCAAACCAGTTAGTGGGATTGTGGCATGGAAGTCTGGGAAATGTTTCCTAAAAGGCCAAGTGTTGGAGAGAAAAGAGGACTGGACTGCGGGTTGGGAGACCTAGGATCCAGTCTGGGTGTCACTCCTCACTGGACTGCAACCCTGAGCAAATCTCTTTCCTTCTCTTGACCCTGTAAAATGGGGAGAATAAGGCCTGTGTGTGAGGGTCCCTTTAATCACTGAGTAATTACGACCAAGCACCTTTAATGAGCTAAGGAGTGTTCGAGGTTGCTGGGGGTAGAGTGGCGGAAAAGAACGGCAAGGCAGTAGCAATCAAATCCACCAATGCAACAGGCACCTTTAGGTATTGATAAATACCATTAAGAAAACAAAATAGGGTGGCTCACGGGAGAGTACTGGGGGCAGGGGAGTTAAAGGTGATCAGAGAAGGCAATTGTCCAGGTAACTGATGCCTCGTCCCAGCTGATAGCAATGGAGATGGGGAAAAGTGGGTTGACTGCAGATAACCGTGGAGGTAGAGCCCTTAGGATTTGCAGACTGGGAGAATATAGTCACCAGGATGATGACCACCAGGGTTTCAGGGTTGAGCAACATAGTCAATGATGCTGCTGAGTCATTGAGCTGGGGAAGAAGTAGGTCTAAGAGGAAAAATCGAGAGCTTGGTCTTGGACATATTAGGTCTGAAGCCCTAAGTTGACACCCAAGTGGCACCAAGTGACACCAAGTGAAGATGTGATGCAGACAGGCAGGCACATGACTGGAGAGCGTGGTGCAGAGCTATAGCCAACACAGGGACTCACAGGTGGTGAGGGGCTACCGGAGGCATGGCTGCAGGGCTCTAGAACTCTTTACTGTCTCCTCCCTGCTCTATTCCCTTTCAAATACACTCACACTCCTCTCTGCCCCTAGCGCCTCGAGCCTGAGCCTGTGCTGGCCCTTAACTTCCCCTGCAGGTGGCTCTGGGGCCATTGCCAGCTCTCTGCACAAAATCCACACATAAGTCCTGGGCCCAGAGGCCGGCTTCAGTTAGCTGACAAATAGGAAAGCAGCCAGTGGACTTTCTCCAAGGGCTCAGCCACACTGGGCATCTTATTTTCTGATAGGGCATTTCTGTCTTTCTTTTTTTTCTTTGAGGGGGTGCTGTTATGTAGGAGCAAGAGAACAATGTACCAATCCACAGGCACTATTGACAAAGTTCCCGGGATATTTTTAGAGTGGGGCCTAGCTTTGAGTAGTTCAGAAACCTCTGGAGGCCTCCAAATAGCTCAGTGTGGCAGCACCTCCAGCAGGGAGGGCTCCTTTCCCTGAGGGAGCTTTGGAAGACAACAGAGGGTGCCAGCTCCTGGGATGGGTGCCCCCGAGATTCCACATGGCAGCTCTTACACTTATATCAGGGCTCGAAAATGAGAAGTTTGGGTTCTGGTGATACAGCCATGGTTGGTGAGCTCTGGTATAAAGAAGCATCTTAGCAAGCCGCAGATACACAGAGACGAACTCCATTGTCCCCAAGTGACAATGGGGTCCAAATAATCAGGAACCCTAGTGAGCACCTGCGCCTTGCTCAATATTAGATCAGTTCATTGTTCACACACACAGTCACTCTGTCTGGTGATGATTGCTGTCTCTAACTGCAAATTGACAGGGCAGGAGGTCAGTAGGGAAGCACTCCAGGTTGTTGGCTGAGTTGGCATCTGTATTAGTCCTTTCTTGCGCTGCTATAAAGAAATACCTGAGACCAGGTAACTTATAAAGAAAAGAGGTTTAACTGGCACAAGATTCCACAGTTTGTACAGGAAGCCTGGCTGGGGAAGCCTCAGAAAACTTACAATCATGGCGGAGGGCAAAAGGGGAAGTAGGCACGTCTTACATGGCGGGGGGAGCAGGAGGAAGAGACAGCGGGGAAGGTGCTACGTGCTTTTAAGCTAGATCTCAGGATAACCCACTTACTATCATGAGGGGATATCCACCCCCAGGATCCAATCACCTCCCACCAGGCCCCACCTCCAACACTGGGGATGACAATTAGACGTGAGATTTGGGTGGTGACACAGAACTGAATCCTATCAGGATCTTTATCTCAGGACAGGGCCTGGGATCTCTGCAGTTGAGTAGGTGAGCTACGACCTGTCCAAGGCCCTGGGAGGACACAGGCTCATCTTCAGGGACTTTGATGGGTCCTCATAGCCCAGCCCCATCTCAGTGCTGCCAAATGAGGCCCGTGGCTTCCACTAGAAAGCAGAGTAAAGGACATCAGCATCACTCTGTGGAGGGTGCGATCAAATAGGATGGATCTGCTGCCTTGTTCTCCCAGTGCTGTCACCCTGAACCACTGAGCGTCTGTCCATGACTACACACAGGACGTCTCCGTGTCGTCGGGAAAACACCCACCAGCAGCCAGAGCTTACTGACCTCCACGGAGGGCTTGGGCCGTGAGGTGGGGCTCTCTGGCTTGCCGCCCTGGCTCAGCCTTTTACTAACCTTGTGATTTTGGACAAGTCACTTAACGTCTCAGAGAACAGTAAAAGAAACTGCAGTATCTCACTGAGTTGTCTGAGAACTAGAGGAGATAATACCTGAAAAGAAATTAAAACAGCAGGTGGTCATAGTAAGAGTGCAATCAGTGTTGGCTGTTATGAGTATTCTCTGCATGGGAATCCCCCACACGGCTGTAGGGGGCCATGCTGGGGCCACAAAACCACTCCATGGAGCAATGCCTGTCATCAGAGAAGTGGGGCATTATAATTAGCAGGCGCCAGGTCATTACTGTCCCCTGTGACCAGGGAGCACTGTTCTTACCGGAGGAAGGGGGACGGGGAATTTTGAAAGGTGGACAAAAACACCAACCAAACAAAACACTGAGGCAAAACTAAAAACAACAGCATCCACAGTCTTCTACAGATTGCCCCCAAACTATTTTGTCTACTGTCTCAGAGAGTAGGCAGTCGGCTTAAAGTACTCAGCCTATGGCTGTCCATGGAACTCTATACCAGTCTGCTCAGGCTGCCATAACAAAATGCCACAAGACTGGGTGGCTTAAACAATAGAAGGTTATTGTCTTACAGTTCTGGAGGCTGGAAGTCCAAGATCAAAGTGCCTGCTGGTTTGGTTTCTTCTGAGTCCTCTCTCCTTGACTTGCAGACAGCTGTCTTTCCCCCCGTGTTCTCACACTGTCTCTCCTCTGTTCATACACATCCCTGGTGTCTCTATATGCTTCCTCATCTTATAAGGACACCAGTCAGGTTGGACACAGGCCCTCCTGAAATAACTCATTTTAATGTAATCACCCCTTTAGGGCTCTATCCCGAAGTATAGTCATTCTGAGGTGCTAGGGTCAGAGCTCCAACATATGAATTTTAGGGAAACACAATGCCCTTCATAACAAACTCTATCCACAGAATTTCGAGATGTGCAGAATACAGACTTTAGGAGGACTTTAGAAATAACTGAGTTTCCAGCCTGGGCAACATGACGAGACCCTGTCTCTATGAAAAGTTTTTAAAAAGAAGCCAGGCAAAGTGACATGCAACTGTAGCCCCAGCTACTTGTGAGGGTAAGGTGACAGGGTCACTTGAGCCTGGGAGGTCGAGGCCGTGATGAGCTATGATCATACCACTGCACTCCAGGCTGGGCAACAGAGTGAGAACGAAAGAAAGAAAGAAGGAAGGAAGGAAGGAAGGAAGGAAGGAAAGAAGGAAGGAAGGAAGGGAGGGAGGGAGGGAGGGAGGGAAGGAGGGAGGGAAGGAGGGAGGGAGAGGGAGGGAGGGAAGGAAGGGAGAAAGAAAGACAGAGGGAGAGGGAGGAAGACAAGGGAAGGGAAGGGAAGGGAAATCACTGAGTCCCTCTGAGTCCCTCCTTTACCTCAGTTCAGAATAAAGGAGCCTTGTTTCCCTCCTGACTGTCATTCATTTCATGTGTTCAGTCACCATGGCTACAGTGACGACGGTAAATGTCTTGTATGTCAGAAACAATTCTAAATGCTTTGTATACTTCAGCTTGTAGAATCCTCACAAAGAGATAGGTATTACTACTATCCCCATTTTAAGGCTAGGAAACTAACCACGGCTAGGTTGGGCAACTTTTCCAATTCTTGGAGCTGTTGAATGTCTGTGGCAGCGTTCGAGTCCAGGGAGTCTTGCTCTAGAATCCAAGGTGTTAACCATTAAGCTTTTTCAGAGACACATGAGGACACACATGTAAAGACCCACACTATTCATGCATCTTGCCTTTAATTTAAAAGAAAAGGCAATGAACATTTTCTGACTGCCTTTTGAGGGCCAGCCACTTTACAGCCTGCTCTCAGAAGAACTCTAGGAACTCTTGTAATCTCAGTTTTTGAGAAAACTGAGGCTCAGTGGTGAATTGACACAGCTGGAATCTCACAGCTGGTAAGTTTATGAAACTAAAATTTCAACTTTGAGATGCGTGATGGTAAAGTGCTCATCCTGTTGGACTCAGTTGCTTCCAAGGCTGAAAAATGTTCCTTCTGAACACTCCACACCAGTGGTTTTGGGGGGTTTATTTTTGTTTTTTTGCCCTGTGAGGCTTGATGGCTGAGTGGTAGTGAAAATCAACTTAGTTGGTCAAAACCAACTTTGGAAAATGAAATAGAGATGAAGTGGTATCAGCAAAAAGGCAGACTAGGCAGTCCCACCCCTGTTCACCCATAACAACTGTGATTTAACAACTACCCATGTATGAAAATGGCTCTGAGAGAACTCCAAAGTATAATTAGAAAGCTGCAACACCCCAGTGGATTGCAATAACAGAGGACAGCCACGGAGAAAACTGCTGGAAGCATTTCATTTGCATCACCCCAATCCCAAGCTGGCACAGCTCGGATGCCAAGAGGTACACCCTTGGTCACAACTTCTTCCAATGGGAAAAAAGGATAGCAGGACCCTGGAAACCTTTACAACTGAGGACACTAACAGCCCTTACTGCTGTTGCTTGCTGCAACAGGCACCTGCAGCCTTTGCCACTGAATACCACAGAGTCTTCGCCAATGCTCATCCTAGCTGACAGAGCTGCCCAAAGTCCATAGCACTGTGCCCTCCAGAGCCAGAGCCATCACTGCTCCTTTCCTGGGACCTGAGTCACCACTATGCCTCCCCCAGGGCTGGAGTCACCACCATGTGCATTCTTGCACCCCATCGCATTGTATATGTACCCACCAATCAGACCCATCACTAATGGTGGCCATGTGCCCACTGGCCAGACCTAGCATCACCATGTGCACCCAGAAATGGCACCTCTGCATGCCTTAGAATCAGCATCCCTGGACCTTGTGCCAAACCCAGCACTGCTCACGCCCTTTCCAGCCAGTGCCCTTGTGCCCACCCATAGGTAAAGGCCTTTTCCTACCAAAGCTGGTTTGTAAAGTCTGGAAGAGGTGGCTACTCCTTTATGTGAAGGCACAAGGCAAGGGTAAAAGGTGCACCAAAAAATCAAGGAAACATGACAGCAACAAATTAACACAATAAATATCTAGTGAATAACCCCCTCAAAATTGAGATCTATGAATTTCCTGACAAAGAATTCAAAATATCATTTTAAAGAAGCTCAGTGAGTTACAAGAAAACAGAGTTCCTGAACTCAGGAAAAGAGTACATGAACAAAAGGAGATGTTCAGGAGATAGAAATAATTAAAAAAAAAAAAAAAAAAAAGAACCAAGCAGAAATTCTGGAGTTGCAGGATACCATCAATGAAATGAAAAATGCAGTAGAGAGCTTCAACAGCAGACTTGCACAGAAGAATCAGTTAACTCGAAGACGAGTAATTTGAAATTACAGTCAGAGGCATGAAAAAGAATTTAAAAAAATAAAGAAATCCTATGAGATTTATGGTATAGCATCAAGTGAAACAAATACACATTCTGTAAGTTCCAGAAGACGAGAGAGAGAAGTGAAAACTTACCCTCACTTCTAATTCCTGAAATTTCTGGAGATTCTGTGATGAAAATAGAATCTTCTCTTTTCTTTGTTGATAGCTAGTTTTATCAAGCCCATATTTGGTTTCACTGATTATCTCTTTTTTTATTTGTCTTCTATTTCATTGATTTCTGCTCTAATTCATTAATTTCCTTTTACTTACATTGTGTTTCACTTGTTCTTCTTTTTCAGTGATTGTAGACCAACCTTGTATTTTTTCTAGTATTAATATTTATAGCTATAAATTTCCCTCTAATTTTTTAGCTGCTGCCATAAAATTTTATGTGCTATACTTTCATTTTGACTCAGGTCAATGTGTTTCTTAATTTTTCATTTAATTTCTTCTTTGGGGTTATTTAGAAGTGTGTCATTTAATTTACACCAAACAAATTTACACCAAATAAATTTAACAAAATTATTTCTGTTATTGATTTCTAATTTAATTCCATTATGGTTGGAGAAGATACTTTGTTTAATTTTACTCCTTTTATAGTCATTGAGACTTTCTTTAAGACCCTATGGCTTACATAGGGTCTATCCTGGTGATGTTTTATGTAAGCTTGAAAATAATGGATATTCTGGGTGGATTGCTAATATATGTCAGTTTAATCAAGTTGTTTGATAATGTTGTTCAGATCTTTTTTATCCTTTCTGACTTTCTCTCCACTTGTTCTATCAATTACTGGAAGAAAATTCTCAAAATCTTCAACTATCATTGGTATATTGTGTATTGAACTTTTTAGTTCAGTCAGATTTTGCCTCACGTGTTTTAGGACTTTTTAAAAAGGTACATGAACATAATTTTGACAGCTCTGGCTATTGCTTGCTCTTTTCTTATTATGAAGTCACCCTTTTTTCCCAGTAATATGTGTTATCTTAAATTCTATTTTGCCTGATATTAATATAGGCACCCCGGTTGTAATGTATTTATTGTTCACATGGTATGTAGTTTTTTTGGATCCTTTTACTTTTAATCTGTTTGTCTTTGAATTTAAAGTTTATTTTTTGTAGCCAGCATAGAATTGGGTCTTGCTTTCTTTTCAGTCTAACAGTCTTTGCATTTTGATTGGAGTGTTTAATTCTTTTAAATTTAATAAAATTTTTTATGTTTGGATTTAGATTTAGAATTTTGTTATTTTTTCTACTTGTCATGTCTTTTTTGTTCCTCTATTATTCTTTGACTAGTTTTATTATTTTATTTTTAATTTATCTTTGAGACAGGGTCTCACTCTGTCACTCAGGCTGGAGTGCAGTGGCACAATCATGGCTCACTGCAACCTCTACCTCCCAGGCTCGAATGATCTTTCCATCTCAGACACCTGAGTAGCTAGGACCGCAGCTACTCCCGATTAATTTTTGTATTTTTTGTAGAGACAGGGTTTTGCCGTGTTGCCCAGGCTGGTCTTGCACTCCTGGCTCAAGCAATCCTCCTACATTAGCCTCCCAAAGTGCTGGGATTACATGCGTAAGCCACCATGCTTGGCCAACTACTTTTATATTAAAATATTTTTAGTACACCATTTAAATTCTTCTGTTTATTTTTTTAACTCTGTTTCTTTAAATCTTTTTTCCTTAGTAGTTGCTGCAGGGATTACAATATGCATCTTCAATTTATCATAATCTACTTTAAATTCATACCGATTTACTTTTTTTGGTGAAAAATAAAAACTGCACAATTATAGCTTCATTTCTTACCCTCCCTCCTCTGTGCTGTTATTGTCATGTATATTCTATTTGTACATATGCCATACTGTGTTATAAACCCACAGTTATAAAACCACAGTATGGCATTATAATTTCTGATTTAAATAATTGTGTGTGTGTTTTAAAATAAGACAAGAAAAAGTAATGTATACATATACCTTTTATATTTTTATTATATTATATATTTTCACTTTACCTACATGCTTACCATTCCCAGTGCTCTTCTTTTCTTTCTGTGAACTGGTTTACTATCTGATATTAATTTCTTTCATTTTAAAGGACTGCCTTTAACTTTTCTTGTAGTGTAAGTCCAACAGAACTAAATTCCCTGTTTTGTTTATCTGGAAAAATATTTATTTCACCTCAATTTTTGAAGGGTAGTTTTATCAGATAGTAAATTTGTAGGTGAAAGTTCTTGTTCTTGTTTTTGTTGTTCTTTCAGCACTTTAAACATGTCATTCCACCACCTTCCAGTCACCGTTATTTCTGATGAGAAGTCAACCACCAATCATGTTGTCTTTAATGTGATGTATCTCTGTTTCTCTCTCTTTCTCTTAGTGCTTGCAATGTTATCTCCTTTATTTGGCTTTTGGCATTTTGACTATGACATCTAGGTGTGATTCTCTTTAAGTTTTTTTTTGTTTTGTTTTTGTTTTTGTTTTTTACCTTGGGTTTATTCAGTTTCTTGACTCTGTAAGTTAATGGTATTTACTCACATGGAGACTTTTCAACTTTTTAAAAAAATAATTGTTCTGTGCCTCTTTCTCTTTCCTCTCCTTTTGGGACTCCTATTACATTTGTGTTTGAACACTTTATATTGTCTGGCAGGTCTCTAAGGCTCTGTTTACTTAACTTGTCGTTCTCTGTTCTTTGGATTGCATAACTTCTGCTCTATCTTCAAATGTACAGCTTCTTTCTTCTGCCGTCTCAGATCCGCTCTTGAACCCATGTAGTGAATTTTTGTAATTTTCAGCTGTAGAAATCCCATGTGATTCCTTTTTTATAATTTTCATCTATCTATCCAAAGTATCTATTGGTTCACTGTTAACAAAATTTTCTTTAATTCTTTGAACATTTTTCCTTAATTCCTTGAGCATAGCTATAACAACTTCTTTGAAGTTGTGTCTTAATCTACTGTCTGTGTTGGTTTTTCTGGTCACACTTTCCTGTTTCATTGTATGTCTAGTAATTCCTGGTTGAAAACTAGACATTGCAGTGATTCTAGATTCCATTCACTTTCCTAAAAGTTGTTGGTTTTCTGTTTTAGTAACTTTTCTGGACTTAAATTGCAGAATTAATCTCCTCCATGGTGTGCAGCCACTGATACTACAGTGCAGTTTTTATTATAATATTTTTCTTTGTTTTTCAGTCTGGCTCCCTAAAGGTGTCCTCTATTCTTGTATTATATGATGATGAGACAATTATTTAGACAGAAGTTATGCTCAGGTACCTTGAACAACTAAGCCTCCCATCTTCTGCTGCCAGAGCTGTGTGTGGCCGAAGAAACACATTCACATGTACAAGTCCTCACGGAAGGTGGGAGGGTGAGACAGGGGTGAGGGTTGAAAAAGTACCTATTTGTTCCGATAGGTACTTTTTGTGGCAAAACCCTGTCTCTACAAAAAAATACAAAACACTAGCTGGGTGTGGTGGCATGTGCCTGTGGTCCCAGCTACTTGGAGGCTGAGATGAGAGGATCACTTGAGCCCAGGAAGTCAAGGCTGTAATGAGCTGTGACTACATTATGGCACTCCAGCTTGGGGGACAGAGTGAGACCCTGTCTCAAAGAAGGAAAAAAAAAACTACCTATTGGGTACAATGTTTACCATTTAGGTGATGGGCACACTAAAAACCCAGACTTCGCCACTATGCAATATATGCATTGTAAGAAACATGCACTTGTACCCCTTAAATACATAAAAACAAATAAATTTTAAACTAAACAAAAAAATTTTTGCACATCGTCAGGTCTCCCTTGGCTCTCACTTTTTGCTGCCTTTTTGGGTTTCTTCCCTAGTCAGAGATGTGCAGGGAGTTTATTGTCCCAGCCCTCTCATGGCTTGCTTACTTCCAAGTTCTCATCACAATTCTGGCTGATCTCCTGTCTACCATGAAAAGAAGCTATAATCTCAAGCCAGTAAAGCTGCAGATTTTTATTTTCTCCCTAGAACTGATTCCATGAACTTTAACCCATAAAACTGCAGATTCTCATCTCCCCCATCCCAGACCAAATCTACCAACTTCTGCTGGTATAGCTACTAGTTTTCTTTTTATCTATTTATTTATTTAATTTATGTTTGAGGTGGAGTCTCGCTCTGTCACCCAGGCTGGATTGCAGTGGTGCGATCTCAGCTCACTGCAACCTCTGCCTCCCGGGTTCAAGCGATTCCTGTGCCTCAGCCTCCCTAGTAGCTAGGACTACAGGTACCCACCACCACACCGAAATAATTTTTGTATTTTTAGTAGAGATGGGGTTTCACCATGTTGTCCAGGCTGGTCTCGAACTCCTGACCTCAAGTGATCTGCCCCGCCCTCAGCCTCCCAAAGTGTTGTGATTGCAGGCTTAAGCCACCGCTCCCTGCCTAGCTACTGGTTTTCAGTGACAGCCCTCAAACCAAGTCCACCATTCCCATTAGGTAACCTGTGCTTTTCCTCACTCAGGCCAGGGGCTGGGGAGCTTCAGGCAAGATGTCCGTAGACTCATGGCCATTCTGACGCAGGCCATTTTTAAGATTAAACACTTATCAGATCATTGTCTGCTTTTGGTTTTTCTAGTACCCAGAAACAAACATTTTCTAGTACCCAGAAATTTTTGTTTTTGACAATTTTGTCTAGTTTTATACTTGTTTTCTTCAAAAAGAAATTGGCCAACTTCTTAGACCCTTCTGAGGTGAATCTTGGACTGGATTGGTTTTATGTTTCTTCCACTTACTTTATTGCCTACAGCTTTTGATTTTGATCAGAGATGTACTGATATTAGGAGGCTGGTGAAGGCACATGGAAGGAGAGCTGAATTTTGCATAAGTCACCTCAAATGTACAAAAATAAATGGCAGAACCAGTGATGCTGAACGCTGAACTGGGCGTTTCAGAGCTAGGGTCTAGTCTCAGTCCCGCCTTGAGAAAACCGCTTTGAGGTTTTCTAACAAAAGGCTCCCCAGCCTCCCCTAACAAGTGTCACTGTTCCCATCTTCTCCCCGGGGTCCTTTCCCCACCTCTCTTCCGCCTTTCTCATGGGCCCGTGACTGTGAGGGTGAAAATGGCTGAAATTAACTTTCACTTCTGCTCAGACATCTGGAACCCATGAGCAAAGTCATTTCCTTGTTTTCTTTCTGAGTGGCTGCTGGAATCGTGTGTGTGTGTGTGTGTGTGTGTGTGTGTGTGTGTGTCTGGTATTGTTATTTTCCAACCTCTGTCTGTTGGGGTGGGCATAAAGGTGATGTCTTATCACAGATCACATAAGGGCCAGCACACCTCCCTGCAAACTCTCACATCCCCTCCCACTCTAACCTTGGGTAGACAGACCATGTATTTTCTTTGTAGGATGCTGGGTTTCCTGCTCTCCACTACATTCTCTATACCCTCAAGTCCAAGTATATAAAAGTTGTCCAAACGTCAGCTATTTAGGCCCTATTGAAAAAATGTTAGAGGCGGTTCAGGCAGCGTCACAACATCCTGGTTCAGTAAAAGACTCAGCCTAGGGATCTGTCTCTGAGAGTCTGTAGGAGTCTTAGTCACGAATCATGTTCAAAGCCTTCTCCTTGGCAGCTTCCCCCAGTGACCCCTGATAGAATTATTGCCTCCGCCTCTGGTCTAGCACTGTGCCCCGTTGAGGCCTCTGTGGCTACATCTACTACGCTCCACTGCAGTGATCTGCTTATCAGGCCCCTTCTCCAAGCTCCTTAGGCTGAGACTCTCAGAGGAGGATGGAGTGTAGCTGCGTTGGTATCCCCAGCCTCCAGCAGGTGCTTAGCACAGAGCAGGTGTTCAGAAAAACAGTGCTGCATTAATTGAATTGAAATAGGAAGACTAAGTTACCTCATCTCAAATCAGTCACTTTTTAAATCAGAAGCTCGCAGAGTTTGGAACTCATGTTTCATGTTTGGATCCATGTAGTAGGTATCAGGAAGTGAATGTAAGAGTAAATTAACAGGAGCTGCCATGGACTGAGCAGGCCCAGGGTTCTGGACATTGTTGTGAGCCCTCTGCTACCACGTGGAGAAGATCAGCTTTGGGACTTAAAGCAATTAGCCACATTCACATCAGCTTCCAGGTATTTGGAGTTTATTATGTGCTAAATACTGTAATAGATACTTTTTATGCATGAATCCATTTATTCTCACAAAACCCCTTGGGGAAGTGAAACAGATTATTTCCATAGTGTCTTAAAACCCCAGAACTCTGCGTTGCTGCGTCTATTGACATGAACACCTGTCAAACCTGCAACTCATAGCTCAGCATTGTCTCAGTCCAATCCAAGGAAATGAACTCCTTGAGAAAGCTGACATTCTGGACCATGGGGTAGAAGCTACCCTGTCTGCCTCCCACACCCACTCTCAAGGATCCAAGACTATGAAGGGAGAAGAGAGAGCCCACCGAGTGACTTCCTCTTATAAGCCAATATCAAGACACTAGTGGAAAGGAACCAGCTGACCAGTGGCTCACTGTGTCTGGCTGGACCAGCAAGACTCTGACGTCATCACAGAAGCCTTCTTGGTCCCATTGGTCCTTTGACTGCTGTGTACAGGATGCCACCCACCACTCCAGACACCACTCACCGCTCTAGATGTTGGGATCCTTCTCCCGTTACCTCCATTATTCTTGTTCTCTACTCCTCTGAGTTTTCATAGCCAAGCAAATTTCCACCATTGAAGAGGCTCTGAGATCCAAGTCAACTAACTACTGGCTAGGGTACTGTAAAACACATGGGAAATTAGCTTTTACCAAACACCAATTCTATGCCCACCATTCATACCCATTCTACCATTTAATGCTGATAGTATCCTGTGAGCTAGCTATTATTAGCATCATTTAAAGACAAAGCAAAACCAGTGAGGCTGAAAGAACGGCTGCCCTGGTGCACACAGATGGCACATGGCAGAGCCCAAGCCCTCTCCATGAGATCTGCAGCGTTTGTCCACACGGCAGGGCAAATTACCTTGTAGAGTCAGCATGGAGGTTTGCTAACTCTGCCGGACTTGGTGCAGAAAAAATACCAGCCGTGCTGTTAAACCAAAACCCCAGGAGAAAACTTTCTGGTGACAGAAGGGCATTGTGACCCACGTTGCCCAGGGCCAGGGACAGGGCAGCTGCTCATGGTCCTTCCTCACGAGTTTTCCTGGAGCAGAGGGATACCCCCAAACCCAGGGAGCCCACAGGAGCTTCAGAAGGGCTCGGCTGGAGGGCGGGGCCCCTGTTGCACTTGCTCACTGGGGACTGGGGAGGCTCTGATCGCAGACCGGGGGTGCTGCCACCTCTGTCTGCTGCCGGCAGAAAGCCACAAGCCATGAAAACTGATTGAGATGAGAAGAATTCATCTGGGACTGGCTTTTGCTTTAGGATGGTGTTGGAAGTTGCTCGTTGTCGCTAGGAGCCTGCTCCACTGTAAGGGTGTCGGGATCTGAAGAGCTATGGTGAAACACCACTGAAGCATTGCCAAGGTGAGGCCCTGCGTCTTCCGGGTTCTTTATCGTCTTCCTTTAAATTGTGCAAATGGTGCTGTAAGGCCTGTAGTGGGGCAAGCAAGCAAGGACATTGCTGTGGGTGCCACAGACGGAGGAAGAGGCATGAATGGATCGCTGCCTCAGCTATGAATAGATTTCTCCATGGTTTGTGCATTTCCAGTTTTGAGAATTTTTAATTTATAAAAGGTCATCCATCCAGGGTAGATTCTGCTTTTTGGAAAAGGCAGTGAATGTGCCACAGAGGAGAGAAGGGACGTGGGATGTAGAGAGGGGGTTGAGCGGGCACACACAGGCCACTGCTGCGCTCCCGGCGAGTCACTCGGCCTCTTGATAGGAGGTGATATTGACTGTGCAGAGCTGACAGAGGTTAGTGGTCACAGGCGGGGAGCATCTGGCTCAAGGCAAATGACTGTTGCTTTCGTTTTATTTGTTTGTTTCTGAATGAAGTTGTTCCATTTTTCAGGCATTCAGGAATGGGGTAACTGAATAGATGTAATGATGATCTTCTTGTTTAAGAGATCTATTTCACCAGGAAACACCAACTGTGAAAAGGAAAGCATAGTTGATCACATATTTTGAAAGGATTTGTGTAAATTGTAAGGTTTTGACAACGTTTCCATTTATCTGGTAATGCGGGTGGATGAAGTTCACCCTCATCCACCCACATTACCAAGGAACTAAGGAATTGTGCGTTTGCAGTAACAGAGAAGAAATTGCTGTGATATGTGCATATCCTCCTCCCTCGGGAGAGTGGGACTTAATTCCCCTCACCTTGAGTGAGGTTTGGACTAAGAGTATGGAAAGGGAGAAATAGTAGCTCTGTAGAGGAGAAACCTGCAGATGCCAGCTTCACCAAGGGACCAAGCTTAGCATCACCGGGAATAAGCTGGGCTGCTATTGTGAACTGCCACGACAGTGCGGTTCTTCCCGCCAACTCATAACCCCAGTCAAATCATGAGAAAACATCAGACAAATCCAAACTGGGGAAGATTCCACAACATATTTCACCTTCAAAAATGTCAAGGTCATGAAAAACAAAGAAAGACAGGCAAAGCGTCACAGATCAGAGGAGACATGATGGTCAGGACACCCAAACCCAGAATTCGCATCCTGTATTGGATCCTAAAGCAACACCGCAAAGGTCATTAGTGGAAAAATAGGTGAAATTTTAACAAGACCTGGGGTCTCGCTAATATTGTGGTAACAATTACTCCTTAGTTCTGGCAAATGTACCATGGTTACGTAAGGTGTTCACATTAGAAGAACCTGGTGAAGGAAATATGGAAATTCTCTGTGCTATCCCTTGTAATTTTTCTCCAAATCTAAAATTACTGCAAAATAAAGAGTTAAAAAAAATTAGACTCATTCTTCCTCAGAGCAGGAGTAGCCAAATCCTGAGCATTCTTGGGAAAACTGGCGTTCATGGCCTGGTGATCACACCTTCTCTTTGAACATTCTGGAATATAGCAGGCCTTTTGAATTTTTGACCATCCATCATTCTCTCTCCCAACCCCTACCTGATTCCAGAATAGCTCTGTATTTGCCTCTCTTCATAGTATTTCTCATGGATGATTATATTGTTGTTGTTGGTGTCCAATGGGTTTTGTGGGGGTTGTTTTTCGTTTATGTTTTTTGTTTTTCAGAGATGGGGTCTTGCTCTGTTGCCCAGGCTGGAGTGCAGTGGCAAGAGATCATCGCTCACTGCAGCACTGACCTCCTGGGCTCAAGCGATCCTCCCAACTCAGCCTCCTGAGTAGCTGGGACCACAGGTACGCCACTGTATCTGGCTAATTTTTTAATCTTATTTTTTGAAGAGATGGGGTCTCGCTTTGTTGCCTGGGCTGATCTCCAACCCCTGGCTTCAAGCCATCCTCCCACTTTGGCCTCCCACAGTGCTGGGATTGCAGGCATGAGTCACTGTGACTGGCCCAGCATGCATTTTTGAGCCTTTGCTCTGTGGCAGGGGCTGCAGGATGGAATACACCCTCATCTGCCCAGCGAAGCTCACTGCACTGGTGCAGGCTCCTGGCACCCCAAGCACAGGCCCAGCTACCCAGACCTGACTCCTCTCCAGGAAGGAAGCAGAAAGCCAGGAATGGAGAGAATGAGGACCCAGGCCCCTGGGGGAGTACAGAATTCCAGCCAGGAATCTGCCGTCCTCTGGGCTCAACCACCCCACAGAATCTGGTCAGCCAAGTGGCTGTGAGCTGGGCTCGACAGCCCTTCCTCGAGAGTAAACTGTGGCCTCTAGGATGTAGAGAGGGGACTCAAAGGGCCAGATCCCATTTGAGTGAGGATTCTGACCTTGTGAGCCCACCTGCAGCCTGGGGTCTGCAGCCTTGGGGACTGGCCACCGGTGGCCAGCATCCTGGCTTGCAGGGTTCACGTGTATAGAGAGGTAACAGCAAGACAGAGAAACCTGGCCCCTCTTGCAGGCCCAGCAGAGCAGGTGAGCCCTACTCAAAGGTGATGCTGCGCCTGATTAGAGAAAAGCTTCCAAAGCAGGTGAGGAGGAAGAAAAAATGATGAAGCCGCAGGAAGACAGCACGTAGATGGAAATCTCAACATACTGAGATGGAAATCAATCACAAAACTCTTACAGGAAAATCACAGCTAAAAGTTGGTGATTACATGTGGGCCTGCAGTGCCTTTCCTGTCACATCTGCTACCCCACTGCCAGCCTGCTGCTACCCCACAGCAGCCCTCCCATTTGTGGAATGTTCCCTGGCGTGCTCCTGCTTGCCTGAATCCCTTCCCCACCTTCCCACCTAGGCAACTTGCATTTGCTCTGACGTCCAGGGCAGGTGCGAGTGTCTCCTCCCAGTCACAGTGCCCAAGCCCATTTGTGTGTCCCCAGCAACCACCAGCACACACCCAGGGCTCTGGTTTGCAGGCCTGCCAGGTTCTCTGGACCAAAGCTCCTGAGGACAAGGACATGCCCTACATGTGCCTCCAGGTCCCAGCACCCAGCGCAGTGCCTGGCCCACCAGGGGTATCTGGTAAAGTGGTTCTTGAGTTAAAGACACAAGGGCAAAACCTTAAATGAAAATCAAGGTTAAGACATGAGGATGAAAGCTTGAAAGAGGAAAAGCAAAGATAATTGAATGATCATCCCTAATCGTGGTGCACCCCAGTGCCATCAGCATGCTGGGGTTTTGACAGGACCCTTGGAAGAAAGAGAAGAGGCATCTGAGGCCTCTGGCACATTCCACTTCCTGTAAGACAGTGTGGTATAGATGAAAGCATTGGGGCTTCCTGCCAGCCAGGTCAGTCTGGCTCTGCACCTGCCAGCTGGGAGTGTGAAGTGGGAGCAGTTGCACCCACTCTCAAGCACAGACATGAGAACTGAACAGAACCACGGAATGGGGGTCCAGAGCCCAAGACATAGACGAGGCTCCTCCTTGTCCACTGTGGGGCTTGTGCAACCCCTTCATCAAAGCGCTGGTGCTTTCCACATTGTAATCAAGGAAGTTTTCTCAGGTTCCTTCTCATCACAACTAGCTGCTGGCCTTTTTGCACACTTTGGCACCTAGGATGCTGAACCTGGACCAGTGGGAGGCAAACAAGACACACCTGGGATGCAAAATGTAAGGAGGCTCCCATGCTCAGGTCGTTCAAGTGCAGGAAAAGTTTGTGTATGTGTGAAACGCACAATGCCATGTGGTGTCTATAAGGGCATTTGAGGTTCTGTGCTTAATGGATGAAGTGGGTTCTGAGCATTGAGTCTGTGGATTCCTGATGAGTTTCCTGGTGCTCTGAGCTCCGTGAACTTGTAAACAAGCTTTTGTGTAGGTGGGTACTTACAGTTTTTGTCAGATTCCCAAAGGGGTCTGTGAACCCCAAAATATTTGGAATCATACAGTCAAATATCTAGGAAGAATACTTTAATTTTCTCTCTCAGCGTGTTGTGGATATGAGGAAGTGGAAAGGACTTGGACATAGAAGTCAGACAAAGCAGCCACATCTGAGTGGTCTCGTCCTGCAGTGTAGTGGTTAGACGGCTGGCCTTGTCAACCAGAGGGCTCCAGTGCAAGGTTCAGCCCTGGCAATGTGAGCAAGTCACTGTGTGCCTTCCTGAGATGATAATAGTTTGACCCCACTGTATACGAGCAGCCTTACCTGTCTCGGGTAGGTTAATTATATCCTCTCAGTCTTATTTCTTCATTCATTGATAATAGCACATCACAGGATTAACAGAATTAAATTACAAAGCCCTAATTTTTAGGTGAGTTGAAGCTGAGGAGCACACAACTTTTCTTACAGGGTGCACTCAATTCTCAATGTCAGAACCACCAGGGGGTCCTTGTACTTCAAAAAGACACATCTTACATGACAACTTCTTTGATTTACTTTTATGCCCAATATTCATTTTGAAACCTCACAAAGGAGAGCATGGTGTTGTTGTTTCTCAAAAGAGAAAGTAAATTTAGTAAGATTGAGAGCCATGAACCTAGACACAGTCACAGGGCACATAAGATTTCGGTCAATCACAGACTACATATATGATGGTGGTCTCATAAGATGAAGACACTGTATTTTGCCTGTACCTGTTCTATGTTTAGAGACACAAATATTCACCACTGTGTTACTACTGCCTGCAGTATTTAGTACAGTCGCAGGCTGTGTAGGTGTGTAGCCTAGAAGCAACCGGCTATGCCACAGAGCCTAGGGGTGGAGTAGGCTCTACCATCTAAGTTTTGTATACGATGTTCGCAGAACAACAAAATCACCTAATGACACATTTTTCAGAACAGATCCCTGTAGTGAAGCAATACGTAACTATATTTTGGGAACTTCCCCTGTATCCAGATAGTCAGTCCAAGAGCTGTGTGTTTGGATCTCACAGTGCTTGAGATCCTGAGAGAATCTCATTTCCTGAGTCAGATGTGGGCATTCTTTCTTGGCATGGGTACACTGCCGTGGCTTGTGCTGAAGGCTGCATAAGAAACAGAGGTTGGAAACTCACAGTGGAATTTATTGCTGAGATGACGTTAAGCTGTTCGCATTCCACCCAGGACCTCCACAGGAGAAGCCCAGAGAGGATGACTCTCAGACTCCAGATCCAGGAAATCCATGCCTCTCTGGAGCAATGGATGTCTTACAGACACTGTGACTCTTCAAACTGATTATTTTCTTCTTTGTGCTTGGACTCCAGGACACTTAGAACCCAATTTGCATCTAACCACTAGCAGTTTGGTGACAGCATGTCACAGTTTGTATTTCTGTGCACCAGCTTTATACACATTTTTTTTTCTGCCCTAACTTACCCTTTGGTCTAATTTCTTTATCTGTTTTTCTATCCTGTTGTATTGTATGTATTTTTATAAGCGGTCTCAAATCTTTTCTGGAAACACTAGGAAATGAATATATAAACAAATACAAGCAGGACAGCATTTCTGAAAGAGCCTGATATACAGTGAGGGTGCTCACTAAGGATTAGTTCCCTATCTGTGTACAAAACAGAAAAATTCACTGAGGGAGCCAACCTGCAGTCAAATGTCCAGCTGTGAGTCTATTACAGTTATAGAAATAGCTTATTTTTACACATATTCCACCTTAGATTGATTTGGGGGGTGTTTGTTTTTGTTGTTGTTGTTTGAGACAAGGTCTCACTCTGTTGCCCAGGCTGGAGTGCAATGGTTTGATCTCAGCTCACTACATCCTCCGCCTCCCGGGTTCAAGCAACTCTCCCACCTCAGCCTCCCGAGTAGCTAGGACTACAGGTGTGCACCACCACGCCCTGCTAATTTTTGTATTTTTTTGATAGAGACAGGGTTTCATCATGTTGGCCAGGCTGGTCTCAAACTCTGGACCTCAAGTGATCTGCCTGCCTTGGCCTCCCAAAGTGTTGGGATTACAAGCATAAACCACTGCACCTGGCCTGTTTTTTTGTTTTGTTTTATTTTGTTTTTGTTTGTTTGAGATAGGGTCTCGCTCTGCCTCCCAGGCTGGAGTGCAGTGGTGTAATCATGGCTCACTGCAGCCTCCACTTCCCCAGCTCAGGCAATCCTCCCACCTCAGCCTCCCAAGTAGCTGGGACCACAGGTGTGCACCACCACGCCTGGCTAATTTTGGTTTTTGTAGAGATGGGTTTTTACCATGTTGTCTAGGCTGGTCTCAACCTCCTGAGCTCAAGCAATCTGCCTGCCTCAGCCTCCCAAAGTGCTGGGATTACAGGCATGAGTGACCATGCCTGGCTCTACCTTTTATGTTAAAGTTTATATAAATTATTTCATTTTAAGATTCTTTTATTCCTGCCATTTCTGTGGTGCAATTGGATTTTTACATAAAGTTAAATAATACTTTTTATTTTGGCCAGGCGTGGTGGCTCACACCTGTAATCCCAGCACTTTGGGAGGCCAAGGTGGGAGGATTGCTTGAGGTCAGGGGTTCGAGACCAGCCTGGCCAACATGGTGAAACCCCATCTCTACCAAAAATACAAAAATTAGCTGGGCATGGTGGCAGGCACCTGTAATCCCAGCTACTCAGAAGGCTGAGGCAGGAGAATTGCTTGAACCCAGGAGATCTCAGCAGTGAGCTGAGACTGCCGCTGCACTCCAGCTTGGACGACAGAGTGAAAAAAATTAAAAATTAAATGATACTTTTAATTTTATTTACTATTTTATTTGAATAAATAAAAGGATCCTTTAAAAAGTATTACACACGAAAATAGGGTCAAAAGTCATAGCCCATTTTCTTGATTTTATTTGGTGCTTTATGGGAAAGGCTAAACTCTCTCTCTTTTTTTTTTTTTAACACATTAGCATGGAAAGGAATCATTTCTACTTTGTGGTGTCTGTCTGTCTGTCTATCTGATGGGCTCTCTGGCACCTGCCAGCACACTGGGGGAAGTGTGAGGTCAAGATAGGCATCTTGTAGATGAAGAGCATGGCGTCCTGGTAAACGTTTAACAACCAGCTTTCCAGGAAACAAATGTATTGTATACATACATAAGTTTATAGTAACATGTACTGATATAAAGGATGCGTAGCACTTAATTTACAAATAATAACAAAATATGCAATAGTCTCTGTCCTAAATACCGCAGAGGTGATTGAGTCTCATAGAAAGCTCTCGTGACTTTGCACTGTCATATCCGTAGCCAAGCATTGGTTGCAGCAGATGAGCAAGTGTGGTGTTGGCACAAACACTGAAATGTTCATTCATGTTAAGGAGCAGATCAAAGTGAAACAACAAAGAGTTGGGGCAGGCTGCAGCCTTAGTGCCATGAGCGGCTTCTTTGTTGAACTGGGTAATAGTTTTTCAATATTCAGAAAAGTTTCCTCAATGTTTTGTGCTACTCACAGTGTTCTAGCTACAGACAAGATGCTCTTTTAAGCATAGAAAATCCATGAAACAAATCACTGCCGACCTGTAGCATTTGCCTGTTCCTGTTGTATAAATACTCCCACCAGGGCCAATTTCAAGTTGCTAACATGACTTGCGTGAACATGGGTTCGAGATGCGCAGCAGCACAGCACGATAGAGTACTTCCGCCTTATAGACACAGTCAGTTAAAGAACCTCAAAGCATAGCTATTATTAAGATGCAGTAAAAATAATCAGGAAGTGATGAGGTTTAAGTATTTATAACCTTTGTTTTAATAGAATCCATTTAGTTGTATCTTGTATAATTCAACTTTAATTTTTTATCATTTTAATTTTATATAGTTTTTTTTTCTTTTTCTTTCTTTTTTATTTTTCTTTGAGAAGGAGTCTTACTCTGTTGCCCAGGCTGCAGTGCAGTGGCACGATCTCTGGTCACTGCAACTTCCACCTCCTGGGTTTAAGGGATTCTCCTGCCTCATCCTCCCAATTAGCTGGGATTACAGGCACCCGCCACCATGCCTGGCTAATTTTTGTATTTTAAGTAGAGTTAGCCAGGCTGGTCTTGAACTCCTGACCTCAAGTGATCTGCCCAGTTCGGCCTCCCAAACTGCTGGGATTACAGACATGAGCCACCACGCCCGGCCCGTATAGTTTTTATACCTTAATCTTGCATAATGATTTGAATAATTCAGCTCACAAAATTCCTGAGAATTTAACAACCGGCTCTAGCATACCGGCACAAGCTGGCCCCCAGTGCATCACTGACGGGGAGGCCGAGTGTCTTGAGGCCACACTGCAGATCAGGGTCCTGCCTGCAGCCAAGTGGGGACAAGTGGAGAATAACTTGCCTCCTGGGCTCTCCTGAGTCCCGAGCCTGACAGCGGAGGCCCAGGTGGGTGACCCTGCTTTGTGCTCGGTGGCAGGGGAAGGGGGGTGGGCCTGTGGGCCTGGATGGAGAACCTGTCCCCATGGCTGTCATGTCCCTACACCAGCTGCTGCCAGCCACTGTGGGGTTCGCAAGTCCCCACTCGCAAAACGGCTACTGTTTTCCACAACCATGGGATACAAGGATGTCCCCTTGGGCTCCTTCTCATCTCTACTCTCTGCTGGCCTCTTTGCACAGATTGATACCTGGGATGCTGAGCCAGGACCAGAGGGAGGTAAAGACACACCTGGGGTGCAAAACTGAAGGAGGCCCTGATGCTTGAGGTTGTTCAAGTGCAGAGAATGTTTGTGTATGTGTGAAGCACACAACCACACGTAGCATCTAAAAGGACATTTGATGTTCTGCACTTAATAGATTAAGCTGGTTCTGACCTTCTAGCCCCTGGGCTTCTGATGAGTCTCCTGGTAGCCTGTCAGCTCCTGATCTTGGATGGGAGCTTGTGTGTAGGTGGGCACTCTTCTGCAAAGTGCGTTTATGGCTTTTATCTGGTTTCCTCTGATCAGAAAGATCTGGGGGTGCTGGCACACCCAGACGACTAGTAACTCCCAAAGGGAGAGGTGCAGCTTTGTCACCTGCCCCTGTGTCAGGTGGGACGTGAGATGCTCTATTTTTTTCTGCTCCATCCTGTGCCCAAGCCTTATACAGGGTGACCCTTTTCAGAGAGGCCTTTGCCACCAGGTCAGTGTGAGCATGTGGCTGGGTGATTTCCTGCCGTGGACCAGGGATCTGTGTGCTGTCTGAAGTAAGCAAGGGTGCTCTTTCTTGGCAAGGTCTGAGGGCTGAGACTTGCAAGGAGACACCTGCTCTCTTGGTCACCAGACTGGAGGTTCCTATGTGCAGGTGTGGAGGATGGAAGAGGTCAGTCTGTCCTCTTTCTTGCCTGGGCCTCACCTCTGCTGAGGCTGCTGGCTGCCCTGGGCTCGCAGTGAAAGGGGCCATCTTCCACCCTCCCCTGCTGGTCAAGTGCATCTTTCCAGGTTCCGGCACTCCACGTTGCCACCCAGACAAGTGTCCTGTGGGAACTAGCAAGTGGGAATCAAAACTACCCCCAGAGAGGCTCCTGGCCGGGAGATGAAGGGATCTACCCTGGGGCTAAAGTCTCCCCAGCCTTTCTTGGAGCTTAGGTCCTGGCTTTAGAAAGATCCCATTCACATCCAGGCACAGTGGCACACACCTGTAATCTCAGTACTTTGGGAGGCCGAGGCAGGCGGATCACTTGAGGTCAGGAGTTTGAGACTGGTCTGGCCAACATGGCGAAACTGTCTCTACTCAAAATGCAAAAATTAGCTGGGTGTGGTGGTGTGCGACTGTAATCCCAGCTACTCAGGAGGCTGAGGTAGGAGAATTGCTTGAACCCAAGGAGGCAAAGGTTGCAGT